>NC_000006.12:58553888-58853888 GCF_000001405.40 Homo sapiens | reverse complement strand
TAGGAAGATGTTTCTTTTTCTGCCATAGGATCAATGCGCTATAAATATCCCCTTGGAAGTCCTACAAAAACAGTGTTTCAAAACTGCTCTGTGAAAAGGGAGGTTTCACTCTTTGAATTGAATGCACACATCACAAAGGAGTTTCTGAAAATTCTTCAATCTAGAGTTACATGAAGAAATCCCGTTTCCAAAGAAGGCCTCAAATAGGTCCAAATATCCACTTGCAGCTACTACAAGAAGGGTGTTTCAGAAATGCTCTATCAAAAGAAACGTTAAACTCTGTGAGTTGAACACACACGTCACTAAGCACTTTCTGAGAACGATTCTATCTACTTTTTACATGAAGATGTTTCCTTTTCTAGCAGAGACTTCAAAGTGCTCTAAATATCCACTTGGGAATTCTACAAAAACGGTGTCTCAAAACTGCTCTATCAAACGGAATGTTCCATTGTGTGAGTCGAATGCACACATCCGAAGAAGTTACTGAGAATTCTTCTCTGTAGGTTTAGATGAAGAAATCCCGTTTCCAACGAAGGCCTCTAGGAGGTCCAATTATCCACTTGCAGATTCTACAGAAAGAGTGTTTCAAAACTGCTCTATCAAGAGAAATGGTCCACCGTGTGTGTGGAATGCAGCCATCACACATTAGTTTCTGAGATTGCTTCTGTCTTGGTTTTATGGGGAGATATTTCCATTTCTAGCATAGGCTTCAAGGCGCTCTAAATATCCGCTTGGAAATACTACAAAAACAGTGTTTCAAAACTGCTGTATCCAAAGGAAGGTGCCACTCGCTGAGTTGAATGCACACATCACAAGGAAGTTTCTGAGAATTCTTCTGTCTAGATTCATACGAAGAAATCCCGTTTCCAACGAAGGCCTCAAAGAAGTCCAAATATCCCATTGCAAATTCTACAAAAGGAGTGTTTCCCAACTGCTCTATCAAGAGGAATGTCGCACTCTGTGACTTGCATGCAAACATCACACAGCAGTGTTTGAGAATTCTTCTGTCTAGAGTAACATGAAGAAATCCCGTTTCCAACGAAGGCCTCAAGGCGGTCCAATTATCCACTTGCAGATTCTACAGAAAGAGTGTTTCAAAACTGCTCTATCAAGAGAAATGTTCCACCGTGTGTGTGGAATGCAGCCATCACACAGTAGTTTCTGAGATTGCTTCCGTCTAGGTTTTATGGGAAGATATTTCCTTTTCTACCATAGGCCTCAAGGCGCTCTAATATCCGCTTGGAAATACTACAACCACAGCGTTTCAAACTGCTCTATCCAAAGGAAGGTTCCACTCTGTGACTTGAATGCACACAACCAAAGAAGTTTCGGAGAATTCTTCTGTCTGGATTTATACGAAGAAATCCCGTTTCCAACGAAGACCCAAAGGAGTTCCAAATATCCACTTGCAGATCCTTCAGAAAGAGGGTTTCAAAACTGCTCTATCAAGAGAAATGTTCAACTCTGTGAGTTGAATGCAGACATCACAAAGTCGTTTCTGAGATTGGTTCTGTCTAGGTTTTATGGGAAGATATTTCCTTTTCTACCATACGCTTCAAGGCGTTCCAAATATCCGCTTGGAAATACTACAAAAACGGTGTTTCAAAACTGCTCTATCAAAAGGAAGGATCCACACTGTGAGTTGAATTCACACATCACAAAGAAATCTCTGAGAATTCTTCTGTCTGGGTTTATAGGAAGAAATCCCGTTTCCAACGAAGGCCTCAAAGCGGTCCATATATCCACTTGCAGATTCTACAGAAACAATGTTTCCAAACTGCTCTATCAAGAGGAATGTTGCACTCGGTTAGTTGAATGCACACATCACAAAGTAGTTTCTGAGATTGCTTCTGTCTACCTTTTATGGAAAGATATTCCCTTTTCTACCATAGGCCTGAAAGCGCTCTCAATGTACCCTTGCAAATTCTACAAAAAGAGTGTTTCCAAATTGCTCTATCAAGAGAAATCTTTATCTCGGTGAGTTGAAAGCACACATCACAAAGAAGACTCTGAGAATTCTTCTGTCTGGGTTTATAAGATGAAAACCCGTTTCCAACGAAGGCCTCAAGGAGGTCCAAATACAAACAAGCTGATTCTACAGAAAGAGTGTTTCCAAACTGCTCTATCAAGAGGAATGTTCCACTCGGTGAGTTGAATGCAGACATCACAAAGGAGTTTCTGAGATTGCTTCTGTCTAGCTTTTATGGAAAGATATTTCCTTTTCTACCATAGGCCTCAAAGCGCTCTTAGTATACACTTCCAAATTCTACAAAGAGAGTGTTACTAAACCGCTCTCTCAAAGGAAATGTTAAACTCTGTGAGTTGAACACAGACATCACAAAGCAGTTTCTGAGAACACTTCTGTCTGCCTTTTATGTGAAGACATTCCCTTTTCCAAAGAATGCCTCCAAGGGCTCAAAATATCCACTTGTAGACTTTACAAAGAGAGTGTTTCAAAACTTCTCTACCAAAAGAAAGGTTAAAGACGGTGAGTTCAACGCACACATCACAAAGTTGTTTCTGAGAATGATTCTATCTATGTTTTCCATGAAGATGTTTCCTTTTCTATCATAGGCTTCAAAGTGGTCTAAATATCCACTTGGAAATCCTACAAGAACAGGGTTTCAAAACTTCTCTATCAAACGGAAGACTCCACTCTGTGAGATGAACGCACACATCACAATGAGGTTTCTGAAAATTCTTCTGTCTAGGGTTATAGGAAGAAATCCCGTTTCCAACGAAGGCCTCAAAGAGGTCCAAATATCCACTTGCAGTTTCTACAAAAAGAGTGTTTCAACACTGCTCTATAAAGAGAAAAGTTCCACTCTGTGAGTTGAATGTACACATCACAAAGTAGTTTCTGAGATTGCTTCTGTCTAGGTTTTAGGTGAAGTTATTTCCTTTTCTACTGTGGGCTTCAATGCGCTCTAAATATACACATGCAAATACTACAAAAAGAGTGTTTCAAAACTGCTCTATCAAAAGAAAAGTTTTACTCTGTGAGTTGAACGCACACATCGCAAAGCAGATTCTGAGAATTATTCTGTCTAGTTTTTATAGGAAGATGTTTCTTTTTCTGCCATAGGTATCAATGCGCTATAAATATCCCCTTGGAAATCCTACAAAAACAGTGTTTCAAAACTGCTCTGTGAAAAGGGACGTTTCACTCTTTGAATTGAATGCACACATCACAAAGGAGTTTCTGAAAATTCTTCAATCTAGAGTTACATGAAGAAATCCCGTTTCCAAAGAAGGCCTCAAATAGGTCCAAATATCCACTTGCAGTTACTACAAGAAGGGTGTTTCAGAAATGCTCTATCAAAAGAAACGTTAAACTCTGTGAGTTGAACACACACGCCACTAAGCACTTTCTGAGAACGATTCTATCTACTTTTTACATGAAGATGTTTCCTTTTCTAGCAGAGACTTCAAAGTGCTCTAAATATCCACTTGGGAATTCTACAAAAACGGTGTCTCAAAACTGCTCTATCAAAGGGAATGTTCCATTCTGTGAGTCGAATGCACACATCCGAAGAAGTTACTGAGAATTCTTCTCTGTAGGTTTAGATGAAGAAATCCCGTTTCCAACGAAGGCCTCTAGGAGGTCCAATTATCCACTTGCAGATTCTACAGAAAGAGTGTTTCAAAACTGCTCTATCAAGAGAAATGGTCCACCGTGTGTGTGGAATGCAGCCATCACACATTAGTTTCTGAGATTGCTTCTGTCTTGGTTTTATGGGGAGATATTTCCATTTCTAGCATAGGCTTCAAGGCGCTCTAAATATCCGCTTGGAAATACTACAAAAACAGTGTTTCAAAACTGCTGTATCCAAAGGAAGGTGCCACTCGCTGAGTTGAATGCACACATCACAAGGAAGTTTCTGAGAATTCTTCTGTCTAGATTCATACGAAGAAATCCCGTTTCCAACGAAGGCCTCAAAGAAGTCCAAATATCCCATTGCAAATTCTACAAAAGGAGTGTTTCCCAACTGCTCTATCAAGAGGAATGTTGCACTCTGTGACTTGCATGCAAACATCACACAGCAGTGTTTGAGAATTCTTCTGTCTAGAGTAACATGAAGAAATCCCGTTTCCAACGAAGGCCTCAAGGCGGTCCAATTATCCACTTGCAGATTCTACAGAAAGAGTGTTTCAAAACTGCTCTATCAAGAGAAATGTTCCACCGTGTGTGTGGAATGCAGCCATCACACAGTAGTTTCTGAGATTGCTTCCGTCTAGGTTTTATGGGAAGATATTTCCTTTTCTACCATAGGCCTCAAGGCGCTCTAATATCCGCTTGGAAATACTACAACCACAGCGTTTCAAACTGCTCTATCCAAAGGAAGGTTCCACTCTGTGACTTGAATGCACACAACCAAAGAAGTTTCGGAGAATTCTTCTGTCTGGATTTATACGAAGAAATCCCGTTTCCAACGAAGACCCAAAGGAATTCCAAATATCCACTTGCAGATCCTTCAGAAAGAGGGTTTCAAAACTGCTCTATCAAGAGAAATGTTCAACTCTGTGAGTTGAATGCAGACATCACAAAGTCGTTTCTGAGACTGGTTCTGTCTAGGTTTTATGGGAAGATATTTCCTTTTCTACCATACGCTTCAAGGCGTTCCAAATATCCGCTTGGAAATACTACAAAAACAGTGTTTCAAAACTGCTCTATCAAAAGGAAGGATCCACACTGTGAGTTGAATTCACACATCACAAAGAAGTCTCTGAGAATTCTTCTGTCTGGGTTTATAGGAAGAAATCCCGTTTCCAACGAAGGCCTCAAAGAGGTCCAAATATCCGCTTGCAGATTCTACAGAAACAATGTTTCCAAACTGCTCGGTCAAGAGGAATGTTGCACTCGGTGAGTTGAATGCACACATCACAAAGTAGTTTCTGAGATTGCTTCTGTCTACCTTTTATGGAAAGATATTCCCATTTCTACCATAGGCCTGAAAGCGCTCTCAATGTACCCTTGCAAATTCTACAAAAAGAGTGTTTCCAAATTGCTCTATCAAGAGAAATCTTTATCTCGGTGAGTTGAAAGCACACATCACAAAGAAGACTCTGAGAATTCTTCTGTCTGGGTTTATAAGATGAAAACCCGTTTCCAACGAAGGCCTCAAGGAGGTCCAAATACAAACAAGCTGATTCTACAGAAAGAGTGTTTCCAAACTGCTCTATCAAGAGGAATGTTCCACTCGGTGAGTTGAATGCAGACATCACAAAGGAGTTTCTGAGATTGCTTCTGTCTAGCTTTTATGGAAAGATATTTCCTTTTCTACCATAGGCCTCAAAGCGCTCTTAGTATACACTTCCAAATTCTACAAAGAGAGTGTTACTAAACCGCTCTCTCAAAGGAAATGTTAAACTCTGTGAGTTGAACACAGACATCACAAAGCAGTTTCTGAGAACACTTCTGTCTGCCTTTTATGTGAAGACATTCCCTTTTCCAAAGAATGCCTCCAAGGGCTCAAAATATCCACTTGTAGACTTTACAAAGAGAGTGTTTCAAAACTTCTCTACCAAAAGAAAGGTTAAAGACGGTGAGTTCAACGCACACATCACAAAGTTGTTTCTGAGAATGATTCTATCTATGTTTTCCCATGAAGATGTTTCCTTTTCTATCATAGGCTTCAAAGTGGTCTAAATATCCACTTGGAAATCCTACAAGAACAGGGTTTCAAAACTTCTCTATCAAACGGAAGACTCCACTCTGTGAGATGAACGCACACATCACAATGAGGTTTCTGAAAATTCTTCTGTCTAGGGTTATAGGAAGAAATCCCGTTTCCAACGAAGGCCTCAAAGAGGTCCAAATATCCACTTGCAGTTTCTACAAAAAGAGTGTTTCAACACTGCTCTATAAAGAGAAAAGTTCCACTCTGTGAGTTGAATGTACACATCACAAAGTAGTTTCTGAGATTGCTTCTGTCTAGGTTTTAGGTGAAGTTATTTCCTTTTCTACTGTGGGCTTCAATGCACTCTAAATATACACATGCAAATACTACAAAAAGAGTGTTTCAAAACTGCTCTATCAAAAGAAAAGTTTTACTCTGTGAGTTGAACGCACACATCGCAAAGCAGATTCTGAGAATTATTCTGTCTAGTTTTTATAGGAAGATGTTTCTTTTTCTGCCATAGGCTCAATGCGCTATAAATATCCCCTTGGAAATCCTACAAAAACAGTGTTTCAAAACTGCTCTGTGAAAAGGGAGGTTTCACTCTTTGAATTGAATGCACACATCACAAAGGAGTTTCTGAAAATTCTTCAAACTAGAGTTACATGAAGAAATCCCGTTTCCAAAGAAGGCCTCAAATAGGTCCAAATATCCACTTGCAGCTACTACAAGAAGGGTGTTTCAGAAACGCTCTATCAAAAGAAACGTTAAACTCTGTGAGTTGAACACACACGTCACTAAGCACTTTCTGAGAACGATTCTATCTACTTTTTACATGAAGATGTTTCCTTTTCTAGCAGAGACTTCAAAGTGCTCTAAATATCCACTTGGGAATTCTACAAAAACGGTGTCTCAAAACTGCTCTATCAAAGGGAATGTTCCATTCTGTGAGTCGAATGCACACATCCGAAGAAGTTACTGAGAATTCTTCTCTGTAGGTTTAGATGAAGAAATCCCGTTTCCAACTAAGGCCTCTAGGAGGTCCAATTATCCACTTGCAGATTCTACAGAAAGAGTGTTTCAAAACTGCTCTATCAAGAGAAATGGTCCACCGTGTGTGTGGAATGCAGCCATCACATATTAGTTTCTGAGATTGCTTCTGTCTTGGTTTTATGGGGAGATATTTCCATTTCTAGCATAGGCTTCAAGGCGCTCTAAATATCCGCTTGGAAATAGTACAAAAACGGTGTTTCAAAACTGCTGTATCCAAAGGAAGGTGCCACTCGCTGAGTTGAATGCACACATCACAAGGAAGTTTCTGAGAATTCTTCTGTCTAGATTCATACGAAGAAATCCCGTTTCCAACGAAGGCCTCAAAGAAGTCCAAATATCCCATTGCAAATTCTACAAAAGGAGTGTTTCCCAACTGCTCTATCAAGAGGAATGTTGCACTCTGTGACTTGAATGCAAACATCACATAGCAGTGTTTGAGAATTCTTCTGTCTAGAGTAACATGAAGAAATCCCGTTTCCAACGAAGGCCTCAAGGCCGTCCAATTATCCACTTGCAGATTCTACAGAAAGAGTGTTTCAAAACTGCTCTATCAAGAGAAATGTTCCACCGTGTGTGTGGAATGCAGTCATCACACAGTAGTTTCTGAGATTGCTTCCGTCTAGATTTTATGGGAAGATATTTCCTTTTCTACCATAGGCCTCAAGGCGCTCTAATATCCGCTTGGAAATACTACAACCACAGCGTTTCAAACTGCTCTATCCAAAGGAAGGTTCCACTCTGTGACTTGAATGCACACAACCAAAGAAGTTTCGGAGAATTCTTCTGTCTGGATTTATACGAAGAAATCCCGTTTCCAACGAAGACCCAAAGGAGTTCCAAATATCCACTTGCAGATCCTTCAGAAAGAGGGTTTCAAAACTGCTCTATCAAGAGAAATGTTCAACTCTGTGAGTTGAATGCAGACATCACAAAGTCGTTTCTGAGATGGGTTCTGTCTAGGTTTTATGGGAAGATATTTCCTTTTCTACCATACGCTTCAAGGCGTTCCAAATATCCGCTTGGAAATACTACAAAAGCGGTGTTTCAAAACTGCTCTATCAAAAGGAAGGATCCACACTGTGAGTTGAATTCACACATCACAAAGAAATCTCTGAGAATTCTTCTGTCTGGGTTTATAGGAAGAAATCCCGTTTCCAACGAAGGCCTCAAAGCGGTCCATATATCCACTTGCAGATTCTACAGAAACAATGTTTCCAAACTGCTCTATCAAGAGGAATGTTGCACTCGGTGAGTTGAATGCACACATCACAAAGTAGTTTCTGAGATTGCTTCTGTCTACCTTTTATGGAAAGATATTCCCTTTTCTACCATAGGCCTGAAAGCGCTCTCAATGTACCCTTGCAAATTCTACAAAAAGAGTGTTTCCAAATTGCTCTATCAAGAGAAATCTTTATCTCGGTGAGTTGAAAGCACACATCACAAAGAAGACTCTGAGAATTCTTCTGTCTGGGTTTATAAGATGAAAACCCGTTTCCAACGAAGGCCTCAAGGAGGTCCAAATACAAACAAGCTGATTCTACAGAAAGAGTGTTTCCAAACTGCTCTATCAAGAGGAATGTTCCACTCGGTGAGTTGAATGCAGACATCACAAAGGAGTTTCTGAGATTGCTTCTGTCTAGCTTTTATGGAAAGATATTTCCTTTTCTACCATAGGCCTCAAAGCGCTCTTAGTATACACTTCCAAATTCTACAAAGAGAGTGTTACTAAACCGCTCTCTCAAAGGAAATGTTAAACTCTGTGAGTTGAACACAGACATCACAAAGCAGTTTCTGAGAACACTTCTGTCTGCCTTTTATGTGAAGACATTCCCTTTTCCAAAGAATGCCTCCAAGGGCTCAAAATATCCACTTGTAGACTTTACAAAGAGAGTGTTTCAAAACTTCTCTACCAAAAGAAAGGTTAAAGACGGTGAGTTCAACGCACACATCACAAAGTTGTTTCTGAGAATGATTCTATCTATGTTTTCCATGAAGATGTTTCCTTTTCTATCATAGGCTTCAAAGTGGTCTAAATATCCACTTGGAAATCCTACAAGAACAGGGTTTCAAAACTTCTCTATCAAACGGAAGACTCCACTCTGTGAGATGAACGCACACATCACAATGAGGTTTCTGAAAATTCTTCTGTCTAGGGTTATAGGAAGAAATCCCGTTTCCAACGAAGGCCTCAAAGAGGTCCAAATATCCACTTGCAGTTTCTACAAAAAGAGTGTTTCAACACTGCTCTATAAAGAGGAAAGTTCCACTCTGTGAGTTGAATGTACACATCACAAAGTAGTTTCTGAGATTGCTTCTGTCTAGGTTTTAGGTGAAGTTATTTCCTATTCTACTGTGGGCTTCAATGCGCTCTAAATATACACATGCAAATACTACAAAAAGAGTGTTTCAAAACTGCTCTATCAAAAGAAAAGTTTTACTCTGTGGGTTGAACGCACACATCGCAAAGCAGATTCTGAGAATTATTCTGTCTAGTTTTTATAGGAAGATGTTTCTTTTTCTGCCGTAGGCTCAATGCGCTATAAATATCCCCTTGGAAATCCTACAAAAACAGTGTTTCAAAACTGCTCTGTGGAAAGGGAGGTTTCACTCTTTGAATTGAATGCACACATCACAAAGGAGTTTCTGAAAATTCTTCAATCTAGAGTTACATGAAGAAATCCCGTTTCCAAAGAAGGCCTCAAATAGGTCCAAATATCCACTTGCAGCTACTACAAGCAGGGTGTTTCAGAAACGCTCTATCAAAAGAAACGTTAAACTCTTTGAGTTGAACACACACGTCACTAAGCACTTTCTGAGAACGATTCTATCTACTTTTTACATGAAGATGTTTCCTTTTCTAGCAGAGACTTCAAAGTGCTCTACATATCCACTTGGGAATTCTACAAAAACGGTGTCTCAAAACTGCTCTATCAAAGGGAATGTTCCATTCTGTGAGTCGAATGCACACATCCGAAGAAGTTACTGAGAATTCTTCTCTGTAGGTTTAGATGAAGAAATCCCGTTTCCAACGAAGGCCTCTAGGAGGTCCAATTATCCACTTGCAATTTCTACAGAAAGAGTGTTTCAAAACTGCTCTATCAAGAGAAATGGTCCACCGTGTGTGTGGAATGCAGCCATCACACATTAGTTTCTGAGATTGCTTCTGTCTTGGTTTTATGGGGAGATATTTCCATTTCTAGCATAGGCTTCAAGGCGCTCTAAATATCTGCTTGGAAATAGTACAAAAACAGGGTTTCAAAACTGCTGTATCCAAAGGAAGGTGCCACTCGCTGAGTTGAATGCACACATCACAAGGAAGTTTCTGAGAATTCTTCTGTCTAGATTCATACGAAGAAATCCCGTTTCCAACAAAGGCCTCAAAGAAGTCCAAATATCCCATTGCAAATTCTACAAAAGGAGTGTTTCCCAACTGCTCTATCAAGAGGAATGTTGCACTCTGTGACTTGAATGCAAACATCACATAGCAGTGTTTGAGAATTCTTCTGTCTAGAGTAACATGAAGAAATCCCGTTTCCAACGAAGGCCTCAAGGCGGTCCAATTATCCACTTGCAGATTCTACAGAAAGAGTGTTTCAAAACTGTTCTATCAAGAGAAATGTTCCACCGTGTGTGTGGAATGCAGCCATCACTCAGTAGTTTCTGAGATTGCTTCCGTCTAGGTTTTATGGGAAGATATTTCCTTTTCTACCATAGGCCTCAAGGCGCTCTAATATCCGCTTGGAAATACTACAACCACAGCGTTTCAAACTGCTCTATCCAAAGGAAGGTTCCACTCTGTGACTTGAATGCACACAACCAAAGAAGTTTCGGAGAATTCTTCTGTCTGGATTTATACGAAGAAATCCCGTTTCCAACGAAGACCCAAAGGAGTTCCAAATATCCACTTGCAGATCCTTCAGAAAGAGGGTTTCAAAACTGCTCTATCAAGAGAAATGTTCAACTCTGTGAGTTGAATGCAGACATCACAAAGTCGTTTCTGAGATTGGTTCTGTCTAGGTTTTATGGGAAGATATTTCCTTTTCTACCATACGCTTCAAGGCGTTCCAAATATCCGCTTGGAAATACTACAAAAACAGTGTTTCAAAACTGCTCTATCAAAAGGAAGGATCCACACTGTGAGTTGAATTCACACATCACAAAGAAGTCTCTGAGAATTCTTCTGTCTGGGTTTATAGGAAGAAATCCCGTTTCCAACGAAGGCCTCAAAGAGGTCCAAATATCCACTTGCAGATTCTACAGAAACAATGTTTCCAAACTGCTCGGTCAAGAGGAATGTTGCACTCGGTGAGTTGAATGCACACATCACAAAGTAGTTTCTGAGATTGCTTCTGTCTACCTTTTATGGAAAGATATTCCCTTTTCTACCATAGGCCTGAAAGCGCTCTCAATGTACCCTTGCAAATTCTACAAAAAGAGTGTTTCCAAATTGCTCTATCAAGAGAAATCTTTATCTCGGTGAGTTGAAAGCACACATCACAAAGAAGACTCTGAGAATTCTTCTGTCTGGGTTTATAAGATGAAAACCCGTTTCCAACGAAGGCCTCAAGGAGGTCCAAATACAAACAAGCTGATTCTACAGAAAGAGTGTTTCCAAACTGCTCTATCAAGAGGAATGTTCCACTCGGTGAGTTGAATGCAGACATCACAAAGGAGTTTCTGAGATTGCTTCTGTCTAGCTTTTATGGAAAGATATTTCCTTTTCTACCATAGGCCTCAAAGCGCTCTTAGTATACACTTCCAAATTCTACAAAGAGAGTGTTACTAAACCGCTCTCTCAAAGGAAATGTTAAACTCTGTGAGTTGAACACAGACATCACAAAGCAGTTTCTGAGAACACTTCTGTCTGCCTTTTATGTGAAGACATTCCCTTTTCCAAAGAATGCCTCCAAGGGCTCAAAATATCCACTTGTAGACTTTACAAAGAGAGTGTTTCAAAACTTCTCTACCAAAAGAAAGGTTAAAGACGGTGAGTTCAACGCACACATCACAAAATTGTTTCTGAGAATGATTCTATCTATGTTTTCCATGAAGATGTTTCCTTTTCTATCATAGGCTTCAAAGTGGTCTAAATATCCACTTGGAAATCCTACAAGAACAGGGTTTCAAAACTTCTCTATCAAACGGAAGACTCCACTCTGTGAGATGAACGCACACATCACAATGAGGTTTCTGAAAATTCTTCTGTCTAGGGTTATAGGAAGAAATCCCGTTTCCAACGAAGGCCTCAAAGAGGTCCAAATATCCACTTGCAGTTTCTACAAAAAGAGTGTTTCAACACTGCTCTATAAAGAGGAAAGTTCCACTCTGTGAGTTGAATGTACACATCACAAAGTAGTTTCTGAGATTGCTTCTGTCTAGGTTTTAGGTGAAGTTATTTCCTTTTCTACTGTGGGCTTCAATGCGCTCTAAATATACACATGCAAATACTACAAAAAGAGTGTTTCAAAACTGCTCTATCAAAAGAAAAGTTTTACTCTGTGAGTTGAACGCACACATCGCAAAGCAGATTCTGAGAATTATTCTGTCTAGTTTTTATAGGAAGATGTTTCTTTTTCTGCCATAGGATCAATGCGCTATAAATATCCCCTTGGAAATCCTACAAAAACAGTGTTTCAAAACTGCTCTGTGAAAAGGGAGGTTTCACTCTTTGAATTGAATGCACACATCACAAAGGAGTTTCTGAAAATTCTTCAATCTAGAGTTACATGAAGAAATCCCGTTTCCAAAGAAGGCCTCAAATAGGTCCAAATATCCACTTGCAGCTACTACAAGAAGGGTGTTTCAGAAACGCTCTATCAAAAGAAACGATAAACTCTGTGAGTTGAACACACACGTCACTAAGCACTTTCTGAGAACGATTCTATCTACTTTTTACATGAAGATGTTTCCTTTTCTAGCAGAGACTTCAAAGTGCTCTAAATATCCACTTGGGAATTCTACAAAAACGGTGTCTCAAAACTGCTCTATCAAAGGGAATGTTCCATTCTGTGAGTCGAATGCACACATCCGAAGAAGTTACTGAGAATTCTTCTCTGTAGGTTTAGATGAAGAAATCCCGTTTCCAACGAAGGCCTCTAGGAGGTCCAATTATCCACTTGCAGATTCTACAGAAAGAGTGTTTCAAAACTGCTCTATCAAGAGAAATGGTCCACCGTGTGTGTGGAATGCAGCCATCACACATTAGTTTCTGAGATTGCTTCTGTCTTGGTTTTATGGGGAGATATTTCCATTTCTAGCATAGGCTTCAAGGCGCTCTAAATATCCGCTTGGAAATACTACAAAAACAGTGTTTCAAAACTGCTGTATCCAAAGGAAGGTGCCACTCGCTGAGTTGAATGCACACATCACAAGGAAGTTTCTGAGAATTCTTCTGTCTAGATTCATACGAAGAAATCCCGTTTCCAACGAAGGCCTCAAAGAAGTCCAAATATCCCATTGCAAATTCTACAAAAGGAGTGTTTCCCAACTGCTCTATCAAGAGGAATGTTGCACTCTGTGACTTGAATGCAAACATCACATAGCAGTGTTTGAGAATTCTTCTGTCTAGAGTAACATGAAGAAATCCCGTTTCCAACGAAGGCCTCAAGGCGGTCCAATTATCCACTTGCAGATTCTACAGAAAGAGTGTTTCAAAACTGCTCTATCAAGAGAAATGTTCCACCGTGTGTGTGCAATGCAGCCATCACACAGTAGTTTCTGAGATTGCTTCCGTCTAGGTTTTATGGGAAAATATTTCCTTTTCTACCATAGGCTTCAAGGCGCTCTAATATCCGCTTGGAAATACTACAACCACAGCGTTTCAAACTGCTCTATCCAAAGGAAGGTTCCACTCTGTGACTTGAATGCACACAACCAAAGAAGTTTCGGAGAATTCTTCTGTCTAGATTTATACGAAGAAATCCCGTTTCCAACGAAGACCCAAAGGAGTTCCAAATATCCACTTGCAGATCCTTCAGAAAGAGGGTTTCAAAACTGCTCTATCAAGAGAAATGTTCAACTCTGTGAGTTGAATGCAGACATCACAAAGTCGTTTCTGAGATTGGTTCTGTCTAGGTTTTATGGGAAGATATTTCCTTTTCTACCATACGCTTCAAGGCGTTCCAAATATCCGCTTGGAAATACTACAAAAACAGTGTTTCAAAACTGCTCTATCAAAAGGAAGGATCCACACTGTGAGTTGAATTCACACATCACAAAGAAGTCTCTGAGAATTCTTCTGTCTGGGTTTATAGGAAGAAATCCCGTTTCCAACGAAGGCCTCAAAGAGGTCCAAATATCCACTTGCAGATTCTACAGAAACAATGTTTCCAAACTGCTCGGTCAAGAGGAATGTTGCACTCGGTGAGTTGAATGCACACATCACAAAGTAGTTTCTGAGATTGCTTCTGTCTACCTTTTATGGAAAGATATTCCCTTTTCTACCATAGGCCTGAAAGCGCTCTCAATGTACCCTTGCAAATTCTACAAAAAGAGTGTTTCCAAATTGCTCTATCAAGAGAAATCTTTATACTCGGTGAGTTGAAAGCACACATCACAAAGAAGACTCTGAGAATTCTTCTGTCTGGGTTTATAAGATGAAAACCCGTTTCCAACGAAGGCCTCAAGGAGGTCCAAATACAAACAAGCTGATTCTACAGAAAGAGTGTTTCCAAACTGCTCTATCAAGAGGAATGTTCCACTCGGTGAGTTGAATGCAGACATCACAAAGGAGTTTCTGAGATTGCTTCTGTCTAGCTTTTATGGAAAGATATTTCCTTTTCTACCATAGGCCTCAAAGCGCTCTTAGTATACACTTCCAAATTCTACAAAGAGAGTGTTACTAAACCGCTCTCTCAAAGGAAATGTTAAACTCTGTGAGTTGAACACAGACATCACAAAGCAGTTTCTGAGAACACTTCTGTCTGCCTTTTATGTGAAGACATTCCCTTTTCCAAAGAATGCCTCCAAGGGCTCAAAATATCCACTTGTAGACTTTACAAAGAGAGTGTTTCAAAACTTCTCTACCAAAAGAAAGGTTAAAGACGGTGAGTTCAACGCACACATCACAAAGTTGTTTCTGAGAATGATTCTATCTATGTTTTCCATGAAGATGTTTCCTTTTCTATCATAGGCTTCAAAGTGGTCTAAATATCCACTTGGAAATCCTACAAGAACAGGGTTTCAAAACTTCTCTATCAAACGGAAGACTCCACTCTGTGAGATGAACGCACACATCACAATGAGGTTTCTGAAAATTCTTCTGTCTAGGGTTATAGGAAGAAATCCCGTTTCCAACGAAGGCCTCAAAGAGGTCCAAATATCCACTTGCAGTTTCTACAAAAAGAGTGTTTCAACACTGCTCTATAAAGAGGAAAGTTCCACTCTGTGAGTTGAATGTACACATCACAAAGTAGTTTCTGAGATTGCTTCTGTCTAGGTTTTAGGTGAAGTTATTTCCTTTTCTACTGTGTGCTTCAATGCGCTCTAAATATACACATGCAAATACTACAAAAAGAGTGTTTCAAAACTGCTCTATCAAAAGAAAAGTTTTACTCTGTGAGATGAACGCACACATCGCAAAGCAGATTCTGAGAATTATTCTGTCTAGTTTTTATAGGAAGATGTTTCTTTTTCTGCCATAGGCTCAATGCGCTATAAATATCCCCTTGGAAATCCTACAAAAACAGTGTTTCAAAACTGCTCTGTGAAAAGGGAGGTTTCACTCTTTGAATTGAATGCACACATCACAAAGGAGTTTCTGAAAATTCTTCAATCTAGAGTTACATGAAGAAATCCCGTTTCCAAAGAAGGCCTCAAATAGGTCCAAATATCCACTTGCAGCTACTACAAGAAGGGTGTTTCAGAAACGCTCTATCAAAAGAAACGTTAAACTCTGTGAGTTGAACGCACACGTCACTAAGCACTTTCTGAGAACGATTCTATCTACTTTTTACATGAAGATGTTTCCTTTTCTAGCAGAGACTTCAAAGTGCTCTAAATATCCACTTGGGAATTCTACAAAAACGGTGTCTCAAAACTGCTCTATCAAAGGGAATGTTCCATTCTGTGAGTCGAATGCACACATCCGAAGAAGTTACTGAGAATTCTTCTCTGTAGGTTTAGATGAAGAAATCCCGTTTCCAACGAAGGCCTCTAGGAGGTCCAATTATCCACTTGCAGATTCTACAGAAAGAGTGTTTCAAAACTGCTCTATCAAGAGAAATGGTCCACCGTGTGTGTGGAATGCAGCCATCACACATTAGTTTCTGAGATTGCTTCTGTCTTGGTTTTATGGGGAGATATTTCCATTTCTAGCATAGGCTTCAAGGCGCTCTAAATATCCGCTTGGAAATACTACAAAAACAGTGTTTCAAAACTGCTGTATCCAAAGGAAGGTGCCACTCGCTGAGTTGAATGCACACATCACAAGGAAGTTTCTGAGAATTCTTCTGTCTAGATTCATACGAAGAAATCCCGTTTCCAACGAAGGCCTCAAAGAAGTCCAAATATCCCATTGCAAATTCTACAAAAGGAGTGTTTCCCAACTGCTCTATCAAGAGGAATGTTGCACTCTGTGACTTGCATGCAAACATCACATAGCAGTGTTTGAGAATTCTTCTGTCTAGAGTAACATGAAGAAATCCCGTTTCCAACGAAGGCCTCAAGGCGGTCCAATTATCCACTTGCAGATTCTACAGAAAGAGTGTTTCAAAACTGCTCTATCAAGAGAAATGTTCCACCGTGTGTGTGGAATGCAGCCATCACACAGTAGTTTCTGAGATTGCTTCCGTCTAGGTTTTATGGGAAGATATTTCCTTTTCTACCATAGGCCTCAAGGCGCTCTAATATCCGCTTGGGAATACTACAACCACAGCGTTTCAAACTGCTCTATCCAAAGGAAGGTTCCACTCTGTGACTTGAATGCACACAACCAAAGAAGTTTCGGAGAATTCTTCTGTCTGGATTTATACGAAGAAATCCCGTTTCCAACGAAGACCCAAAGGAGTTCCAGATATCCACTTGCAGATCCTTCAGAAAGAGGGTTTCAAAACTGCTCTATCAAGAGAAATGTTCAACTCTGTGAGTTGAATGCAGACATCACAAAGTCGTTTCTGAGATGGGTTCTGTCTAGGTTTTATGGGAAGATATTTCCTTTTCTACCATACGCTTCAAGGCGTTCCAAATATCCGCTTGGAAATACTACAAAAACAGTGTTTCAAAACTGCTCTATCAAAAGGAAGGATCCACACTGTGAGTTGAATTCACACATCACAAAGAAATCTCTGAGAATTCTTCTGTCTGGGTTTATAGGAAGAAATCCCGTTTCCAACGAAGGCCTCAAAGCGGTCCATATATCCACTTGCAGATTCTACAGAAACAATGTTTCCAAACTGCTCTATCAAGAGGAATGTTGCACTCGGTGAGTTGAATGCACACATCACAAAGTAGTTTCTGAGATTGCTTCTGTCTACCTTTTCTACCATAGGCCTGAAAGCGCTCTCAATGTACCCTTGCAAATTCTACAAAAAGAGTGTTTCCAAATTGCTCTATCAAGAGAAATCTTTATCTCGGTGAGTTGAAAGCACACATCACAAAGAAGACTCTGAGAATTCTTCTGTCTGGGTTTATAAGATGAAAACCCGTTTCCAACGAAGGCCTCAAGGAGGTCCAAATACAAACAAGCTGATTCTACAGAAAGAGTGTTTCCAAACTGCTCTATCAAGAGGAATGTTCCACTCGGTGAGTTGAATGCAGACATCACAAAGGAGTTTCTGAGATTGCTTCTGTCTAGCTTTTATGGAAAGATATTTCCTTTTCTACCATAGGCCTCAAAGCGCTCTTAGTATACACTTCCAAATTCTACAAAGAGAGTGTTACTAAACCGCTCTCTCAAAGGAAATGTTAAACTCTGTGAGTTGAACACAGACATCACAAAGCAGTTTCTGAGAACACTTCTGTCTGCCTTTTATGTGAAGACATTCCCTTTTCCAAAGAATGCCTCCAAGGGCTCAAAATATCCACTTGTAGACTTTACAAAGAGAGTGTTTCAAAACTTCTCTACCAAAAGAAAGGTTAAAGACGGCGAGTTCAATGCACACATCACAAAGTTGTTTCTGAGAATGATTCTATCTATGTTTTCCATGAAGATGTTTCCTTTTCTATCATAGGCTTCAAAGTGGTCTAAATATCCACTTGGAAATCCTACAAGAACAGGGTTTCAAAACTTCTCTATCAAACGGAAGACTCCACTCTGTGAGATGAACGCACACATCACAATGAGGTTTCTGAAAATTCTTCTGTCTAGGGTTATAGGAAGAAATCCCGTTTCCAACGAAGGCCTCAAAGAGGTCCAAATATCCACTTGCAGTTTCTACAAAAAGAGTGTTTCAACACTGCTCTATAAAGAGGAAAGTTCCACTCTGTGAGTTGAATGTACACATCACAAAGTAGTTTCTGAGATTGCTTCTGTCTAGGTTTTAGGTGAAGTTATTTCCTTTTCTACTGTGGGCTTCAATGCGCTCTAAATATACACATGCAAATACTACAAAAAGAGTGTTTCAAAACTGCTCTATCAAAAGAAAAGTTTTACTCTGTGAGATGAACGCACACATCGCAAAGCAGATTCTGAGAATTATTCTGTCTAGTTTTTATAGGAAGATGTTTCTTTTTCTGCCATAGGTATCAATGCGCTATAAATATCCCCTTGGAAATCCTACAAAAACAGTGTTTCAAAACTGCTCTGTGAAAAGGGACGTTTCACTCTTTGAATTGAATGCACACATCACAAAGGAGTTTCTGAAAATTCTTCAATCTAGAGTTACATGAAGAAATCCCGTTTCCAAAGAAGGCCTCAAATAGGTCCAAATATCCACTTGCAGCTACTACAAGAAGGGTGTTTCAGAAACGCTCTATCAAAAGAAACGATAAACTCTGTGAGTTGAACACACACGTCACTAAGCACTTTCTGAGAACGATTCTATCTACTTTTTACATGAAGATGTTTCCTTTTCTAGCAGAGACTTCAAAGTGCTCTAAATATCCACTTGGGAATTCTACAAAAACGGTGTCTCAAAACTGCTCTATCAAAGGGAATGTTCCATTCTGTGAGTCGAATGCACACATCGAAGAAGTTACTGAGAATTCTTCTCTGTAGGTTTAGATGAAGAAATCCCGTTTCCAACGAAGGCCTCTAGGAGGTCCAATTATCCACTTGCAGATTCTACAGAAAGAGTGTTTCAAAACTGCTCTATCAAGAGAAATGGTCCACCGTGTGTGTGGAATGCAGCCATCACACATTAGTTTCTGAGATTGCTTCTGTCTTGGTTTTATGGGGAGATATTTCCATTTCTAGCATAGGCTTCAAGGCGCTCTAAATATCCGCTTGGAAATACTACAAAAACAGTGTTTCAAAACTGCTGTATCCAAAGGAAGGTGCCACTCGCTGAGTTGAATGCACACATCACAAGGAAGTTTCTGAGAATTCTTCTGTCTAGATTCATACGAAGAAATCCCGTTTCCAACGAAGGCCTCAAAGAAGTCCAAATATCCCATTGCAAATTCTACAAAAGGAGTGTTTCCCAACTGCTCTATCAAGAGGAATGTTGCACTCTGTGACTTGCATGCAAACATCACATAGCAGTGTTTGAGAATTCTTCTGTCTAGAGTAACATGAAGAAATCCCGTTTCCAACGAAGGCCTCAAGGCGGTCCAATTATCCACTTGCAGATTCTACAGAAAGAGTGTTTCAAAACTGCTCTATCAAGAGAAATGTTCCACCGTGTGTGTGGAATGCAGCCATCACACAGTAGTTTCTGAGATTGCTTCCGTCTAGGTTTTATGGGAAGATATTTCCTTTTCTACCATAGGCTTCAAGGCGATCTAATATCCGCTTGGAAATACTACAACCACAGCGTTTCAAACTGCTCTATCCAAAGGAAGGTTCCACTCCTGTGACTTGAATGCACACAACCAAAGAAGTTTCGGAGAATTCTTCTGTCTGGATTTATACGAAGAAATCCCGTTTCCAACGAAGACCCAAAGGAGTTCCAAATATCCACTTGCAGATCCTTCAGAAAGAGGGTTTCAAAACTGCTCTATCAAGAGAAATGTTCAACTCTGTGAGTTGAATGCAGACATCACAAAGTCGTTTCTGAGATGGGTTCTGTCTAGGTTTTATGGGAAGATATTTCCTTTTCTACCATACGCTTCAAGGCGTTCCAAATATCCGCTTGGAAATACTACAAAAACAGTGTTTCAAAACTGCTCTATCAAAAGGAAGGATCCACACTGTGAGTTGAATTCACACATCACAAAGAAGTCTCTGAGAATTCTTCTGTCTGGGTTTATAGGAAGAAATCCCGTTTCCAACGAAGGCCTCAAAGCGGTCCATATATCCACTTGCAGATTCTACAGAAACAATGTTTCCAAACTGCTCTATCAAGAGGAATGTTGCACTCGGTGAGTTGAATGCACACATCACAAAGTAGTTTCTGAGATTGCTTCTGTCTACCTTTTATGGAAAGATATTCCCTTTTCTACCATAGGCCTGAAAGCGCTCTCAATGTACCCTTGCAAATTCTACAAAAAGAGTGTTTCCAAATTGCTCTATCAAGAGAAATCTTTATCTCGGTGAGTTGAAAGCACACATCACAAAGAAGACTCTGAGAATTCTTCTGTCTGGGTTTATAAGATGAAAACCCGTTTCCAACGAAGGCCTCAAGGAGGTCCAAATACAAACAAGCTGATTCTACAGAAAGAGTGTTTCCAAACTGCTCTATCAAGAGGAATGTTCCACTCGGTGAGTTGAATGCAGACATCACAAAGGAGTTTCTGAGATTGCTTCTGTCTAGCTTTTATGGAAAGATATTTCCTTTTCTACCATAGGCCTCAAAGCGCTCTTAGTATACACTTCCAAATTCTACAAAGAGAGTGTTACTAAACCGCTCTCTCAAAGGAAATGTTAAACTCTGTGAGTTGAACACAGACATCACAAAGCAGTTTCTGAGAACACTTCTGTCTGCCTTTTATGTGAAGACATTCCCTTTTCCAAAGAATGCCTCCAAGGGCTCAAAATATCCACTTGTAGACTTTACAAAGAGAGTGTTTCAAAACTTCTCTACCAAAAGAAAGGTTAAAGACGGTGAGTTCAACGCACACATCACAAAGTTGTTTCTGACAATGATTCTATCTATGTTTTCCATGAAGATGTTTCCTTTTCTATCATAGGCTTCAAAGTGGTCTAAATATCCACTTGGAAATCCTACAAGAACAGGGTTTCAAAACTTCTCTATCAAACGGAAGACTCCACTCTGTGAGATGAACGCACACATCACAATGAGGTTTCTGAAAATTCTTCTGTCTAGGGTTATAGGAAGAAATCCCGTTTCCAACGAAGGCCTCAAAGAGGTCCAAATATCCACTTGCAGTTTCTACAAAAAGAGTGTTTCAACACTGCTCTATAAAGAGGAAAGTTCCACTCTGTGAGTTGAATGTACACATCACAAAGTAGTTTCTGAGATTGCTTCTGTCTAGGTTTTAGGTGAAGTTATTTCCTTTTCTACTGTGGGCTTCAATGCGCTCTAAATATACACATGCAAATACTACAAAAAAAGTGTTTCAAAACTGCTCTATCAAAAGAAAAGTTTTACTCTGTGGGTTGAACGCACACATCGCAAAGCAGATTCTGAGAATTATTCTGTCTAGTTTTTATAGGAAGATGTTTCTTTTTCTGCCGTAGGCTCAATGCGCTATAAATATCCCCTTGGAAATCCTACAAAAACAGTTTTTCAAAACTGCTCTGTGAAAAGGGAGGTTTCACTCTTTGAATTGAATGCACACATCACAAAGTAGTTTCTGAAAATTCTTCAAACTAGAGTTACATGAAGAAATCCCGTTTCCAAAGAAGGCCTCAAATAGGTCCAAATATCCACTTGCAGCTACTACAAGAAGGGTGTTTCAGAAACGCTCTATCAAAAGAAACGTTAAACTCTGTGAGTTGAACGCACACGTCACTAAGCACTTTCTGAGAACGATTCTATCTACTTTTTACATGAAGATGTTTCCTTTTCTAGCAGAGACTTCAAAGTGCTCTAAATATCCACTTGGGAATTCTACAAAAACGGTGTCTCAAAACTGCTCTATCAAACGGAATGTTCCATTCTGTGAGTCGAATGCACACATCCGAAGAAGTTACTGAGAATTCTTCTCTGTAGGTTTAGATGAAGAAATCCCATTTCCAACGAAGGCCTCTAGGAGGTCCAATTATCCACTTGCAGATTCTACAGAAAGAGTGTTTCAAAACTGCTCTATCAAGAGAAATGGTCCACCGTGTGTGTGGAATGCTGCCATCGCACATTAGTTTCTGAGATTGCTTCTGTCTTGGTTTTATGGGGAGATATTTCCATTTCTAGCATAGGCTTCAAGGCGCTCTAAATATCCGCTTGGAAATACTACAAAAACAGTGTTTCAAAACTGCTGTATCCAAAGGAAGGTGCCACTCGCTGAGTTGAATGCACACATCACAAGGAAGTTTCTGAGAATTCTTCTGTCTAGATTCATACGAAGAAATCCCGTTTCCAACGAAGGCCTCAAAGAAGTCCAAATATCCCATTGCAAATTCTACAAAAGGAGTGTTTCCCAACTGCTCTATCAAGAGGAATGTTGCACTCTGTGACTTGCATGCAAACATCACACAGCAGTGTTTGAGAATTCTTCTGTCTAGAGTAACATGAAGAAATCCCGTTTCCAACGAAGGCCTCAAGGCGGTCCAATTATCCACTTGCAGATTCTACAGAAAGAGTGTTTCAAAACTGCTCTATCAAGAGAAATGTTCCACCGTGTGTGTGGAATGCAGCCATCACACAGTAGTTTCTGAGATTGCTTCCGTCTAGGTTTTATGGGAAGATATTTCCTTTTCTACCATAGGCCTCAAGGCGCTCTAATATCCGCTTGGAAATACTACAACCACAGCGTTTCAAACTGCTCTATCCAAAGGAAGGTTCCACTCTGTGACTTGAATGCACACAACCAAAGAAGTTTCGGAGAATTCTTCTGTCTGGATTTATACGAAGAAATCCCGTTTCCAACGAAGACCCAAAGGAGTTCCAAATATCCACTTGCAGATCCTTCAGAAAGAGGGTTTCAAAACTGCTCTATCAAGAGAAATGTTCAACTCTGTGAGTTGAATGCAGACATCACAAAGTCGTTTCTGAGATGGGTTCTGTCTAGGTTTTATGGGAAGATATTTCCTTTTCTACCATACGCTTCAAGGCGTTCCAAATATCCGCTTGGAAATACTACAAAAACGGTGTTTCAAAACTGCTCTATCAAAAGGAAGGATCCACACTGTGAGTTGAATTCACACATCACAAAGAAGTCTCTGAGAATTCTTCTGTCTGGGTTTATAGGAAGAAATCCCGTTTCCAACGAAGGCCTCAAAGAGGTCCAAATATCCACTTGCAGATTCTACAGAAACAATGTTTCCAAACTGCTCGGTCAAGAGGAATGTTGCACTCGGTGAGTTGAATGCACACATCACAAAGTAGTTTCTGAGATTGCTTCTGTCTACCTTTTATGGAAAGATATTCCCTTTTCTACCATAGGCCTGAAAGCGCTCTCAATGTACCCTTGCAAATTCTACAAAAAGAGTGTTTCCAAATTGCTCTATCAAGAGAAATCTTTATCTCGGTGAGTTGAAAGCACACATCACAAAGAAGACTCTGAGAATTCTTCTGTCTGGGTTTATAAGATGAAAACCCGTTTCCAACGAAGGCCTCAAGGAGGTCCAAATACAAACAAGCTGATTCTACAGAAAGAGTGTTTCCAAACTGCTCTATCAAGAGGAATGTTCCACTCGGTGAGTTGAATGCAGACATCACAAAGGAGTTTCTGAGATTGCTTCTGTCTAGCTTTTATGGAAAGATATTTCCTTTTCTACCATAGGCCTCAAAGCGCTCTTAGTATACACTTCCAAATTCTACAAAGAGAGTGTTACTAAACCGCTCTCTCAAAGGAAATGTTAAACTCTGTGAGTTGAACACAGACATCACAAAGCAGTTTCTGAGAACACTTCTGTCTGCCTTTTATGTGAAGACATTCCCTTTTCCAAAGAATGCCTCCAAGGGCTCAAAATATCCACTTGTAGACTTTACAAAGAGAGTGTTTCAAAACTTCTCTACCAAAAGAAAGGTTAAAGACGGTGAGTTCAACGCACACATCACAAAGTTGTTTCTGAGAATGATTCTATCTATGTTTTCCATGAAGATGTTTCCTTTTCTATCATAGGCTTCAAAGTGGTCTAAATATCCACTTGGAAATCCTACAAGAACAGGGTTTCAAAACTTCTCTATCAAACGGAAGACTCCACTCTGTGAGATGAACGCACACATCACAATGAGGTTTCTGAAAATTCTTCTGTCTAGGGTTATAGGAAGAAATCCCGTTTCCAACGAAGGCCTCAAAGAGGTCCAAATATCCACTTGCAGTTTCTACAAAAAGAGTGTTTCAACACTGCTCTATAAAGAGGAAAGTTCCACTCTGTGAGTTGAATGTACACATCACAAAGTAGTTTCTGAGATTGCTTCTGTCTAGGTTTTAGGTGAAGTTATTTCCTTTTCTACTGTGGGCTTCAATGCGCTCTAAATATACACATGCAAATACTACAAAAAGAGTGTTTCAAAACTGCTCTATCAAAAGAAAAGTTTTACTCTGTGGGTTGAACGCACACATCGCAAAGCAGATTCTGAGAATTATTCTGTCTAGTTTTTATAGGAAGATGTTTCTTTTTCTGCCATAGGATCAATGCGCTATAAATATCCCCTTGGAAGTCCTACAAAAACAGTGTTTCAAAACTGCTCTGTGAAAAGGGAGGTTTCACTCTTTGAATTGAATGCACACATCACAAAGGAGTTTCTGAAAATTCTTCAATCTAGAGTTACATGAAGAAATCCCGTTTCCAAAGAAGGCCTCAAATAGGTCCAAATATCCACTTGCAGCTACTACAAGAAGGGTGTTTCAGAAACGCTCTATCAAAAGAAACGTTAAACTCTGTGAGTTGAACGCACACGTCACTAAGCACTTTCTGAGAACGATTCTATCTACTTTTTACATGAAGATGTTTCCTTTTCTAGCAGAGACTTCAAAGTGCTCTAAATATCCACTTGGGAATTCTACAAAAACGGTGTCTCAAAACTGCTCTACCAAAGGGAATGTTCCATTCTGTGAGTCGAATGCACACATCCGAAGAAGTTACTGAGAATTCTTCTCTGTAAGTTTAGATGAAGAAATCCCGTTTCCAACGAAGGCCTCTAGGAGGTCCAATTATCCACTTGCAGATTCTACAGAAAGAGTGTCTCAAAACTGCTCTATCAAGAGAAATGGTCCACCGTGTGTGTGGAATGCAGCCATCACACATTAGTTTCTGAGATTGCTTCTGTCTTGGTTTTATGGGGAGATATTTCCATTTCTAGCATAGGCTTCAAGGCGCTCTAAATATCCGCTTGGAAATAGTACAAAAACAGTGTTTCAAAACTGCTGTATCCAAAGGAAGGTGCCACTCGCTGAGTTGAATGCACACATCACAAGGAAGTTTCTGAGAATTCTTCTGTCTAGATTCATACGAAGAAATCCCGTTTCCAACGAAGGCCTCAAAGAAGTCCAAATATCCCATTGCAAATTCTACAAAAGGAGTGTTTCCCAACTGCTCTATCAAGAGGAATGTTGCACTCTGTGACTTGAATGCAAACATCACATAGCAGTGTTTGAGAATTCTTCTGTCTAGAGTAACATGAAGAAATCCTGTTTCCAACGAAGGCCTCAAGGCGGTCCAATTATCCACTTGCAGATTCTACAGAAAGAGTGTTTCAAAACTGCTCTATCAAGAGAAATGTTCCACCGTGTGTGTGGAATGCAGCCATCACACAGTAGTTTCTGAGATTGCTTCCGTCTAGGTTTTATGGGAAGATATTTCCTTTTCTACCATAGGCTTCAAGGCGCTCTAATATCCGCTTGGAAATACTACAACCACAGCGTTTCAAACTGCTCTATCCAAAGGAAGGTTCCACTCTGTGACTTGAATGCACACAACCAAAGAAGTTTCGGAGAATTCTTCTGTCTGGATTTATACGAAAAATCCCGTTTCCAACGAAGACCCAAAGGAGTTCCAAATATCCACTTGCAGATCCTTCAGAAAGAGGGTTTCAAAACTGCTCTATCAAGAGAAATGTTCAACTCTGTGAGTTGAATGCAGACATCACAAAGTCGTTTCTGAGATGGGTTCTGTCTAGGTTTTATGGGAAGATATTTCCTTTTCTACCATACGCTTCAAGGCGTTCCAAATATCCGCTTGGAAATACTACAAAAACAGTGTTTCAAAACTGCTCTATCAAAAGGAAGGATCCACACTGTGAGTTGAATTCACACATCACAAAGAAGTCTCTGAGAATTCTTCTGTCTGGGTTTATAGGAAGAAATCCCGTTTCCAACGAAGGCCTCAAAGAGGTCCAAATATCCACTTGCAGATTCTACAGAAACAATGTTTCCAAACTGCTCGGTCAAGAGGAATGTTGCACTCGGTGAGTTGAATGCACACATGACAAAGTAGTTTCTGAGATTGCTTCTGTCTACCTTTTATGGAAAGATATTCCCTTTTCTACCATAGGCCTGAAAGCGCTCTCAATGTACCCTTGCAAATTCTACAAAAAGAGTGTTTCCAAATTGCTCTATCAAGAGAAATCTTTATCTCGGTGAGTTGAAAGCACACATCACAAAGAAGACTCTGAGAATTCTTCTGTCTGGGTTTATAAGATGAAAACCCGTTTCCAACGAAGGCCTCAAGGAGGTCCAAATACAAACAAGCTGATTCTACAGAAAGAGTGTTTTCAAACTGCTCTATCAAGAGGAATGTTCCACTCGGTGAGTTGAATGCAGACATCACAAAGGAGTTTGCTGGGATTGCTTCTGTCTAGCTTTTATGGAAAGATATTTCCTTTTCTACCATAGGCCTCAAAGCGCTCTTAGTATACACTTCCAAATTCTACAAAGAGAGGGTTACTAATCCTCTCTATCACAGGAAATGTTAAACTCTGTGAGTTGAACACAGATATCACAAAGCAGTTTCTGAGAACACTTCTGTCTGCCTTTTATGTGAAGACATTCCCTTTTCCAAAGAATGCCTCCAAGGGCTCAAAATATCCACTTGTAGACTTTACAAAGAGAGTGTTTCAAAACTTCTCTACCAAAAGAAAGGTTAAAGACTGTGAGTTCAACGCACACATCACAAAGTTGTTTCTGAGAATGATTCTATCTATGTTTTCCATGAAGATGTTTCCTTTTCTATCATAGGCTTCAAAGTGGTCTAAATATCCACTTGGAAATCCTACAAGAACAGGGTTTCAAAACTTCTCTATCAAACGGAAGACTCCACTCTGTGAGATGAACGCACACATCACAATGAGGTTTCTGAAAATTCTTCTGTCTAGGGTTATAGGAAGAAATCCCGTTTCCAACGAAGGCCTCAAAGAGGTCCAAATATCCACTTGCAGTTTCTACAAAAAGAGTGTTTCAACACTGCTCTATAAAGAGGAAAGTTCCACTCTGTGAGTTGAATGTACACATCACAAAGTAGTTTCTGAGATTGCTTCTGTCTAGGTTTCAGGTGAAGTTATTTCCTTTTCTACTGTGGGCTTCAATGCGCTCTAAATATACACATGCAAATACTACAAAAAGAGTGTTTCAAAACTGCTCTATCAAAAGAAAAGTTTTACTCTGTGAGTTGAACGCACACATTGCAAAGCAGATTCTGAGAATTATTCTGTCTAGTTTTTATAGGAAGATGTTTCTTTTTCTGCCATAGGCTCAATGCGCTATAAATATCCCCTTGGAAATCCTACAAAAACAGTGTTTCAAAACTGCTCTGTGAAAAGGGAGGTTTCACTCTTTGAATTGAATGCACACATCACAAAGGAGTTTCTGAAAATTCTTCAATCTAGAGTTACATGAAGAAATCCCGTTTCCAAAGAAGGCCTCAAATAGGTCCAAATATCCACTTGCAGCTACTACAAGAAGGGTGTTTCAGAAACGCTCTATCAAAAGAAACGTTAAACTCTGTGAGTTGAACGCACACGTCACTAAGCACTTTCTGAGAACGATTCTATCTACTTTTTACATGAAGATGTTTCCTTTTCTAGCAGAGACTTCAAAGTGCTCTAAATATCCACTTGGGAATTCTACAAAAACGGTGTCTCAAAACTGCTCTACCAAAGGGAATGTTCCATTCTGTGAGTCGAATGCACACATCCGAAGAAGTTACTGAGAATTCTTCTCTGTAGGTTTAGATGAAGAAATCCCGTTTCCAACGAAGGCCTCTAGGAGGTCCAATTATCCACTTGCAGATTCTACAGAAAGAGTGTTTCAAAACTGCTCTATCAAGAGAAATGGTCCACCGTGTGTGTGGAATGCAGCCATCACACATTAGTTTCTGAGATTGCTTCTGTCTTGGTTTTATGGGGAGATATTTCCATTTCTAGCATAGGCTTCAAGGCGCTCTAAATATCCGCTTGGAAATACTACAAAAACAGTGTTTCAAAACTGCTGTATCCAAAGGGAAGGTGCCACTCGCTGAGTTGAATGCACACATCACAAGGGAAGTTTCTGAGAATTCTTCTGTCTAGATTCATACGAAGAAATCCCGTTTCCAACGAAGGCCTCAAAGAAGTCCAAATATCCCATTGCAAATTCTACAAAAGGAGTGTTTCCCAACTGCTCTATCAAGAGGAATGTTGCACTCTGTGACTTGCATGCAAACATCACACAGCAGTGTTTGAGAATTCTTCTGTCTAGAGTAACATGAAGAAATCCCGTTTCCAACGAAGGCCTCAAGGCGGTCCAATTATCCACTTGCAGATTCTACAGAAAGAGTGTTTCAAAACTGCTCTATCAAGAGAAATGTTCCACCGTGTGTGTGGAATGCAGCCATCACACAGTAGTTTCTGAGATTGCTTCCGTCTAGGTTTTATGGGAAGATATTTCCTTTTCTACCATAGGCCTCAAGGCGCTCTAATATCCGCTTGGAAATACTACAACCACAGCGTTTCAAACTGCTCTATCCAAAGGAAGGTTCCACTCTGTGACTTGAATGCACACAACCAAAGAAGTTTCGGAGAATTCTTCTGTCTAGATTTATACGAAGAAATCCCGTTTCCAACGAAGACCCAAAGGAGTTCCAAATATCCACTTGCAGATCCTTCAGAAAGTGGGTTTCAAAACTGCTCTGTCAAGAGAAATGTTCAACTCTGTGAGTTGAATGCAGACATCACAAAGTCGTTTCTGAGATTGGTTCTGTCTAGGTTTTATGGGAAGATATTTCCTTTTCTACCATACGCTTCAAGGCGTTCCAAATATCCGCTTGGAAATACTACAAAAACCGCGTTTCAAAACTGCTCTATCAAAAGGAAGGATCCACACTGTGAGTTGAATTCACACATCACAAAGAAATCTCTGAGAATTCTTCTGTCTGGGTTTATAGGAAGAAATCCCGTTTCCAATGAAGGCCTCAAAGCGGTCCATATATCCACTTGCAGATTCTACAGAAACAATGTTTCCAAACTGCTCTATCAAGAGGAATGTTGCACTCGGTGAGTTGAATGCACACATCACAAAGTAGTTTCTGAGATTGCTTCTGTCTACCTTTTATGGAAAGATATTCCCTTTTCTACCATAGGCCTGAAAGCGCTCTCAATGTACCCTTGCAAATTCTACAAAAAGAGTGTTTCCAAATTGCTCTATCAAGAGAAATCTTTATCTCGGTGAGTTGAAAGCACACATCACAAAGAAGACTCTGAGAATTCTTCTGTCTGGGTTTATAAGATGAAAACCCGTTTCCAACGAAGGCCTCAAGGAGGTCCAAATACAAACAAGCTGATTCTACAGAAAGAGTGTTTCCAAACTGCTCTATCAAGAGGAATGTTCCACTCGGTGAGTTGAATGCAGACATCACAAAGGAGTTTCTGAGATTGCTTCAGTCTAGCTTTTATGGAAAGATATTTCCTTTTCTACCATAGGCCTCAAAGCGCTCTTAGTATACACTTCCAAATTCTACAAAGAGAGTGTTACTAAACCGCTCTCTCAAAGGAAATGTTAAACTCTGTGAGTTGAACACAGACATCACAAAGCAGTTTCTGAGAACACTTCTGTCTGCCTTTTATGTGAAGACATTCCCTTTTCCAAAGAATGCCTCCAAGGGCTCAAAATATCCACTTGTAGACTTTACAAAGAGAGTGTTTCAAAACTTCTCTACCAAAAGAAAGGTTAAAGACGGTGAGTTCAACGCACACATCACAAAGTTGTTTCTGAGAATGATTCTATCTATGTTTTCCATGAAGATGTTTCCTTTTCTATCATAGGCTTCAAAGTGGTCTAAATATCCACTTGGAAATCCTACAAGAACAGGGTTTCAAAACTTCTCTATCAAACGGAAGACTCCACTCTGTGAGATGAACGCACACATCACAATGAGGTTTCTGAAAATTCTTCTGTCTAGGGTTATAGGAAGAAATCCCGTTTCCAACGAAGGCCTCAAAGAGGTCCAAATATCCACTTGCAGTTTCTACAAAAAGAGTGTTTCAACACTGCTCTATAAAGAGGAAAGTTCCACTCTGTGAGTTGAATGTACACATCACAAAGTAGTTTCTGAGATTGCTTCTGTCTAGGTTTTAGGTGAAGTTATTTCCTTTTCTACTGTGGGCTTCAATGCGCTCTAAATATACACATGCAAATACTACAAAAAGAGTGTTTCAAAACTGCTCTATCAAAAGAAAAGTTTTACTCTGTGGGTTGAACGCACACATCGCAAAGCAGATTCTGAGAATTATTCTGTCTAGTTTTTATAGGAAGATGTTTCTTTTTCTGCCGTAGGCTCAATGCGCTATAAATATCCCCTTGGAAATCCTACAAAAACAGTTTTTCAAAACTGCTCTGTGAAAAGGGAGGTTTCACTCTTTGAATTGAATGCACACATCACAAAGGAGTTTCTGAAAATTCTTCAAACTAGAGTTACATGAAGAAATCCCGTTTCCAAAGAAGGCCTCAAATAGGTCCAAATATCCACTTGCAGCTACTACAAGAAGGGTGTTTCAGAAACGCTCTATCAAAAGAAACGTTAAACTCTGTGAGTTGAACGCACACGTCACTAAGCACTTTCTGAGAACGATTCTATCTACTTTTTACATGAAGATGTTTCCTTTTCTAGCAGAGACTTCAAAGTGCTCTAAATATCCACTTGGGAATTCTACAAAAACGGTGTCTCAAAACTGCTCTATCAAAGGGAATGTTCCATTCTGTGAGTCGAATGCACACATCCGAAGAAGTTACTGAGAATTCTTCTCTGTAGGTTTAGATGAAGAAATCCCGTTTCCAACGAAGGCCTCTAGGAGGTCCAATTATCCACTTGCAGATTCTACAGAAAGAGTGTTTCAAAACTGCTCTATCAAGAGAAATGGTCCACCGTGTGTGTGGAATGCAGCCATCACACATTAGTTTCTGAGATTGCTTCTGTCTTGGTTTTATGGGGAGATATTTCCATTTCTAGCATAGGCTTCAAGGCGCTCTAAATATCCGCTTGGAAATACTACAAAAACAGTGTTTCAAAACTGCTGTATCCAAAGGAAGGTGCCACTCGCTGAGTTGAATGCACACATCACAAGGAAGTTTCTGAGAATTCTTCTGTCTAGATTCATACGAAGAAATCCCGTTTCCAACGAAGGCCTCAAAGAAGTCCAAATATCCCATTGCAAATTCTACAAAAGGAGTGTTTCCCAACTGCTCTATCAAGAGGAATGTTGCACTCTGTGACTTGCATGCAAACATCACACAGCAGTGTTTGAGAATTCTTCTGTCTAGAGTAACATGAAGAAATCCCGTTTCCAACGAAGGCCTCAAGGCGGTCCAATTATCCACTTGCAGATTCTACAGAAAGAGTGTTTCAAAACTGCTCTATCAAGAGAAATGTTCCACCGTGTGTGGGGAATGCAGCCATCACACAGTAGTTTCTGAGATTGCTTCCGTCTAGGTTTTATGGGAAGATATTTCCTTTTCTACCATAGGCCTCAAGGCGCTCTAATATCCGCTTGGAAATACTACAACCACAGCGTTTCAAACTGCTCTATCCAAAGGAAGGTTCCACTCTGTGAGTTGAATGCACACAACCAAAGATGTTTCGGAGAATTCTTCTGTCTAGATTTATACGAAGAAATCCCGTTTCCAACGAAGACCCAAAGGAGTTCCAAATATCCACTTGCAGATCCTTCAGAAAGAGGGTTTCAAAACTGCTCTATCAAGAGAAATGTTCAACTCTGTGAGTTGAATGCAGACATCACAAAGTCGTTTCTGAGATTGGTTCTGTCTAGGTTTTATGGGAAGATATTTCCTTTTCTACCATACGCTTCAAGGCGTTCCAAATATCCGCTTGGAAATACTACAAAAACAGTGTTTCAAAACTGCTCTATCAAAAGGAAGGATCCACACTGTGAGTTGAATTCACACATCACAAAGAAGTCTCTGAGAATTCTTCTGTCTGGGTTTATAGGAAGAAATCCCGTTTCCAACGAAGGCCTCAAAGAGGTCCAAATATCCACTTGCAGATTCTACAGAAACAATGTTTCCAAACTGCTCGGTCAAGAGGAATGTTGCACTCGGTGAGTTGAATGCACACATCACAAAGTAGTTTCTGAGATTGCTTCTGTCTACCTTTTATGGAAAGATATTCCCTTTTCTACCATAGGCCTGAAAGCGCTCTCAATGTACCCTTGCAAATTCTACAAAAAGAGTGTTTCCAAATTGCTCTATCAAGAGAAATCTTTATCTCGGTGAGTTGAAAGCACACATCACAAAGAAGACTCTGAGAATTCTTCTGTCTGGGTTTATAAGATGAAAACCCGTTTCCAACGAAGGCCTCAAGGAGGTCCAAATACAAACAAGCTGATTCTACAGAAAGAGTGTTTCCAAACTGCTCTATCAAGAGGAATGTTCCACTCGGTGAGTTGAATGCAGACATCACAAAGGAGTTTCTGAGATTGCTTCTGTCTAGCTTTTATGGAAAGATATTTCCTTTTCTACCATAGGCCTCAAAGCGCTCTTAGTATACACTTCCAAATTCTACAAAGAGAGTGTTACTAAACCGCTCTCTCAAAGGAAATGTTACACTCTTGTGAGTTGAACACAGACATCACAAAGCAGTTTCTGAGAACACTTCTGTCTGCCTTTTATGTGAAGTACATTCCCTTTTCCAAAGAATGCCTCCAAGGGCTCAAAATATCCACTTGTAGACTTTACAAAGAGAGTGTTTCAAAACTTCTCTACCAAAAGAAAGGTTAAAGACGGTGAGTTCAACGCACACATCACAAAGTTGTTTCTGAGAATGATTCTATCTATGTTTTCCATGAAGATGTTTCCTTTTCTATCATAGGCTTCAAAGTGGTCTAAATATCCACTTGGAAATCCTACAAGAACAGGGTTTCAAAGCTTCTCTATCAAACGGAAGACTCCACTCTGTGAGATGAACGCACACATCACAATGAGGTTTCTGAAAATTCTTCTGTCTAGGGTTATAGGAAGAAATCCCGTTTCCAACGAAGGCCTCAAAGAGGTCCAAATATCCACTTGCAGTTTCTACAAAAAGAGTGTTTCAACACTGCTCTATAAAGAGGAAAGTTCCACTCTGTGAGTTGAATGTACACATCACAAAGTAGTTTCTGAGATTGCTTCTGTCTAGGTTTTAGGTGAAGTTATTTCCTTTTCTACTGTGGGCTTCAATGCGCTCTAAATATACACATGCAAATACTACAAAAAGAGTGTTTCAAAACTGCTCTATCAAAAGAAAAGTTTTACTCTGTGGGTTGAACGCACACATCGCAAAGCAGATTCTGAGAATTATTCTGTCTAGTTTTTATAGGAAGATGTTTCTTTTTCTGCCGTAAGCTCAATGCGCTATAATTATCCCCTTGGAAAACCTACAAAAACAGTGTTTCAAAACTGCTCTGTGAAAAGGGACGTTTCCCTCTTTGAATTGAATGCACACATCACAAAGGAGTTTCTGAAAATTCTTCAATCTAGAGTTACATGAAGAAATCCCGTTTCCAAAGAAGGCCTCAAATAGGTCCAAATATCTACTTGCAGCTACTACAAGAAGGGTGTTTCAGAAACGCTCTATCAAAAAAACGTTAAACTCTGTGAGTTGAACGCACACGTCACTAAGCACTTTCTGAGAACGATTCTATCTACTTTTTACATGAAGATGTTTCCTTTTCTAGCAGAGACTTCAAAGTGCTCTAAATATCCACTTGGGAATTCTACAAAAACGGTGTCTCAAAACTGCTCTATCAAAGGGAATGTTCCATTCTGTGAGTCGAATGCACACATCCGAAGAAGTTACTGAGAATTCTTCTCTGTAGGTTTAGATGAAGAAATCCCGTTTCCAACGAAGGCCTCTAGGAGGTCCAATTATCCACTTGCAGATTCTACAGAAAGAGTGTTTCAAAACTGCTCTATCAAGAGAAATGGTCCACCGTGTGTGTGGAATGCAGCCATCACACATTAGTTTCTGAGATTGCTTCTGTCTTGGTTTTATGGGGAGATATTTCCATTTCTAGCATAGGCTTCAAGGCGCTCTAAATATCCGCTTGGAAATACTACAAAAACAGTGTTTCAAAACTGCTGTATCGAAAGGAAGGTGCCACTCGCTGAGTTGAATGCACACATCACAAGGAAGTTTCTGAGAATTCTTCTGTCTAGATGCATACGAAGAAATCCCGTTTCCAACGAAGGCCTCAAAGAAGTCCAAATATCCCATTGCAAATTCTACAAAAGGAGTGTTTCCCAACTGCTCTATCAAGAGGAATGTTGCACTCTGTGACTTGAATGCAAACATCACATAGCAGTGTTTGAGAATTCTTCTGTCTAGAGTAACATGAAGAAATCCCCTTTCCAACGAAGGCCTCAAGGCGGTCCAATTATCCACTTGCAGATTCTACAGAAAGAGTGTTTCAAAACTGCTCTATCAAGAGAAATGTTCCACCGTGTGTGTGGAATGCAGCCATCACACAGTAGTTTCTGAGATTGCTTCCGTCTAGGTTTTATGGGAAGATATTTCCTTTTCTACCATAGGCCTCAAGGCGCTCTAATATCCGCTTGGAAATACTACAACCACAGCGTTTCAAACTGCTCTATCCAAAGGAAGGTTCCACTCTGTGACTTGAATGCACACAACCAAAGAAGTTTCGGAGAATTCTTCTGTCTAGATTTATACGAAGAAATCCCGTTTCCAACGAAGACCCAAAGGAGTTCCAAATATCCACTTGCAGATCCTTCAGAAAGAGGGTTTCAAAACTGCTCTATCAAGAGAAATGTTCAACTCTGTGAGTTGAATGCAGACATCACAAAGTCGTTTCTGAGATTGGTTCTGTCTAGGTTTTATGGGAAGATATTTTCTTTTCTACCATACGCTTCAAGGCGTTCCAAATATCCGCTTGGAAATACTACAAAAACAGTGTTTCAAAACTGCTCTATCAAAAGGAAGGATCCACACTGTGAGTTGAATTCACACATCACAAAGAAGTCTCTGAGAATTCTTCTGTCTGGGTTTATAGGAAGAAATCCCGTTTCCAACGAAGGCCTCAAAGAGGTCCAAATATCCACTTGCAGATTCTACAGAAACAATGTTTCCAAACTGCTCGGTCAAGAGGAATGTTGCACTCGGTGAGTTGAATGCACACATCACAAAGTAGTTTCTGAGATTGCTTCTGTCTACCTTTGATGGAAAGATATTCCCTTTTCTACCATAGGCCTGAAAGCGCTCTCAATGTACCCTTGCAAATTCTACAAAAAGAGTGTTTCCAAATTGCTCTATCAAGAGAAATCTTTATCTCGGTGAGTTGAAAGCACACATCACAAAGAAGACTCTGAGAATTCTTCTGTCTGGGTTTATAAGATGAAAACCCGTTTCCAACGAAGGCCTCAAGGAGGTCCAAATACAAACAAGCTGATTCTACAGAAAGAGTGTTTCCAAACTGCTCTATCAAGAGGAATGTTCCACTCGGTGAGTTGAATGCAGACATCACAAAGGAGTTTCTGAGATTGCTTCTGTCTAGCTTTTATGGAAAGATATTTCCTTTTCTACCATAGGCCTCAAAGCGCTCTTAGTATACACTTCCAAATTCTACAAAGAGAGTGTCACTAAACCGCTCTCTCAAAGGAAATGTTAAACTCTGTGAGTTGAACACAGACATCACAAAGCAGTTTCTGAGAACACTTCTGTCTGCCTTTTATGTGAAGACATTCCCTTTTCCAAAGAATGCCTCCAAGGGCTCAAAATATCCACTTGTAGACTTTACAAAGAGAGTGTTTCAAAACTTCTCTACCAAAAGAAAGGTTAAAGACGGTGAGTTCAATGCACACATCACAAAGTTGTTTCTGAGAATGATTCTATCTATGTTTTCCATGAAGATGTTTCCTTTTCTATCATAGGCTTCAAAGTGGTCTAAATATCCACTTGGAAATCCTACAAGAACAGGGTTTCAAAACTTCTCTATCAAACGGAAGACTCCACTCTGTGAGATGAACGCACACATCACAATGAGGTTTCTGAAAATTCTTCTGTCTAGGGTTATAGGAAGAAATCCCGTTTCCAACGAAGGCCTCAAAGAGGTCCAAATATCCACCTGCAGTTTCTACAAAAAGAGTGTTTCAACACTGCTCTATAAAGAGGAAAGTTCCACTCTGTGAGTTGAATGTACACATCACAAAGTAGTTTCTGAGATTGCTTCTGTCTAGGTTTTAGGTGAAGTTATTTCCTTTTCTACTGTGGGCTTCAATGCGCTCTAAATATACACATGCAAATACTACAAAAAGAGTGTTTCAAAACTGCTCTATCAAAAGAAAAGTTTTACTCTGTGAGTTGAATGCACACATCGCAAAGCAGATTCTGAGAATTATTCTGTCTAGTTTTTATAGGAAGATGTTTCTTTTTCTGCCATAGGATCAATGCGCTATAAATATCCCCTTGGAAGTCCTACAAAAACAGTGTTTCAAAACTGCTCTGTGAAAAGGGAGGTTTCACTCTTTGAATTGAATGCACACATCACAAAGGAGTTTCTGAAAATTCTTCAATCTAGAGTTACATGAAGAAATCCCGTTTCCAAAGAAGGCCTCAAATAGGTCCAAATATCCACTTGCAGCTACTACAAGAAGGGTGTTTCAGAAACGCTCTATCAAAAGAAACGTTAAACTCTGTGAGTTGAACGCACACGTCACTAAGCACTTTCTGAGAACGATTCTATCTACTTTTTACATGAAGATGTTTCCTTTTCTAGCAGAGACTTCAAAGTGCTCTAAATATCCACTTGGGAATTCTACAAAAACGGTGTCTCAAAACTGCTCTACCAAAGGGAATGTTCCATTCTGTGAGTCGAATGCACACATCCGAAGAAGTTACTGAGAATTCTTCTCTGTAGGTTTAGATGAAGAAATCCCGTTTCCAACGAAGGCCTCTAGGAGGTCCAATTATCCACTTGCAGATTCTACAGAAAGAGTGTTTCAAAACTGCTCTATCAAGAGAAATGGTCCACCGTGTGTGTGGAATGCAGCCATCACACATTAGTTTCTGAGATTGCTTCTGTCTTGGTTTTATGGGGAGATATTTCCATTTCTAGCATAGGCTTCAAGGCGCTCTAAATATCCGCTTGGAAATACTACAAAAACAGTGTTTCAAAACTGCTGTATCCAAAGGAAGGTGCCACTCGCTGAGTTGAATGCACACATCACAAGGAAGTTTCTGAGAATTCTTCTGTCTAGATTCATACGAAGAAATCCCGTTTCCAACGAAGGCCTCAAAGAAGTCCAAATATCCCATTGCAAATTCTACAAAAGGAGTGTTTCCCAACTGCTCTATCAAGAGGAATGTTGCACTCTGTGACTTGAATGCAAACATCACACAGCAGTGTTTGAGAATTCTTCTGTCTAGTAGTAACATGAAGAAATCCCGTTTCCAACGAAGGCCTCAAGGCGGTCCAATTATCCACTTGCAGATTCTACAGAAAGAGTGTTTCAAAACTGCTCTATCAAGAGAAATGTTCCACCGTGTGTGTGGAATGCAGCCATCACACAGTAGTTTCTGAGATTGCTTCCGTCTAGGTTTTATGGGAAGATATTTCCTTTTCTACCATAGGCCTCAAGGCGCTCTAATATCCGCTTGGAAATACTACAACCACAGCGTTTCAAACTGCTCTATCCAAAGGAAGGTTCCACTCTGTGACTTGAATGCACACAACCAAAGAAGTTTCGGAGAATTCTTCTGTCTGGATTTATACGAAGAAATCCCGTTTCCAACGAAGACCCAAAGGAGTTCCAAATATCCACTTGCAGATCCTTCAGAAAGAGGGTTTCAAAACTGCTCTATCAAGAGAAATGTTCAACTCTGTGAGTTGAATGCAGACATCACAAAGTCGTTTCTGAGATGGGTTCTGTCTAGGTTTTATGGGAAGATATTTCCTTTTCTACCATACGCTTCAAGGCGTTCCAAATATCCGCTTGGAAATACTACAAAAACAGTGTTTCAAAACTGCTCTATCAAAAGGAAGGATCCACACTGTGAGTTGAATTCACACATCACAAAGAAATCTCTGAGAATTCTTCTGTCTGGGTTTATAGGAAGAAATCCCGTTTCCAACGAAGGCCTCAAAGCGGTCCATATATCCACTTGCAGATTCTACAGAAACAATGTTTCCAAACTGCTCTATCAAGAGGAATGTTGCACTCGGGGAGTTGAATGCACACATCACAAAGTAGTTTCTGAGATTGCTTCTGTCTACCTTTTATGGAAAGATATTCCCTTTTCTACCATAGGCCTGAAAGCGCTCTCAATGTACCCTTGCAAATTCTACAAAAAGAGTGTTTCCAAATTGCTCTATCAAGAGAAATCTTTATCTCGGTGAGTTGAAAGCACACATCACAAAGAAGACTCTGAGAATTCTTCTGTCTGGGTTTATAAGATGAAAACCCGTTTCCAACGAAGGCCTCAAGGAGGTCCAAATACAAACAAGCTGATTCTACAGAAAGAGTGTTTCCAAACTGCTCTATCAAGGGAATGTTCCACTCAGTGAGTTGAATGCAGACATCACAAAGGAGTTTCTGAGATTGCTTCTGTCTAGCTTTTATGGAAAGATATTTCCTTTTCTACCATAGGCCTCAAAGCGCTCTTAGTATACACTTCCAAATTCTACAAAGAGAGTGTTACTAAACCGCTCTCTCAAAGGAAATGTTAAACTCTGTGAGTTGAACACAGACATCACAAAGCAGTTTCTGAGAACACTTCTGTCTGCCTTTTATGTGAAGACATTCCCTTTTCCAAAGAATGCCTCCAAGGGCTCAAAATATCCACTTGTAGACTTTACAAAGAGAGTGTTTCAAAACTTCTCTACCAAAAGAAAGGTTAAAGACGGTGAGTTCAACGCACACATCACAAAGTTGTTTCTGAGAATGATTCTATCTATGTTTTCCATGAAGATGTTTCCTTTTCTATCATAGGCTTCAAAGTGGTCTAAATATCCACTTGGAAATCCTACAAGAACAGGGTTTCAAAACTTCTCTATCAAACGGAAGACTCCACTCTGTGAGATGAACGCACACATCACAATGAGGTTTCTGAAAATTCTTCTGTCTAGGGTTATAGGAAGAAATCCCGTTTCCAACGAAGGCCTCAAAGAGGTCCAAATATCCACTTGCAGTTTCTACAAAAAGAGTGTTTCAACACTGCTCTATAAAGAGAAAAGTTCCACTCTGTGAGTTGAATGTACACATCACAAAGTAGTTTCTGAGATTGCTTCTGTCTAGGTTTTAGGTGAAGTTATTTCCTTTTCTACTGTGGGCTTCAATGCGCTCTAAATATACACATGCAAATACTACAAAAAGAGTGTTTCAAAACTGCTCTATCAAAAGAAAAGTTTTACTCTGTGAGTTGAACGCACACATCGCAAAGCAGATTCTGAGAATTATTCTGTCTAGTTTTTATAGGAAGATGTTTCTTTTTCTGCCATAGGCTCAATGCGCTATAAATATCCCCTTGGAAATCCTACAAAAACAGTGTTTCAAAACTGCTCTGTGAAAAGGGAGGTTTCACTCTTTGAATTGAATGCACACATCACAAAGGAGTTTCTGAAAATTCTTCAATCTAGAGTTACATGAAGAAATCCCGTTTCCAAAGAAGGCCTCAAATAGGTCCAAATATCCACTTGCAGCTACTACAAGAAGGGTGTTTCAGAAACGCTCTATCAAAAGAAACGTTAAACTCTGTGAGTTGAACGCACACGTCACTAAGCACTTTCTGAGAACGATTCTATCTACTTTTTACATGAAGATGTTTCCTTTTCTAGCAGAGACTTCAAAGTGCTCTAAATATCCACTTGGGAATTCTACAAAAACGGTGTCTCAAAACTGCTCTACCAAAGGGAATGTTCCATTCTGTGAGTCGAATGCACACATCCGAAGAAGTTACTGAGAATTCTTCTCTGTAGGTTTAGATGAAGAAATCCCGTTTCCAACGAAGGCCTCTAGGAGGTCCAATTATCCACTTGCAGATTCTACAGAAAGAGTGTTTCAAAACTGCTCTATCAAGAGAAATGGTCCACCGTGTGTGTGGAATGCAGCCATCACACATTAGTTTCTGAGATTGCTTCTGTCTTGGTTTTATGGGGAGATATTTCCATTTCTAGCATAGGCTTCAAGGCGCTCTAAATATCCGCTTGGAAATACTACAAAAACAGTGTTTCAAAACTGCTGTATCCAAAGGAAGGTGCCACTCGCTGAGTTGAATGCACACATCACAAGGAAGTTTCTGAGAATTCTTCTGTCTAGATTCATACGAAGAAATCCCGTTTCCAACGAAGGCCTCAAAGAAGTCCAAATATCCCATTGCAAATTCTACAAAAGGAGTGTTTCCCAACTGCTCTATCAAGAGGAATGTTGCACTCTGTGACTTGCATGCAAACATCATATAGCAGTGTTTGAGAATTCTTCTGTCTAGAGTAACATGAAGAAATCCCGTTTCCAACGAAGGCCTCAAGGCGGTCCAATTATCCACTTGCAGATTCTACAGAAAGAGTGTTTCAAAACTGCTCTATCAAGAGAAATGTTCCACCGTGTGTGTGGAATGCAGCCATCACACAGTAGTTTCTGAGATTGCTTCCGTCTAGGTTTTATGGGAAGATATTTCCTTTTCTACCATAGGCCTCAAGGCGCTCTAATATCCGCTTGGGAATACTACAACCACAGCGTTTCAAACTGCTCTATCCAAAAGAAGGTTCCACTCTGTGACTTGAATGCACACAACCAAAGAAGTTTCGGAGAATTCTTCTGTCTGGATTTATACGAAGAAATCCCGTTTCCAACGAAGACCCAAAGGAGTTCCAAATATCCACTTGCAGATCCTTCAGAAAGAGGGTTTCAAAACTGCTCTATCAAGAGAAATGTTCAACTCTGTGAGTTGAATGCAGACATCACAAAGTCGTTTCTGAGATTGGTTCCGTCTAGGTTTTATGGGAAGATATTTCCTTTTCTACCATACGCTTCAAGGCGTTCCAAATATCCGCTTGGAAATACTACAAAAACGGTGTTTCAAAACTGCTCTATCAAAAGGAGGGATCCACACTGTGAGTTGAATTCACACATCACAAAGAAATCTCTGGGAATTCTTCTGTCTGGGTTTATAGGAAGAAATCCCGTTTCCAACGAAGGCCTCAAAGCGGTCCATATATCCACTTGCAGATTCTACAGAAACAATGTTTCCAAACTGCTCTATCAAGAGGAATGTTGCACTCGGTGAGTTGAATGCACACATCACAAAGTAGTTTCTGAGATTGCTTCTGTCTACCTTTTATGGAAAGATATTCCCTTTTCTACCATAGGCCTGAAAGCGCTCTCAATGTACCCTTGCAAATTCTACAAAAAGAGTGTTTCCAAATTGCTCTATCAAGAGAAATCTTTATCTCGGTGAGTTGAAAGCACACATCACAAAGAAGACTCTGAGAATTCTTCTGTCTGGGTTTATAAGATGAAAACCCGTTTCCAACGAAGGCCTCAAGGAGGTCCAAATACAAACAAGCTGATTCTACAGAAAGAGTGTTTCCAAACTGCTCTATCAAGAGGAATGTTCCACTCGGTGAGTTGAATGCAGACATCACAAAGGAGTTTCTGAGATTGCTTCTGTCTAGCTTTTATGGAAAGATATTTCCTTTTCTACCATAGGCCTCAAAGCGCTCTTAGTATACACTTCCAAATTCTACAAAGAGAGTGTTACTAAACCGCTCTCTCAAAGGAAATGTTAAACTCTGTGAGTTGAACACAGACATCACAAAGCAGTTTCTGAGAACACTTCTGTCTGCCTTTTATGTGAAGACATTCCCTTTTCCAAAGAATGCCTCCAAGGGCTCAAAATATCCACTTGTAGACTTTACAAAGAGAGTGTTTCAAAACTTCTCTACCAAAAGAAAGGTTAAAGACGGTGAGTTCAACGCACACATCACAAAGTTGTTTCTGAGAATGATTCTATCTATGTTTTCCATGAAGATGTTTCCTTTTCTATCATAGGCTTCAAAGTGGTCTAAATATCCACTTGGAAATCCTACAAGAACAGGGTTTCAAAACTTCTCTATCAAACGGAAGACTCCACTCTGTGAGATGAACGCACACATCACAATGAGGTTTCTGAAAATTCTTCTGTCTAGGGTTATAGGAAGAAATCCCGTTTCCAACGAAGGCCTCAAAGAGGTCCAAATATCCACTTGCAGTTTCTACAAAAAGAGTGTTTCAACACTGCTCTATAAAGAGAAAAGTTCCACTCTGTGAGTTGAATGTACACATCACAAAGTAGTTTCTGAGATTGCTTCTGTCTAGGTTTTAGGTGAAGTTATTTCCTTTTCTACTGTGGGCTTCAATGCGCTCTAAATATACACATGCAAATACTACAAAAAGAGTGTTTCAAAACTGCTCTATCAAAAGAAAAGTTTTACTCTGTGAGTTGAACGCACACATCGCAAAGCAGATTCTGAGAATTATTCTGTCTAGTTTTTATAGGAAGATGTTTCTTTTTCTGCCATAGGCTCAATGCGCTATAAATATCCCCTTGGAAATCCTACAAAAACAGTGTTTCAAAACTGCTCTGTGAAAAGGGAGGTTTCACTCTTTGAATTGAATGCACACATCACAAAGGAGTTTCTGAAAATTCTTCAATCTAGAGTTACATGAAGAAATCCCGTTTCCAAAGAAGGCCTCAAATAGGTCCAAATATCCACTTGCAGCTACTACAAGAAGGGTGTTTCAGAAACGCTCTATCAAAAGAAACGTTAAACTCTGTGAGTTGAACGCACACGTCACTAAGCACTTTCTGAGAACGATTCTATCTACTTTTTACATGAAGATGTTTCCTTTTCTAGCAGAGACTTCAAAGTGCTCTAAATATCCACTTGGGAATTCTACAAAAACGGTGTCTCAAAACTGCTCTACCAAAGGGAATGTTCCATTCTGTGAGTCGAATGCACACATCCGAAGAAGTTACTGAGAATTCTTCTCTGTAGGTTTAGATGAAGAAATCCCGTTTCCAACGAAGGCCTCTAGGAGGTCCAATTATCCACTTGCAGATTCTACAGAAAGAGTGTTTCAAAACTGCTCTATCAAGAGAAATGGTCCACCGTGTGTGTGGAATGCAGCCATCACACATTAGTTTCTGAGATTGCTTCTGTCTTGGTTTTATGGGGAGATATTTCCATTTCTAGCATAGGCTTCAAGGCGCTCTAAATATCCGCTTGGAAATACTACAAAAACAGTGTTTCAAAACTGCTGTATCCAAAGGAAGGTGCCACTCGCTGAGTTGAATGCACACATCACAAGGAAGTTTCTGAGAATTCTTCTGTCTAGATTCATACGAAGAAATCCCGTTTCCAACGAAGGCCTCAAAGAAGTCCAAATATCCCATTGCAAATTCTACAAAAGGAGTGTTTCCCAACTGCTCTATCAAGAGGAATGTTGCACTCTGTGACTTGCATGCAAACATCACATAGCAGTGTTTGAGAATTCTTCTGTCTAGAGTAACATGAAGAAATCCCGTTTCCAACGAAGGCCTCAAGGCGGTCCAATTATCCACTTGCAGATTCTACAGAAAGAGTGTTTCAAAACTGCTCTGTCAAGAGAAATGTTCCACCGTGTGTGTGGAATGCAGCCATCACACAGTAGTTTCTGAGATTGCTTCCGTCTAGGTTTTATGGGAAGATATTTCCTTTTCTACCATAGGCCTCAAGGCGCTCTAATATCCGCTTGGAAATACTACAACCACAGCGTTTCAAACTGCTCTATCCAAAGGAAGGTTCCACTCTGTGACTTGAATGCACACAACCAAAGAAGTTTCGGAGAATTCTTCTGTCTGGATTTATACGAAGAAATCCCGTTTCCAACGAAGACCCAAAGGAGTTCCAAATATCCACTTGCAGATCCTTCAGAAAGAGGGTTTCAAAACTGCTCTATCAAGAGAAATGTTCAACTCTGTGAGTTGAATGCAGACATCACAAAGTCGTTTCTGAGATTGGTTCTGTCTAGGTTTTATGGGAAGATATTTCCTTTTCTACCATACGCTTCAAGGCGTTCCAAATATCCGCTTGGAAATACTACAAAAACGGTGTTTCAAAACTGCTCTATCAAAAGGAAGGATCCACACTGTGAGTTGAATTCACACATCACAAAGAAATCTCTGAGAATTCTTCTGTCTGGGTTTATAGGAAGAAATCCCGTTTCCAACGAAGGCCTCAAAGCGGTCCATATATCCACTTGCAGATTCTACAGAAACAATGTTTCCAAACTGCTCTATCAAGAGGAATGTTGCACTCGGTGAGTTGAATGCACACAACACAAAGTAGTTTCTGAGATTGCTTCTGTCTACCTTTGATGGAAAGATATTCCCTTTTCTACCATAGGCCTGAAAGCGCTCTCAATGTACCCTTGCAAATTCTACAAAAAGAGTGTTTCCAAATTGCTCTATCAAGAGAAATCTTTATCTCGGTGAGTTGAAAGCACACATCACAAAGAAGACTCTGAGAATTCTTCTGTCTGGGTTTATAAGATGAAAACCCGTTTCCAACGAAGGCCTCAAGGAGGTCCAAATACAAACAAGCTGATTCTACAGAAAGAGTGTTTCCAAACTGCTCTATCAAGAGGAATGTTCCACTCGGTGAGTTGAATGCAGACATCACAAAGGAGTTTCTGAGATTGCTTCTGTCTAGCTTTTATGGAAAGATATTTCCTTTTCTACCATAGGCCTCAAAGCGCTCTTAGTATACACTTCCAAATTCTACAAAGAGAGTGTTACTAAACCGCTCTCTCAAAGGAAATGTTAAACTCTGTGAGTTGAACACAGACATCACAAAGCAGTTTCTGAGAACACTTCTGTCTGCCTTTTATGTGAAGACATTCCCTTTTCCAAAGAATGCCTCCAAGGGCTCAAAATATCCACTCGTAGACTTTACAAAGAGAGTGTTTCAAAACTTCTCTACCAAAAGAAAGGTTAAAGACGGTGAGTTCAACGCACACATCACAAAGTTGTTTCTGAGAATGATTCTATCTATGTTTTCCATGAAGATGTTTCCTTTTCTATCATAGGCTTCAAAGTGGTCTAAATATCCACTTGGAAATCCTACAAGAACAGGGTTTCAAAACTTCTCTATCAAACGGAAGACTCCACTCTGTGAGATGAACGCACACATCACAATGAGGTTTCTGAAAATTCTTCTGTCTAGGGTTATAGGAAGAAATCCCGTTTCCAACGAAGGCCTCAAAGAGGTCCAAATATCCACTTGCAGTTTCTACAAAAAGAGTGTTTCAACACTGCTCTATAAAGAGGAAAGTTCCACTCTGTGAGTTGAATGTACACATCACAAAGTAGTTTCTGAGATTGCTTCTGTCTAGGTTTTAGGTGAAGTTATTTCCTTTTCTACTGTGGGCTTCAATGCGCTCTAAATATACACATGCAAATACTACAAAAAGAGTGTTTCAAAACTGCTCTATCAAAAGAAAAGTTTTACTCTGTGAGTTGAACGCACACATCGCAAAGCAGATTCTGAGAATTATTCTGTCTAGTTTTTATAGGAAGATGTTTCTTTTTCTGCCATAGGCTCAATGCGCTATAAATATCCCCTTGGAAATCCTACAAAAACAGTGTTTCAAAACTGCTCTGTGAAAAGGGAGGTTTCACTCTTTGAATTGAATGCACACATCACAAAGGAGTTTCTGAAAATTCTTCAATCTAGAGTTACATGAAGAAATCCCGTTTCCAAAGAAGGCCTCAAATAGGTCCAAATATCCACTTGCAGCTACTACAAGAAGGGTGTTTCAGAAACGCTCTATCAAAAGAAACGTTAAACTCTGTGAGTTGAACGCACACGTCACTAAGCACTTTCTGAGAACGATTCTATCTACTTTTTACATGAAGATGTTTCCTTTTCTAGCAGAGACTTCAAAGTGCTCTAAATATCCACTTGGGAATTCTACAAAAACGGTGTCTCAAAACTGCTCTACCAAAGGGAATGTTCCATTCTGTGAGTCGAATGCACACATCCGAAGAAGTTACTGAGAATTCTTCTCTGTAGGTTTAGATGAAGAAATCCCGTTTCCAACGAAGGCCTCTAGGAGGTCCAATTATCCACTTGCAGATTCTACAGAAAGAGTGTTTCAAAACTGCTCTATCAAGAGAAATGGTCCACCGTGTGTGTGGAATGCAGCCATCACACATTAGTTTCTGAGATTGCTTCTGTCTTGGTTTTATGGGGAGATATTTCCATTTCTAGCATAGGCTTCAAGGCGCTCTAAATATCCGCTTGGAAATACTACAAAAACAGTGTTTCAAAACTGCTGTATCCAAAGGAAGGTGCCACTCGCTGAGTTGAATGCACACATCACAAGGAAGTTTCTGAGAATTCTTCTGTCTAGATTCATACGAAGAAATCCCGTTTCCAACGAAGGCCTCAAAGAAGTCCAAATATCCCATTGCAAATTCTACAAAAGGAGGGTTTCCCAACTGCTCTATCAAGAGGAATGTTGCACTCTGTGACTTGCATGCAAACATCACATAGCAGTGTTTGAGAATTCTTCTGTCTAGAGTAACATGAAGAAATCCCGTTTCCAACGAAGGCCTCAAGGCGGTCCAATTATCCACTTGCAGATTCTACAGAAAGAGTGTTTCAAAACTGCTCTATCAAGAGAAATGTTCCACCGTGTGTGTGGAATGCAGCCATCACACAGTAGTTTCTGAGATTGCTTCCGTCTAGGTTTTATGGGAAGATATTTCCTTTTCTACCATAGGCTTCAAGGCGCTCTAATATCCGCTTGGAAATACTACAACCACAGCGTTTCAAACTGCTCTATCCAAAGGAAGGTTCCACTCTGTGACTTGAATGCACACAACCAAAGAAGTTTCGGAGAATTCTTCTGTCTGGATTTATATGAAGAAATCCCGTTTCCAACGAAGACCCAAAGGAGTTCCAAATATCCACTTGCAGATCCTTCCGAAAGAGGGTTTCAAAACTGCTCTATCAAGAGAAATGTTCAACTCTGTGAGTTGAATGCAGACATCACAAAGTCGTTTCTGAGATGGGTTCTGTCTAGGTTTTATGGGAAGATATTTCCTTTTCTACCATACGCTTCAAGGCGTTCCAAATATCCGCTTGGAAATACTACAAAAACAGTGTTTCAAAACTGCTCTATCAAAAGGAAGGATCCACACTGTGAGTTGAATTCACACATCACAAAGAAATCTCTGAGAATTCTTCTGTCTGGGTTTATAGGAAGAAATCCCGTTTCCAACGAAGGCCTCAAAGCGGTCCATATATCCACTTGCAGATTCTACAGAAACAATGTTTCCAAACTGCTCTATCAAGAGGAATGTTGCACTCGGTGAGTTGAATGCACACATCACAAAGTAGTTTCTGAGATTGCTTCTGTCTACCTTTTCTACCATAGGCCTGAAAGCGCTCTCAATGTACCCTTGCAAATTCTACAAAAAGAGTGTTTCCAAATTGCTCTATCAAGAGAAATCTTTATCTCGGTGAGTTGAAAGCACACATCACAAAGAAGACTCTGAGAATTCTTCTGCCTGGGTTTATAAGATGAAAACCCGTTTCCAACGAAGGCCTCAAGGAGGTCCAAATACAAACAAGCTGATTCTACAGAAAGAGTGTTTCCAAACTGCTCTATCAAGAGGAATGTTCCACTCGGTGAGTTGAATGCAGACATCACAAAGGAGTTTCTGAGATTGCTTCTGTCTAGCTTTTATGGAAAGATATTTCCTTTTCTACCATAGGCCTCAAAGCGCTCTTAGTATACACTTCCAAATTCTACAAAGAGAGTGTTACTAAACCGCTCTCTCAAAGGAAATGTTACACTCTGTTAGTTGAACACAGACATCACAAAGCAGTTTCTGAGAACACTTCTGTCTGCCTTTTATGTGAAGACATTCCCTTTTCCAAAGAATGCCTCCAAGGGCTCAAAATATCCACTTGTAGACTTTACAAAGAGAGTGTTTCAAAACTTCTCTACCAAAAGAAAGGTTAAAGACGGTGAGTTCAACGCACACATCACAAAGTTGTTTCTGAGAATGATTCTATCTATGTTTTCCATGAAGATGTTTCCTTTTCTATCATAGGCTTCAAAGTGGTCTAAATATCCACTTGGAAATCCTACAAGAACAGGGTTTCAAAACTTCTCTATCAAACGGAAGACTCCACTCTGTGAGATGAACGCACACATCACAATGAGGTTTCTGAAAATTCTTCTGTCTAGGGTTATAGGAAGAAATCCCGTTTCCAACGAAGGCCTCAAAGAGGTCCAAATATCCACTTGCAGTTTCTACAAAAAGAGTGTTTCAACACTGCTCTATAAAGAGAAAAGTTCCACTCTGTGAGTTGAATGTACACATCACAAAGTAGTTTCTGAGATTGCTTCTGTCTAGGTTTTAGGTGAAGTTATTTCCTTTTCTACTGTGGGCTTCAATGCGCTCTAAATATACACATGCAAATACTACAAAAAGAGTGTTTCAAAACTGCTCTATCAAAAGAAAAGTTTTACTCTGTGAGTTGAACGCACACATCGCAAAGCAGATTCTGAGAATTATTCTGTCTAGTTTTTATAGGAAGATGTTTCTTTTTCTGCCATAGGCTCAATGCGCTATAAATATCCCCTTGGAAATCCTACAAAAACAGTGTTTCAAAACTGCTCTGTGAAAAGGGAGGTTTCACTCTTTGAATTGAATGCACACATCACAAAGGAGTTTCTGAAAATTCTTTAATCTAGAGTTACATGAAGAAATCCCGTTTCCAAAGAAGGCCTCAAATAGGTCCAAATATCCACTTGCAGCTACTACAAGAAGGGTGTTTCAGAAACGCTCTATGAAAAGAAACGTTAAACTCTGTGAGTTGAACGCACACGTCACTAAGCACTTTCTGAGAACGATTCTATCTACTTTTTACATGAAGATGTTTCCTTTTCTAGCAGAGACTTCAAAGTGCTCTAAATATCCACTTGGGAATTCTACAAAAACGGTGTCTCAAAACTGCTCTATCAAAGGGAATGTTCCATTCTGTGAGTCGAATGCACACATCCGAAGAAGTTACTGAGAATTCTTCTCTGTAGGTTTAGATGAAGAAATCCCGTTTCCAACGAAGACCTCTAGGAGGTCCAATTATCCACTTGCAGATTCTACAGAAAGAGTGTTTCAAAACTGCTCTATCAAGAGAAATGGTCCACCGTGTGTGTGGAATGCAGCCATCACACATTAGTTTCTGAGATTGCTTCTGTCTTGGTTTTATGGGGAGATATTTCCATTTCTAGCATAGGCTTCAAGGCGCTCTAAATATCCGCTTGGAAATACTACAAAAACAGTGTTTCAAAACTGCTGTATCCAAAGGAAGGTGCCACTCGCTGAGTTGAATGCACACATCACAAGGAAGTTTCTGAGAATTCTTCTGTCTAGATTCATACGAAGAAATCCCGTTTCCAACGAAGGCCTCAAAGAAGTCCAAATATCCCATTGCAAATTCTACAAAAGGAGTGTTTCCCAACTGCTCTATCAAGAGGAATGTTGCACTCTGTGACTTGCATGCAAACATCACACAGCAGTGTTTGAGAATTCTTCTGTCTAGAGTAACATGAAGAAATCCCGTTTCGAACGAAGGCCTCAAGGCGGTCCAATTATCCACTTGCAGATTCTACAGAAAGAGTGTTTCAAAACTGCTCTATCAAGAGAAATGTTCCACCGTGTGTGTGGAATGCAGCCATCACACAGTAGTTTCTGAGATTGCTTCCGTCTAGGTTTTATGGGAAGATATTTCCTTTTCTACCATAGGCCTCAAGGCGCTCTAATATCCGCTTGGAAATACTACAACCACAGCGTTTCAAACTGCTCTATCCAAAGGAAGGTTCCACTCTGTGACTTGAATGCACACAACCAAAGAAGTTTCGGAGAATTCTTCTGTCTAGATTTATACGAAGAAATCCCGTTTCCAACGAAGACCCAAAGGAGTTCCAAATATCCACTTGCAGATCCTTCAGAAAGAGGGTTTCAAAACTGCTCTATCAAGAGAAATGTTCAACTCTGTGAGTTGAATGCAGACATCACAAAGTCGTTTCTGAGATTGGTTCTGTCTAGGTTTTATGGGAAGATATTTCCTTTTCTACCATACGCTTCAAGGCGTTCCAAATATCCGCTTGGAAATACTACAAAAACAGTGTTTCAAAACTGCTCTATCAAAAGGAAGGATCCACACTGTGAGTTGAATTCACACATCACAAAGAAGTCTCTGAGAATTCTTCTGTCTGGGTTTATAGGAAGAGATCCCGTTTCCAACGAAGGCCTCAAAGAGGTCCAAATATCCACTTGCAGATTCTACAGAAACAATGTTTCCAAACTGCTCGGTCAAGAGGAATGTTGCACTCGGTGAGTTGAATGCACACATCACAAAGTAGTTTCTGAGATTGCTTCTGTCTACCTTTTATGGAAAGATATTCCCTTTTCTACCATAGGCCTGAAAGCGCTCTCAATGTACCCTTGCAAATTCTACAAAAAGAGTGTTTCCAAATTGCTCTATCAAGAGAAATCTTTATCTCGGTGAGTTGAAAGCACACATCACAAAGAAGACTCTGAGAATTCTTCTGTCTGGGTTTATAAGATGAAAACCCGTTTCCAACGAAGGCCTCAAGGAGGTCCAAATACAAACAAGCTGATTCTACAGAAAGAGTGTTTCCAAACTGTTCTATCAAGAGGAATGTTCCACTCGGTGAGTTGAATGCAGACATCACAAAGGAGTTTCTGAGATTGCTTCTGTCTAGCTTTTATGGAAAGATATTTCCTTTTCTACCATAGGCCTCAAAGCGCTCTTAGTATACACTTCCAAATTCTACAAAGAGAGTGTTACTAAACCGCTCTCTCAAAGGAAATGTTAAACTCTGTGAGTTGAACACAGACATCACAAAGCAGTTTCTGAGAACACTTCTGTCTGCCTTTTATGTGAAGACATTCCCTTTTCCAAAGAATGCCTCCAAGGGCTCAAAATATCCACTTGTAGACTTTACAAAGAGAGTGTTTCAAAACTTCTCTACCAAAAGAAAGGTTAAAGACGGTGAGTTCAACGCACACATCACAAAGTTGTTTCTGAGAATGATTCTATCTATGTTTTCCATGAAGATGTTTCCTTTTCTATCATAGGCTTCAAAGTGGTCTAAATATCCACTTGGAAATCCTACAAGAACAGGGTTTCAAAACTTCTCTATCAAACGGAAGACTCCACTCTGTGAGATGAACGCACACATCACAATGAGGTTTCTGAAAATTCTTCTGTCTAGGGTTATAGGAAGAAATCCCGTTTCCAACGAAGGCCTCAAAGCTGGTCCAAATATCCACTTGCAGTTTCTACAAAAAGAGTGTTTCAACACTGCTCTATAAAGAGAAAAGTTCCACTCTGTGAGTTGAATGTACACATCACAAAGTAGTTTCTGAGATTGCTTCTGTCTAGGTTTTAGGTGAAGTTATTTCCTTTTCTACTGTGGGCTTCAATGCGCTCTAAATATACACATGCAAATACTACAAAAAGAGTGTTTCAAAACTGCTCTATCAAAAGAAAAGTTTTACTCTGTGGGTTGAACGCACACATCGCAAAGCAGATTCTGAGAATTATTCTGTCTAGTTTTTATAGGAAGATGTTTCTTTTTCTGCCATAGGCTCAATGCGCTATAAATATCCCCTTGGAAGTCCTACAAAAACAGTGTTTCAAAACTGCTCTGTGAAAAGGGAGGTTTCACTCTTTGAATTGAATGCACACATCACAAAGGAGTTTCTGAAAATTCTTCAATCTAGAGTTACATGAAGAAATCCCGTTTCCAAAGAAGGCCTCAAATAGGTCCAAATATCCACTTGCAGCTACTACAAGAAGGGTGTTTCAGAAACGCTCTATCAAAAGAAACGTTAAACTCTGTGAGTTGAACGCACACGTCACTAAGCACTTTCTGAGAACGATTCTATCTACTTTTTACATGAAGATGTTTCCTTTTCTAGCAGAGACTTCAAAGTGCTCTAAATATCCACTTGGGAATTCTACAAAAACGGTGTCTCAAAACTGCTCTATCAAAGGGAATGTTCCATTCTGTGAGTCGAATGCACACATCCGAAGAAGTTACTGAGAATTCTTCTCTGTAGGTTTAGATGAAGAAATCCCGTTTCCAACGAAGGCCTCTAGGAGGTCCAATTATCCACTTGCAGATTCTACAGAAAGAGTGTTTCAAAACTGCTCTATCAAGAGAAATGGTCCACCGTGTGTGTGGAATGCAGCCATCACACATTAGTTTCTGAGATTGCTTCTGTCTTGGTTTTATGGGGAGATATTTCCATTTCTAGCATAGGCTTCAAGGCGCTCTAAATATCCGCTTGGAAATACTACAAAAACAGTGTTTCAAAACTGCTGTATCCAAAGGAAGGTGCCACTCGCTGAGTTGAATGCACACATCACAAGGAAGTTTCTGAGAATTCTTCTGTCTAGATTCATATGAAGAAATCCCGTTTCCAACGAAGGCCTCAAAGAAGTCCAAATATCCCATTGCAAATTCTACAAAAGGAGTGTTTCCCAACTGCTCTATCAAGAGGAATGTTGCACTCTGTGACTTGCATGCAAACATCACATAGCAGTGTTTGAGAATTCTTCTGTCTAGAGTAACATGAAGAAATCCCGTTTCCAACGAAGGCCTCAAGGCGGTCCAATTATCCACTTGCAGATTCTACAGAAAGAGTGTTTCAAAACTGCTCTATCAAGAGAAATGTTCCACCGTGTGTGTGGAATGCAGCCATCACACAGTAGTTTCTGAGATTGCTTCCGTCTAGGTTTTATGGGAAGATATTTCCTTTTCTACCATAGGCCTCAAGGCGCTCTAATATCCGCTTGGAAATACTACAACCACAGCGTTTCAAACTGCTCTATCCAAAGGAAGGTTCCACTCTGTGACTTGAATGCACACAACCAAAGAAGTTTCGGAGAATTCTTCTGTCTAGATTTATACGAAGAAATCCCGTTTCCAACGAAGACCCAAAGGAGTTCCAAATATCCACTTGCAGATCCTTCAGAAAGAGGGTTTCAAAACTGCTCTATCAAGAGAAATGTTCAACTCTGTGAGTTGAATGCAGACATCACAAAGTCGTTTCTGAGATTGGTTCTGTCTAGGTTTTATGGGAAGATATTTCCTTTTCTACCATACGCTTCAAGGCGTTCCAAATATCCGCTTGGAAATACTTCAAAAACAGTGTTTCAAAACTGCTCTATCAAAAGGAAGGATCCACACTGTGAGTTGAATTCACACATCACAAAGAAATACTCTGAGAATTCTTCTGTCTGGGTTTATAGGAAGAAATCCCGTTTCCAACGAAGGCCTCAAAGTAGGTCCAAATATCCACTTGCAGATTCTACAGAAACAATGTTTCCAAACTGCTCGGTCAAGAGGAATGTTGCACTCGGTGAGTTGAATGCACACATCACAAAGTAGTTTCTGAGATTGCTTCTGTCTACCTTTTATGGAAAGATATTCCCTTTTCTACCATAGGCCTGAAAGCGCTCTCAATATACCCTTGCAAATTCTACAAAAAGAGTGTTTCCAAATTGCTCTAACAAGAGAAATCTTTATCTCGGTGAGTTGAAAGCACACATCACAAAGAAGACTCTGAGAATTCTTCTGTATGGGTTTATATGAAAAAAATCCCCTTTCCAAGGAAGGCCTCAAGGAGGTCCAAATATCCACTAGCATATTCTACAGAAAGATTGTTTCCAAACTGCTCTATCAAGAGGAATGTTCCACTTGGTGTGTTGAATGCAGACATCACAAAGGAGTTTCTGAGATTGCTTCTCTCCAGCTTCTATGGAAAGATATTTACTTTTCTACCATAGGTCTCAAAGCGCTCTTAATATACACTTCCAAATTCTACAAAGAGTGTTTTTAAACTGTTATATCAAAGGAAATGTTAAACTCTGTGAGTTGAACGCAGACATCACAAAGCAGTTTCTCAGAACACTTCTGTCTGCCTTTTATGTGAAGACATTCCCTTTTCCAAAGAATGCCTCCAAGGGCTCAAAATATCCACTTCTAGAGTTTACAAAGAGAGTGTTTCAAAACTTCTCTACCAAAAGAAAGGATAAAGTCTGTGAGTTCAACGCACACATCACAAAGTTGTTTCTGAGAATGATTCTATCTATGTTTTCCATGAAGATGTTTCCTTTTCTATCATAGGCTTCAAAGTGGTCTAAATTTCCACTTGTAAATCCTACAAGAATAGGGATTCAAAAGTTCTCTAATAAAAGGAAGTCTCCACTCTGTGAGATGAACGCACACATCACAATGAGGTTTCAGAAAATTCTTCTGTCTGGGGATATGTGAAGAAATCCCATTTCCAACGAAGGCCTCAAAGAGGTCCAAATATCCACTGGCAGTTTCTACAAAAAGAGTGTTTCAACACTGCTCTATAAAGAGGAAAGTTCCACTTCTGTGAGTTGAATGCACACATCCCAAATTAGTTTCTGAGATTGCTTCTGTCTAGGTTTTAGGTGAAGTTATTTCCTTTTCTACTGTGGGCTTCAATGCGCTCTAAATATACACATGCAAATACGACAAAAAGAGTGTTTCAAAACTGCTCTATCAAAAGAAAAGTTTTACTCTGTGGGGTTGAACGCACACATCGCAAAGCAGATTCTGAGAATTATTCTGTCTAGTTTTTATAGGAAGATGTTTCTTTTTCTGCCATAGGCTCAATGCGCTATAAATATCCCCTTGGAAATCCTACAAAAACAGTGTTTCAAAACTGCTCTGTGAAAAGGGAGGTTTCACTCTTTGAATTGAATGCACACATCACAAAGGAGTTTCTGAAAATTCTTCAATCTAGAGTTACATGAAGAAATCCCGTTTCCAAAGAAGGCCTCAAATAGGTCCAAATATCCACTTGCAGCTACTACAAGAAGGGTGTTTCAGAAACGCTCTATCAAAAGAAACGTTAAACTCTGTGAGTTGAACGCACACGTCACTAAGCACTTTCTGAGAACGATTCTATCTACTTTTTACATGAAGATGTTTCCTTTTCTAGCAGAGACTTCAAAGTGCTCTAAATATCCACTTGGGAATTCTACAAAAACGGTGTCTCAAAACTGCTCTACCAAAGGGAATGTTCCATTCTGTGAGTCGAATGCACACATCCGAAGAAGTTACTGAGAATTCTTCTCTGTAGGTTTAGATGAAGAAATCCCGTTTCCAACGAAGGCCTCTAGGAGGTCCAATTATCCACTTGCAGATTCTACAGAAAGAGTGTTTCAAAACTGCTCTATCAAGAGAAATGGTCCACCGTGTGTGTGGAATGCAGCCATCACACATTAGTTTCTGAGATTGCTTCTGTCTTGGTTTTATGGGGAGATATTTCCATTTCTAGCATAGGCTTCAAGGCGCTCTAAATATCCGCTTGGAAATACTACAAAAACAGTGTTTCAAAACTGCTGTATCCAAAGGAAGGTGCCACTCGCTGAGTTGAATGCACACATCACAAGGAAGTTTCTGAGAATTCTTCTGTCTAGATTCATACGAAGAAATCCCGTTTCCAACGAAGGCCTCAAAGAAGTCCAAATATCCCATTGCAAATTCTACAAAAGGAGTGTTTCCCAACTGCTCTATCAAGAGGAATGTTGCACTCTGTGACTTGCATGCAAACATCACATAGCAGTGTTTGAGAATTCTTCTGTCTAGAGTAACATGAAGAAATCCCGTTTCCAACGAAGGCCTCAAGGCGGTCCAATTATCCACTTGCAGATTCTACAGAAAGAGTGTTTCAAAACTGCTCTATCAAGAGAAATGTTCCACCGTGTGTGTGGAATGCAGCCATCACACAGTAGTTTCTGAGATTGCTTCCGTCTAGGTTTTATGGGAAGATATTTCCTTTTCTACCATAGGCTTCAAGGCACTCTAATATCCGCTTGGAAATACTACAACCACAGCGTTTCAAACTGCTCTATCCAAAGGAAGGTTCCACTCTGTGACTTGAATGCACACAACCAAAGAAGTTTCGGAGAATTCTTCTGTCTGGATTTATACGAAGAAATCCCGTTTCCAACGAAGACCCAAAGGAGTTCCAAATATCCACTTGCAGATCCTTCAGAAAGAGGGTTTCAAAACTGCTCTATCAAGAGAAATGTTCAACTCTGTGAGTTGAATGCAGACATCACAAAGTCGTTTCTGAGATGGGTTCTGTCTAGGTTTTATGGGAAGATATTTCCTTTTCTACCATACGCTTCAAGGCGTTCCAAATATCCGCTTGGAAATACTACAAAAACAGTGTTTCAAAACTGCTCTATCAAAAGGAAGGATCCACACTGTGAGTTGAATTCACACATCACAAAGAAGTCTCTGAGAATTCTTCTGTCTGGGTTTATAGGAAGAAATCCCGTTTCCAACGAAGGCCTCAAAGAGGTCCAAATATCCACTTGCAGATTCTACAGAAACAATGTTTCCAAACTGCTCTATCAAGAGGAATGTTGCACTCGGTGAGTTGAATGCACACATCACAAAGTAGTTTCTGAGATTGCTTCTGTCTACCTTTTATGGAAAGATATTCCCTTTTCTACCATAGGCCTGAAAGCGCTCTCAATGTACCCTTGCAAATTGTACAAAAAGAGTGTTTCCAAATTGCTGTATCAAGAGAAATCTTTATCTCGGTGAGTTGAAAGCACACATCACAAAGAAGACTCTGAGAATTCTTCTGTCTGGGTTTATAAGATGAAAACCCGTTTCCAACGAAGGCCTCAAGGAGGTCCAAATACAAACAAGCTGATTCTACAGAAAGAGTGTTTCCAAACTGCTCTATCAAGAGGAATGTTCCACTCGGTGAGTTGAATGCAGACATCACAAAGGAGTTTCTGAGATTGCTTCTGTCTAGCTTTTATGGAAAGATATTTCCTTTTCTACCATAGGCCTCAAAGCGCTCTTAGTATACACTTCCAAATTCTACAAAGAGAGTGTTACTAAACCGCTCTCTCAAAGGAAATGTTAAACTCTGTGAGTTGAACACAGACATCACAAAGCAGTTTCTGAGAACACTTCTGTCTGCCTTTTATGTGAAGACATTCCCTTTTCCAAAGAATGCCTCCAAGGGCTCAAAATATCCACTTGTAGACTTTACAAAGAGAGTGTTTCAAAACTTCTCTACCAAAAGAAAGGTTAAAGACGGTGAGTTCAACGTACACATCACAAAGTTGTTTCTGAGAATGATTCTATCTATGTTTTCCATGAAGATGTTTCCTTTTCTATCATAGGCTTCAAAGTGGTCTAAATATCCACTTGGAAATCCTACAAGAACAGGGTTTCAAAACTTCTCTATCAAACGGAAGACTCCACTCTGTGAGATGAACGCACACATCACAATGAGGTTTCTGAAAATTCTTCTGTCTAGGGTTATAGGAAGAAATCCCGTTTCCAACGAAGGCCTCAAAGAGGTCCAAATATCCACTTGCAGTTTCTACAAAAAGAGTGTTTCAACACTGCTCTATAAAGAGAAAAGTTCCACTCTGTGAGTTGAATGTACACATCACAAAGTAGTTTCTGAGATTGCTTCTGTCTAGGTTTTAGGTGAAGTTATTTCCTTTTCTACTGTGGGCTTCAATGCGCTCTAAATATACACATGCAAATACTACAAAAAGAGTGTTTCAAAACTGCTCTATCAAAAGAAAAGTTTTACTCTGTGAGTTGAACGCACACATCGCAAAGCAGATTCTGAGAATTATTCTGTCTAGTTTTTATAGGAAGATGTTTCTTTTTCTGCCATAGGCTCAATGCGCTATAAATATCCCCTTGGAAATCCTACAAAAACAGTGTTTCAAAACTGCTCTGTGAAAAGGGAGGTTTCACTCTTTGAATTGAATGCACACATCACAAAGGAGTTTCTGAAAATTCTTCAAACTAGAGTTACATGAAGAAATCCCGTTTCCAAAGAAGGCCTCAAATAGGTCCAAATATCCACTTGCAGCTACTACAAGAAGGGTGTTTCAGAAACGCTCTATCAAAAGAAATGTTAAACTCTGTGAGTTGAACACACACGTCACTAAGCACTTTCTGAGAACGATTCTATCTACTTTTTACATGAAGATGTTTCCTTTTCTAGCAGAGACTTCAAAGTGCTCTAAATATCCACTTGGGAATTCTACAAAAACGGTGTCTCAAAACTGCTCTATCAAAGGGAATGTTCCATTCTGTGAGTCGAATGCACACATCCGAAGAAGTTACTGAGAATTCTTCTCTGTAGGTTTAGATGAAGAAATCCCGTTTCCAACGAAGGCCTCTAGGAGGTCCAATTATCCACTTGCAGATTCTACAGAAAGAGTGTTTCAAAACTGCTGTATCAAGAGAAATGGTCCACCGTGTGTGTGAAATGCAGCCATCACACATTAGTTTCTGAGATTGCTTCTGTCTTGGTTTTATGGGGAGATATTTCCATTTCTAGCATAGGCTTCAAGGCGCTCTAAATATCCGCTTGGAAATAGTACAAAAACAGTGTTTCAAAACTGCTGTATCCAAAGGAAGGTGCCACTCGCTGAGTTGAATGCACACATCACAAGGAAGTTTCTGAGAATTCTTCTGTCTAGATTCATACGAAGAAATCCCGTTTCCAACGAAGGCCTCAAAGAAGTCCAAATATCCCATTGCAAATTCTACAAAAGGAGTGTTTCCCAACTGCTCTATCAAGAGGAATGTTGCACTCTGTGACTTGCATGCAAACATCACATAGCAGTGTTTGAGAATTCTTCTGTCTAGAGTAACATGAAGAAATCCCGTTTCCAACGAAGGCCTCAAGGCGGTCCAATTATCCACTTGCAGATTCTACAGAAAGAGTGTTTCAAAACTGCTCTATCAAGAGAAATGTTCCACAGTGTGTGTGGAATGCAGCCATCACAAAGTAGTTTCTGAGATTGCTTCCGTCTAGGTTTTATGGGAAGATATTTCCTTTTCTACCATAGGCTTCAAGGCGCTCTAATATCCGCTTGGAAATACTACAACCAGAGCGTTTCAAACTGCTCTATCCAAAGGAAGGTTCCACTCTGTGACTTGAATGCACACAACCAAAGAAGTTTCGGAGAATTCTTCTGTCTGGATTTATACGAAGAAATCCCGTTTCCAACGAAGACCCAAAGGAGTTCCAAATATCCACTTGCAGATCCTTCAGAAAGAGGGTTTCAAAACTGCTCTATCAAGAGAAATGTTCAACTCTGTGAGTTGAATGCAGACATCACAAAGTCGTTTCTGAGATGGGTTCTGTCTAGGTTTTATGGGAAGATATTTCCTTTTCTACCAAACGCTTCAAGGCGTTCCAAATATCCGCTTGGAAATACTACAAAAACAGTGTTTCAAAACTGCTCTATCAAAAGGAAGGATCCACACTGTGAGTTGAATTCACACATCACAAAGAAATCTCTGAGAATTCTTCTGTCTGGGTTTATAGGAAGAAATCCCGTTTCCAACGAAGGCCTCAAAGCGGTCCATATATCCACTTGCAGATTCTACAGAAACAATGTTTCCAAACTGCTCTATCAAGAGGAATGTTGCACTCGGTGAGTTGAATGCACACATCACAAAGTAGATTCTGAGATTGCTTCTGTCTACCTTTTATGGAAAGATATTCCCTTTTCTACCATAGGCCTGAAAGCGCTCTCAATGTACCCTTGCAAATTCTACAAAAAGAGTGTTTCCAAATTGCTCTATCAAGAGAAATCTTTATCTCGGTGAGTTGAAAGCACACATCACAAAGAAGACTCTGAGAATTCTTCTGTCTGGGTTTATAAGATGAAAACCCGTTTCCAACGAAGGCCTCAAGGAGGTCCAAATACAAACAAGCTGATTCTACAGAAAGAGTGTTTCCAAACTGCTCTATCAAGAGGAATGTTCCACTCGGTGAGTTGAATGCAGACATCACAAAGGAGTTTCTGAGATTGCTTCTGTCTAGCTTTTATGGAAAGATATTTCCTTTTCTACCATAGGCCTCAAAGCGCTCTTAGTATACACTTCCAAATTCTACAAAGAGAGTGTTACTAAACCGCTCTATCAAAGGAAATGTTAAACTCTGTGAGTTGAACACAGACATCACAAAGCAGTTTCTGAGAACACTTCTGTCTGCCTTTTATGTGAAGACATTCCCTTTTCCAAAGAATGCCTCCAAGGGCCCAAAATATCCACTTGTAGACTTTACAAAGAGAGTGTTTCAAAACTTCTCTACCAAAAGAAAGGTTAAAGACTGTGAGTTCAACGCACACATCACAAAGTTGTTTCTGAGAATGATTCTATCTATGTTTTCCATGAAGATGTTTCCTTTTCTATCATAGGCTTCAAAGTGGTCTAAATATCCACTTGGAAATCCTACAAGAACAGGGTTTCAAAACTTCTCTATCAAACGGAAGACTCCACTCTGTGAGATGAACGCACACATCACAATGAGGTTTCTGAAAATTCTTCTGTCTAGGGTTATAGGAAGAAATCCCGTTTCCAACGAAGGCCTCAAAGAGGTCCAAATATCCACTTGCAGTTTCTACAAAAAGAGTGTTTCAACACTGCTCTATAAAGAGGAAAGTTCCACTCTGTGAGTTGAATGTACACATCACAAAGTAGTTTCTGAGATTGCTTCTGTCTAGGTTTTAGGTGAAGTTATTTCCTTTTCTACTGTGGGCTTCAATGCGCTCTAAATATACACATGCAAATACTACAAAAAGAGTGTTTCAAAACTGCTCTATCAAAAGAAAAGTTTTACTCTGTGGGTTGAACGCACACATCGCAAAGCAGATTCTGAGAATTATTCTGTCTAGTTTTTATAGGAAGATGTTTCTTTTTCTGCCGTAGGCTCAATGCGCTATAAATATCCCCTTGGAAATCCTACAAAAACAGTGTTTCAAAACTGCTCTGTGAAAAGGGAGGTTTCACTCTTTGAATTGAATGCACACATCACAAAGGAGTTTCTGAAAATTCTTCAAACTAGAGTTACATGAAGAAATCCCGTTTCCAAAGAAGGCCTCATATAGGTCCAAATATCCACTTGCAGCTACTACAAGAAGGGTGTTTCAGAAACGGTCTATCAAAAGAAACGTTAAACTCTGTGAGTTGAACGCACACGTCACTAAGCACTTTCTGAGAACGATTCTATCTACTTTTTACATGAAGATGTTTCCTTTTCTAGCAGAGACTTCAAAGTGCTCTAAATATCCACTTGGGAATTCTACAAAAACGGTGTCTCAAAACTGCTCTATCAAACGGAATGTTCCATTCTGTGAGTCGAATGCACACATCCGAAGAAGTTACTGAGAATTCTTCTCTGTAGGTTTAGATGAAGAAATCCCGTTTCCAACGAAGGCCTCTAGGAGGTCCAATTATCCACTTGCAGATTCTACAGAAAGAGTGTTTCAAAACTGCTCTATCAAGAGAAATGGTCCACCGTGTGTGTGGAATGCAGCCATCACACATTAGTTTCTGAGATTGCTTCTGTCTTGGTTTTATGGGGAGATATTTCCATTTCTAGCATAGGCTTCAAGGCGCTCTAAATATCCGCTTGGAAATACTACAAAAACAGTGTTTCAAAACTGCTGTATCCAAAGGAAGGTGCCACTCGCTGAGTTGAATGCACACATCACAAGGAAGTTTCTGAGAATTCTTCTGTCTAGATTCATACGAAGAAATCCCGTTTCCAACGAAGGCCTCAAAGAAGTCCAAATATCCCATTGCAAATTCTACAAAAGGAGTGTTTCCCAACTGCTCTATCAAGAGGAATGTTGCACTCTGTGACTTGAATGCAAACATCACATAGCAGTGTTTGAGAATTCTTCTGTCTAGAGTAACATGAAGAAATCCCGTTTCCAACGAAGGCCTCAAGGCGGTCCAATTATCCACTTGCAGATTCTACAGAAAGAGTGTTTCAAAACTGCTCTATCAAGAGAAATGTTCCACCGTGTGTGTGGAATGCAGCCATCACACAGTAGTTTCTGAGATTGCTTCCGTCTAGGTTTTATGGGAAGATATTTCCTTTTCTACCATAGGCTTCAAGGCTCTCTAATATCCGCTTGGAAATACTACAACCAGATCGTTTCAAACTGCTCTATCCAAAGGAAGGTTCCACTCTGTGACTTGAATGCACACAACCAAAGAAGTTTCGGAGAATTCTTCTGTCTGGATTTATACGAAGAAATCCCGTTTCCAACGAAGACCCAAAGGAGTTCCAAATATCCACTTGCAGATCCTTCAGAAAGAGGGTTTCAAAACTGCTCTATCAAGAGAAATGTTCAACTCTGTGAGTTGAATGCAGACATCACAAAGTCGTTTCTGAGATGGGTTCTGTCTAGGTTTTATGGGAAGATATTTCCTTTTCTACCGTACGCTTCAAGGCGTTCCAAATATCCGCTTGGAAATACTACAAAAACAGTGTTTCAAAACTGCTCTATCAAAAGGAAGGATCCACACTGTGAGTTGAATTCACACATCACAAAGAAATCTCTGAGAATTCTTCTGTCTGGGTTTATAGGAAGAAATCCCGTTTCCAACGAAGGCCTCAAAACGGTCCATATATCCACTTGCAGATTCTACAGAAACAATGTTTCCAAACTGCTCTATCAAGAGGAATGTTGCACTCGGTGAGTTGAATGCACACATCACAAAGTAGTTTCTGAGATTGCTTCTGTCTACCTTTTATGGAAAGATATTCCCTTTTCTACCATAGGCCTGAAAGCGCTCTCAATGTACCCTTGCAAATTCTACAAAAAGAGTGTTTCCAAATTGCTCTATCAAGAGAAATCTTTATCTCGGTGAGTTGAAAGCACACATCACAAAGAAGACTCTGAGAATTCTTCTGTCTGGGTTTATAAGATGAAAACCCGTTTCCAACGAAGGCCTCAAGGAGGTCCAAATACAAACAAGCTGATTCTACAGAAAGAGTGTTTCCAAACTGCTCTATCAAGAGGAATGTTCCACTCGGTGAGTTGAATGCAGACATCACAAAGGAGTTTCTGAGATTGCTTCTGTCTAGCTTTTATGGAAAGATATTTCCTTTTCTACCATAGGCCTCAAAGCGCTCTTAGTATACACTTCCAAATTCTACAAAGAGAGTGTTACTAAACCGCTCTCTCAAAGGAAATGTTAAACTCTGTGAGTTGAACACAGACATCACAAAGCAGTTTCTGAGAACACTTCTGTCTGCCTTTTATGTGAAGACATTCCCTTTTCCAAAGAATGCCTCCAAGGGCTCAAAATATCCACTTGTAGACTTTACAAAGAGAGTGTTTCAAAACTTCTCTACCAAAAGAAAGGTTAAAGACGGTGAGTTCAACGCACACATCACAAAGTTGTTTCTGAGAATGATTCTATCTATGTTTTCCATGAAGATGTTTCCTTTTCTATCATAGGCTTCAAAGTGGTCTAAATATCCACTTGGAAATCCTACAAGAACAGGGTTTCAAAACTTCTCTATCAAACGGAAGACTCCACTCTGTGAGATGAACGCACACATCACAATGAGGTTTCTGAAAATTCTTCTGTCTAGGGTTATAGGAAGAAATCCCGTTTCCAACGAAGGCCTCAAAGAGGTCCAAATATCCACTTGCAGTTTCTACAAAAAGAGTGTTTCAACACTGCTCTATAAAGAGGAAAGTTCCACTCTGTGAGTTGAATGTACACATCACAAAGTAGTTTCTGAGATTGCTTCTGTCTAGGTTTTAGGTGAAGTTATTTCCTTTTCTACTGTGGGCTTCAATGCGCTCTAAATATACACATGCAAATACTACAAAAAGAGTGTTTCAAAACTGCTCTATCAAAAGAAAAGTTTTACTCTGTGAGATGAACGCACACATCGCAAAGCAGATTCTGAGAATTATTCTGTCTAGTTTTTATAGGAAGATGTTTCTTTTTCTGCCATAGGCTCAATGCGCTATAAATATCCCCTTGGAAATCCTACAAAAACAGTGTTTCAAAACTGCTCTGTGAAAAGGGACGTTTCACTCTTTGAATTGAATGCACACATCACAAAGGAGTTTCTGAAAATTCTTCAAACTAGAGTTACATGAAGAAATCCCGTTTCCAAAGAAGGCCTCAAATAGGTCCAAATATCCACTTGCAGCTACTACAAGAAGGGTGTTTCAGAAACGCTCTATCAAAAGAAACGTTAAACTCTGTGAGTTGAACACACACGTCACTAAGCACTTTCTGAGAACTATTCTATCCACTTTTTACATGAAGATGTTTCCTTTTCTAGCAGAGACTTCAAAGTGCTCTAAATATCCACTTGGGAATTCTACAAAAACGGTGTCTCAAAACTGCTCTATCAAAGGGAATGTTCCATTCTGTGAGTCGAATGCACACATCCGAAGAAGTTACTGAGAATTCTTCTCTGTAGGTTTAGATGAAGAAATCCCGTTTCCAACGAAGGCCTCTAGGAGGTCCAATTATCCACTTGCAGATTCTACAGAAAGAGTGTTTCAAAACTGCTCTATCAAGAGAAATGGTCCACCGTGTGTGTGGAATGCAGCCATCACATATTAGTTTCTGAGATTGCTTCTGTCTTGGTTTTATGGGGAGATATTTCCATTTCTAGCATAGGCTTCAAGGCGCTCTAAATATCCGCTTGGAAATAGTACAAAAACAGTGTTTCAAAACTGCTGTATCCAAAGGAAGGTGCCACTCGCTGAGTTGAATGCACACATCACAAGGAAGTTTCTGAGAATTCTTCTGTCTAGATTCATACGAAGAAATCCCGTTTCCAACGAAGGCCTCAAAGAAGTCCAAATATCCCATTGCAAATTCTACAAAAGGAGTGTTTCCCAACTGCTCTATCAAGAGGAAATGTTGCACTCTGTGACTTGAATGCAAACATCACATAGCAGTGTTTGAGAATTCTTCTGTCTAGAGTAACATGAAGAAATCCCGTTTCCAACGAAGGCCTCAAGGCGGTCCAATTATCCACTTGCAGATTCTACAGAAAGAGTGTTTCAAAACTGCTCTATCAAGAGAAATGTTCCACCGTGTGTGTGGAATGCAGCCATCACACAGTAGTTTCTGAGATTGCTTCCGTCTAGGTTTTATGGGAAGATATTTCCTTTTCTACCATAGGCTTCAAGGCGCTCTAATATCCGCTTGGAAATACTACAACCACAGCGTTTCAAACTGCTCTATCCAAAGGAAGGTTCCACTCTGTGACTTGAATGCACACAACCAAAGAAGTTTCGGAGAATTCTTCTGTCTGGATTTATACGAAGAAATCCCGTTTCCAAGGAAGACCCAAAGGAGTTCCAAATATCCACTTGCAGATCCTTCAGAAAGAGGGTTTCAAAACTGCTCTATCAAGAGAAATGTTCAACTCTGTGAGTTGAATGCAGACATCACAAAGTCGTTTCTGAGATGGGTTCTGTCTAGGTTTTATGGGAAGATATTTCCTTTTCTACCATACGCTTCAAGGCGTTCCAAATATCCGCTTGGAAATACTACAAAAACAGTGTTTCAAAACTGCTCTATCAAAAGGAAGGATCCACACTGTGAGTTGAATTCACACATCACAAAGAAATCTCTGAGAATTCTTCTGTCTGGGTTTATAGGAAGAAATCCCGTTTCCAACGAAGGCCTCAAAGCGGTCCATATATCCACTTGCAGATTCTACAGAAACAATGTTTCCAAACTGCTCGGTCAAGAGGAATGTTGCACTCGGTGAGTTGAATGCACACATCACAAAGTAGTTTCTGAGATTGCTTCTGTCTACCTTTTATGGAAAGATATTCCCTTTTCTACCATAGGCCTGAAAGCGCTCTCAATGTACCCTTGCAAATTCTACAAAAAGAGTGTTTCCAAATTGCTCTATCAAGAGAAATCTTTATCTCGGTGAGTTGAAAGCACACATCACAAAGAAGACTCTGAGAATTCTTCTGTCTGGGTTTATAAGATGAAAACCCGTTTCCAACGAAGGCCTCAAGGAGGTCCAAATACAAACAAGCTGATTCTACAGAAAGAGTGTTTCCAAACTGCTCTATCAAGAGGAATGTTCCACTCGGTGAGTTGAATGCAGACATCACAAAGGAGTTTCTGAGATTGCTTCTGTCTAGCTTTTATGGAAAGATATTTCCTTTTCTACCATAGGCCTCAAAGCGCTCTTAGTATACACTTCCAAATTCTACAAAGAGAGTGTTACTAAACCGCTCTCTCAAAGGAAATGTTAAACTCTGTGAGTTGAACACAGACATCACAAAGCAGTTTCTGAGAACACTTCTGTCTGCCTTTTATGTGAAGACATTCCCTTTTCCAAAGAATGCCTCCAAGGGCTCAAAATATCCACTTGTAGACTTTACAAAGAGAGTGTTTCAAAACTTCTCTACCAAAAGAAAGGTTAAAGACGGTGAGTTCAACGCACACATCACAAAGTTGTTTCTGAGAATGATTCTATCTATGTTTTCCATGAAGATGTTTCCTTTTCTATCATAGGCTTCAAAGTGGTCTAAATATCCACTTGGAAATCCTACAAGAACAGGGTTTCAAAACTTCTCTATCAAACGGAAGACTCCACTCTGTGAGATGAACGCACACATCACAATGAGGTTTCTGAAAATTCTTCTGTCTAGGGTTATAGGAAGAAATCCCGTTTCCAACGAAGGCCTCAAAGAGGTCCAAATATCCACTTGCAGTTTCTACAAAAAGAGTGTTTCAACACTGCTCTATAAAGAGAAAAGTTCCACTCTGTGAGTTGAATGTACACATCACAAAGTAGTTTCTGAGATTGCTTCTGTCTAGGTTTTAGGTGAAGTTATTTCCTTTTCTACTGTGGGCTTCAATGCGCTCTCAATATACACATGCAAATACTACAAAAAGAGTGTTTCAAAACTGCTCTATCAAAAGAAAAGTTTTACTCTGTGAGTTGAACGCACACATCGCAAAGCAGATTCTGAGAATTATTCTGTCTAGTTTTTATAGGAAGATGTTTCTTTTTCTGCCATAGGCTCAATGCGCTATAAATATCCCCTTGGAAATCCTACAAAAACAGTGTTTCAAAACTGCTCTGTGAAAAGGGAGGTTTCACTCTTTGAATTGAATGCACACATCACAAAGGAGTTTCTGAAAATTCTTCAATCTAGAGTTACATGAAGAAATCCCGTTTCCAAAGAAGGCCTCAAATAGGTCCAAATATCCACTTGCAGCTACTACAAGAAGGGTGTTTCAGAAACGCTCTATCAAAAGAAACGTTAAACTCTGTGAGTTGAACGCACACGTCACTAAGCACTTTCTGAGAACGATTCTATCTACTTTTTACATGAAGATGTTTCCTTTTCTAGCAGAGACTTCAAAGTGCTCTAAATATCCACTTGGGAATTCTACAAAAACGGTGTCTCAAAACTGCTCTATCAAAGGGAATGTTCCATTCTGTGAGTCGAATGCACACATCCGAAGAAGTTACTGAGAATTCTTCTCTGTAGGTTTAGATGAAGAAATCCCGTTTCCAACGAAGGCCTCTAGGAGGTCCAATTATCCACTTGCAGATTCTACAGAAAGAGTGTTTCAAAACTGCTCTATCAAGAGAAATGGTCCACCGTGTGTGTGGAATGCAGCCATCACACATTAGTTTCTGAGATTGCTTCTGTCTTGGTTTTATGGGGAGATATTTCCATTTCTAGCATAGGCTTCAAGGCGCTCTAAATATCCGCTTGGAAATACTACAAAAACAGTGTTTCAAAACTGCTGTATCCAAAGGGAAGGTGCCACTCGCTGAGTTGAATGCACACATCACAAGGGAAGTTTCTGAGAATTCTTCTGTCTAGATTCATACGAAGAAATCCCGTTTCCAACGAAGGCCTCAAAGAAGTCCAAATATCCCATTGCAAATTCTACAAAAGGAGTGTTTCCCAACTGCTCTATCAAGAGGAATGTTGCACTCTGTGACTTGAATGCAAACATCACATAGCAGTGTTTGAGAATTCTTCTGTCTAGAGTAACATGAAGAAATCTCGTTTCCAACGAAGGCCTCAAGGCGGTCCAATTATCCACTTGCAGATTCTACAGAAAGAGTGTTTCAAAACTGCTCTATCAAGAGAAATGTTCCACCGTGTGTGTGGAATGCAGCCATCACACAGTAGTTTCTGAGATTGCTTCCGTCTAGGTTTTATGGGAAGATATTTCCTTTTCTACCATAGGCCTCAAGGCGCTCTAATATCCGCTTGGAAATACTACAACCAGATCGTTTCAAACTGCTCTATCCAAAGGAAGGTTCCACTCTGTGACTTGAATGCACACAACCAAAGAAGTTTCGGAGAATTCTTCTGTCTGGATTTATACGAAGAAATCCCGTTTCCAACGAAGACCCAAAGGAGTTCCAAATATCCACTTGCAGATCCTTCAGAAAGAGGGTTTCAAAACTGCTCTATCAAGAGAAATGTTCAACTCTGTGAGTTGAATGCAGACATCACAAAGTCGTTTCTGAGATTGGTTCTGTCTAGGTTTTATGGGAAGATATTTCCTTTTCTACCATACGCTTCAAGGCGTTCCAAATATCCGCTTGGAAATACTACAAAAACGGTGTTTCAAAACTGCTCTATCAAAAGGAAGGATCCACACTGTGAGTTGAATTCACACATCACAAAGAAATCTCTGAGAATTCTTCTGTCTGGGTTTATAGGAAGAAATCCCGTTTCCAACGAAGGCCTCAAAGCGGTCCAAATATCCACTTGCAGATTCTACAGAAACAATGTTTCCAAACTGCTCTATCAAGAGGAATGTTGCACTCGGTGAGTTGAATGCACACATCACAAAGTAGTTTCTGAGATTGCTTCTGTCTACCTTTTATGGAAAGATATTCCCTTTTCTACCATAGGCCTGAAAGCGCTCTCAATGTACCCTTGCAAATTCTACAAAAAGAGTGTTTCCAAATTGCTCTATCAAGAGAAATCTTTATCTCGGTGAGTTGAAAGCACACATCACAAAGAAGACTCTGAGAATTCTTCTGTCTGGGTTTATAAGATGAAAACCCGTTTCCAACGAAGGCCTCAAGGAGGTCCAAATACAAACAAGCTGATTCTACAGAAAGAGTGTTTCCAAACTGCTCTATCAAGAGGAATGTTCCACTCGGTGAGTTGAATGCAGACATCACAAAGGAGTTTCTGAGATTGCTTCTGTCTAGCTTTTATGGAAAGATATTTCCTTTTCTACCATAGGCCTCAAAGCGCTCTTAGTATACACTTCCAAATTCTACAAAGAGAGTGTTACTAAACCGCTCTCTCAAAGGAAATGTTACACTCTGTTAGTTGAACACAGACATCACAAAGCAGTTTCTGAGAACACTTCTGTCTGCCTTTTATGTGAAGACATTCCCTTTTCCAAAGAATGCCTCCAAGGGCTCAAAATATCCACTTGTAGACTTTACAAAGAGAGTGTTTCAAAACTTCTCTACCAAAAGAAAGGTTAAAGATGGTGAGTTCAACGCACACATCACAAAGTTGTTTCTGAGAATGATTCTATCTATGTTTTCCATGAAGATGTTCCCTTTTCTGTCATAGGCTTCAAAGTGGTCTAAATATCCACTTGGAAATCCTACAAGAACAGGGTTTCAAAACTTCTCTATCAAACGGAAGACTCCACTCTGTGAGATGAACGCACACATCACAATGAGGTTTCTGAAAATTCTTCTGTCTAGGGTTATAGGAAGAAATCCCGTTTCCAACGAGGACCTCAAAGAGGTCCAAATATCCACTTGCAGTTTCTACAAAAAGAGTGTTTCAACACTGCTCTATAAAGAGGAAAGTTCCACTCTGTGAGTTGAATGTACACATCACAAAGTAGTTTCTGAGATTGCTTCTGTCTAGGTTTTAGGTGAAGTTATTTCCTTTTCTACTGTGGGCTTCAATGCGCTCTAAATATACACATGCAAATACTACAAAAAGAGTGTTTCAAAACTGCTCTATCAAAAGAAAAGTTTTACTCTGTGAGTTGAACGCACACATCGCAAAGCAGATTCTGAGAATTATTCTGTCTAGTTTTTATACGAAGATGTTTCTTTTTCTGCCATAGGCTCAATGCGCTATAAATATCCCCTTGGAAATCCTACAAAAACAGTGTTTCAAAACTGCTCTGTGAAAAGGGAGGTTTCACTCTTTGAATTGAATGCACACATCACAAAGGAGTTTCTGAAAATTCTTCAATCTAGAGTTACATGAAGAAATCCCGTTTCCAAAGAAGGCCTCAAATAGGTCCAAATATCCACTTGCAGCTACTACAAGCAGGGTGTTTCAGAAACGCTCTATCAAAAGAAACGTTAAACTCTGTGAGTTGAACGCACACGTCACTAAGCACTTTCTGAGAACGATTCTATCTACTTTTTACATGAAGATGTTTCCTTTTCTAGCAGAGAGTTCAAAGTGCTCTAAATATCCACTTGGGAATTCTACAAAAACGGTGTCGCAAAACTGCTCTATCAAACGGAATGTTCCATTCTGTGAGTCGAATGCACACATCCGAAGAAGTTACTGAGAATTCTTCTCTGTAGGTTTAGATGAAGAAATCCCGTTTCCAACGAAGGCCTCTAGGAGGTCCAATTATCCACTTGCAGATTCTACAGAAAGAGTGTTTCAAAACTGCTCTATCAAGAGAAATGGTCCACCGTGTGTGTGGAATGCAGCCATCACACATTAGTTTCTGAGATTGCTTCTGTCTTGGTTTTATGGGGAGATATTTCCATTTCTAGCATAGGCTTCAAGGCGCTCTAAATATCCGCTTGGAAATACTACAAAAACAGTGTTTCAAAACTGCTGTATCCAAAGGAAGGTGCCACTCGCTGAGTTGAATGCACACATCACAAGGAAAGTTTCTGAGAATTCTTCTGTCTAGATTCATACGAAGAAATCCCGTTTCCAACGAAGGCCTCAAAGAAGTCCAAATATCCCATTGCAAATTCTACAAAAGGAGTGTTTCCCAACTGCTCTATCAAGAGGAATGTTGCACTCTGTGACTTGAATGCAAACATCACATAGCAGTTTTTGAGAATTTTTCTGTCTAGAGTAACATGAAGAAATCCCGTTTCCAACGAAGGCCTCAAGGCGGTCCAATTATCCACTTGCAGATTCTACAGAAAGAGTGTTTCAAAACTGCTCTATCAAGAGAAATGTTCCACCGTGTGTGTGGAATGCAGCCATCACACAGTAGTTTCTGAGATTGCTTCCGTCTAGGTTTTATGGGAAGATATTTCCTTTTCTACCATAGGCTTCAAGGCGCTCTAATATCCGCTTGGAAATACTACAACCACAGCGTTTCAAACTGCTCTATCCAAAGGAAGGTTCCACTCTGTGACTTGAATGCACACAACCAAAGAAGTTTCGGAGAATTCTTCTGTCTGGATTTATACGAAGAAATCCCGTTTCCAACGAAGACCCAAAGGAGTTCCAAATATCCACTTGCAGATCCTTCAGAAAGAGGGTTTCAAAACTGCTCTATCAAGAGAAATGTTCAACTCTGTGAGTTGAATGCAGACATCACAAAGTCGTTTCTGAGATTGGTTCTGTCTAGGTTTTATGGGAAGATATTTCCTTTTCTACCATACGCTTCAAGGCGTTCCAAATATCCGCTTGGAAATACTACAAAAACAGTGTTTCAAAACTGCTCTATCAAAAGGAAGGATCCACACTGTGAGTTGAATTCACACATCACAAAGAAGTCTCTGAGAATTCTTCTGTCTGGGTTTATAGGAAGAAATCCCGTTTCCAACGAAGGCCTCAAAGAGGTCCAAATATCCACTTGCAGATTCTACAGAAACAATGTTTCCAAACTGCTCGGTCAAGAGGAATGTTGCACTCGGTGAGTTGAATGCACACATCACAAAGTAGTTTCTGAGATTGCTTCTGTCTACCTTTGATGGAAAGATATTCCCTTTTCTACCATAGGCCTGAAAGCGCTCTCAATGTACCCTTGCAAATTCTACAAAAAGAGTGTTTCCAAATTGCTCTATCAAGAGAAATCTTTATCTCGGTGAGTTGAAAGCACACATCACAAAGAAGACTCTGAGAATTCTTCTGTCTGGGTTTATAAGATGAAAACCCGTTTCCAACGAAGGCCTCAAGGAGGTCCAAATACAAACAAGCTGATTCTACAGAAAGAGTGTTTCCAAACTGCTCTATCAAGAGGAATGTTCCACTCGGTGAGTTGAATGCAGACATCACAAAGGAGTTTCTGAGATTGCTTCTGTCTAGCTTTTATGGAAAGATATTTCCTTTTCTACCATAGGCCTCAAAGCGCTCTTAGTATACACTTCCAAATTCTACAAAGAGAGTGTTACTAAACCGCTCTCTCAAAGGAAATGTTAAACTCTGTGAGTTGAACACAGACATCACAAAGCAGTTTCTGAGAACACTTCTGTCTGCCTTTTATGTGAAGACATTCCCTTTTCCAAAGAATGCCTCCAAGGGCTCAAGATATCCACTTGTAGACTTTACAAAGAGAGTGTTTCAAAACTTCTCTACCAAAAGAAAGGTTAAAGACTGTGAGTTCAACGCACACATCACAAAGTTGTTTCTGAGAATGATTCTACCTATGTTTTCCATGAAGATGTTTCCTTTTCTATCATAGGCTTCAAAGTGGTCTAAATATCCACTTGGAAATCCTACAAGAACAGGGTTTCAAAACTTCTCTATCAAACGGAAGACTCCACTCTGTGAGATGAACGCACACATCACAATGAGGTTTCTGAAAATTCTTCTGTCTAGGGTTATAGGAAGAAATCCCGTTTCCAACGAAGGCCTCAAAGAGGTCCAAATATCCACTTGCAGTTTCTACAAAAAGAGTGTTTCAACACTGCTCTATAAAGAGGAAAGTTCCACTCTGTGAGTTGAATGTACACATCACAAAGTAGTTTCTGAGATTGCTTCTGTCTAGGTTTTAGGTGAAGTTATTTCCTTTTCTACTGTGGGCTTCAATGCGCTCTAAATATACACATGCAAATACTACAAAAAGAGTGTTTCAAAACTGCTCTATCAAAAGAAAAGTTTTACTCTGTGAGTTGAACGCACACATCGCAAAGCAGATTCTGAGAATTATTCTGTCTAGTTTTTATAGGAAGATGTTTCTTTTTCTGCCATAGGCTCAATGCGCTATAAATATCCCCTTGGAAATCCTACAAAAACAATGTTTCAAAACTGCTCTGTGAAAAGGGAGGTTTCACTCTTTGAATTGAATGCACACATCACAAAGGAGTTTCTGAAAATTCTTCAATCTAGAGTTACATGAAGAAATCCCGTTTCCAAAGAAGGCCTCAAATAGGTCCAAATATCCACTTGCAGCTACTACAAGAAGGGTGTTTCAGAAACGCTCTATCAAAAGAAACGTTAAACTCTGTGAGTTGAACGCACACGTCACTAAGCACTTTCTGAGAACGATTCTATCTACTTTTTACATGAAGATGTTTCCTTTTCTAGCAGAGACTTCAAAGTGCTCTAAATATCCACTTGGGAATTCTACAAAAACGGTGTCTCAAAACTGCTCTATCAAAGGGAATGTTCCATTCTGTGAGTCAAATGCACACATCCGAAGAAGTTACTGAGAATTCTTCTCTGTAGGTTTAGATGAAGAAATCCCGTTTCCAACGAAGGCCTCTAGGAGGTCCAATTATCCACTTGCAGATTCTACAGAAAGAGTGTTTCAAAACTGCTCTATCAAGAGAAATGGTCCACCGTGTGTGTGGAATGCAGCCATCACACATTAGTTTCTGAGATTGCTTCTGTCTTGGTTTTATGGGGAGATATTTCCATTTCTAGCATAGGCTTCAAGGCGCTCTAAATATCCGCTTGGAAATACTACAAAAACAGTGTTTCAAAACTGCTGTATCCAAAGGAAGGTGCCACTCGCTGAGTTGAATGCACACATCACAAGGAAGTTTCTGAGAATTCTTCTGTCTAGATTCATACGAAGAAATCCCGTTTCCAACGAAGGCCTCAAAGAAGTCCAAATATCCCATTGCAAATTCTACAAAAGGAGTGTTTCCCAACTGCTCTATCAAGAGGAATGTTGCACTCTGTGACTTGCATGCAAACATCACACAGCAGTGTTTGAGAATTCTTCTGTCTAGAGTAACATGAAGAAATCCCGTTTCCAACGAAGGCCTCAAGGCGGTCCAATTATCCACTTGCAGATTCTACAGAAAGAGTGTTTCAAAACTGCTCTATCAAGAGAAATGTTCCACCGTGTGTGTGGAATGCAGCCATCACACAGTAGTTTCTGAGATTGCTTCCGTCTAGGTTTTATGGGAAGATATTTCCTTTTCTACCATAGGCCTCAAGGCGCTCTAATATCCGCTTGGAAATACTACAACCACAGCGTTTCAAACTGCTCTATCCAAAGGAAGGTTCCACTCTGTGACTTGAATGCACACAACCAAAGAAGTTTCGGAGAATTCTTCTGTCTAGATTTATACGAAGAAATCCCGTTTCCAACGAAGACCCAAAGGAGTTCCAAATATCCACTTGCAGATCCTTCAGAAAGAGGGTTTCAAAACTGCTCTATCAAGAGAAATGTTCAACTCTGTGAGTTGAATGCAGACATCACAAAGTCGTTTCTGAGATTGGTTCTGTCTAGGTTTTATGGGAAGATATTTCCTTTTCTACCATACGCTTCAAGGCGTTCCAAATATCCGCTTGGAAATACTACAAAAACAGTGTTTCAAAACTGCTCTATCAAAAGGAAGGATCCACACTGTGAGTTGAATTCACACATCACAAAGAAGTCTCTGAGAATTCTTCTGTCTGGGTTTATAGGAAGAAATCCCGTTTCCAACGAAGGCCTCAAAGAGGTCCAAATATCCACTTGCAGATTCTACAGAAACAATGTTTCCAAACTGCTCGGTCAAGAGGAATGTTGCACTCGGTGAGTTGAATGCACACATCACAAAGTAGTTTCTGAGATTGCTTCTGTCTACCTTTTATGGAAAGATATTCCCTTTTCTACCATAGGCCTGAAAGCGCTCTCAATGTACCCTTGCAAATTCTACAAAAAGAGTGTTTCCAAATTGCTCTATCAAGAGAAATCTTTATCTCGGTGAGTTGAAAGCACACATCACAAAGAAGACTCTGAGAATTCTTCTGTCTGGGTTTATAAGATGAAAACCCGTTTCCAACGAAGGCCTCAAGGAGGTCCAAATACAAACAAGCTGATTCTACAGAAAGAGTGTTTCCAAACTGCTCTATCAAGAGGAATGTTCCACTCGGTGAGTTGAATGCAGACATCACAAAGGAGTTTCTGAGATTGCTTCTGTCTAGCTTTTATGGAAAGATATTTCCTTTTCTACCATAGGCCTCAAAGCGCTCTTAGTATACACTTCCAAATTCTACAAAGAGAGTGTTACTAAACCGCTCTCTCAAAGGAAATGTTAAACTCTGTGAGTTGAACACAGACATCACAAAGCAGTTTCTGAGAACACTTCTGTCTGCCTTTTATGTGAAGACATTCCCTTTTCCAAAGAATGCCTCCAAGGGCTCAAAATATCCACTTGTAGACTTTACAAAGAGAGTGTTTCAAAACTTCTCTACCAAAAGAAAGGTTAAAGACGGTGAGTTCAACGCACACATCACAAAGTTGTTTCTGAGAATGATTCTATCTATGTTTTCCATGAAGATGTTTCCTTTTCTATCATAGGCTTCAAAGTGGTCTAAATATCCACTTGGAAATCCTACAAGAACAGGGTTTCAAAACTTCTCTATCAAACGGAAGACTCCACTCTGTGAGATGAACGCACACATCACAATGAGGTTTCTGAAAATTCTTCTGTCTAGGGTTATAGGAAGAAATCCCGTTTCCAACGAAGGCCTCAAAGAGGTCCAAATATCCACTTGCAGTTTCTACAAAAAGAGTGTTTCAACACTGCTCTATAAAGAGAAAAGTTCCACTCTGTGAGTTGAATGTACACATCACAAAGTAGTTTCTGAGATTGCTTCTGTCTAGGTTTTAGGTGAAGTTATTTCCTTTTCTACTGTGGGCTTCAATGCGCTCTAAATATACACATGCAAATACTACAAAAAGAGTGTTTCAAAACTGCTCTATCAAAAGAAAAGTTTTACTCTGTGGGTTGAACGCACACATCGCAAAGCAGATTCTGAGAATTATTCTGTCTAGTTTTTATAGGAAGATGTTTCTTTTTCTGCCATAGGATCAATGCGCTATAAATATCCCCTTGGAAGTCCTACAAAAACAGTGTTTCAAAACTGCTCTGTGAAAAGGGAGGTTTCACTCTTTGAATTGAATGCACACATCACAAAGGAGTTTCTGAAAATTCTTCAAACTAGAGTTACATGAAGAAATCCCGTTTCCAAAGAAGGCCTCATATAGGTCCAAATATCCACTTGCAGCTACTACAAGAAGGGTGTTTCAGAAACGCTCTATCAAAAGAAACGTTAAACTCTGTGAGTTGAACGCACACGTCACTAAGCACTTTCTGAGAACGATTCTATCTACTTTTTACATGAAGATGTTTCCTTTTCTAGCAGAGACTTCAAAGTGCTCTAAATATCCACTTGGGAATTCTACAAAAACGGTGTCTCAAAACTGCTCTATCAAACGGAATGTTCCATTCTGTGAGTCGAATGCACACATCCGAAGAAGTTACTGAGAATTCTTCTCTGTAGGTTTAGATGAAGAAATCCCGTTTCCAACGAAGGCCTCTAGGAGGTCCAATTATCCACTTGCAGATTCTACAGAAAGAGTGTTTCAAAACTGCTCTATCAAGAGAAATGGTCCACCGTGTGTGTGGAATGCAGCCATCACACATTAGTTTCTGAGATTGCTTCTGTCTTGGTTTTATGGGGAGATATTTCCATTTCTAGCATAGGCTTCAAGGCGCTCTAAATATCCGCTTGGAAATACTACAAAAACAGTGTTTCAAAACTGCTGTATCCAAAGGAAGGTGCCACTCGCTGAGTTGAATGCACACATCACAAGGAAGTTTCTGAGAATTCTTCTGTCTAGATTCATACGAAGAAATCCCGTTTCCAACGAAGGCCTCAAAGAAGTCCAAATATCCCATTGCAAATTCTACAAAAGGAGTGTTTCCCAACTGCTCTATCAAGAGGAATGTTGCACTCTGTGACTTGCATGCAAACATCACACAGCAGTGTTTGAGAATTCTTCTGTCTAGAGTAACATGAAGAAATCCCGTTTCCAACGAAGGCCTCAAGGCAGTCCAATTATCCACTTGCAGATTCTACAGAAAGAGTGTTTCAAAACTGCTCTATCAAGAGAAATGTTCCACCGTGTGTGTGGAATGCAGCCATCACACAGTAGTTTCTGAGATTGCTTCCGTCTGGTTTTATGGGAAGATATTTCCTTTTCTACCATAGGCTTCAAGGCGCTCTAATATCCGCTTGGAAATACTACAACCACAGCGTTTCAAACTGCTCTATCCAAAGGAAGGTTCCACTCTGTGACTTGAATGCACACAACCAAAGAAGTTTCGGAGAATTCTTCTGTCTGGATTTATACGAAGAAATCCCGTTTCCAACGAAGACCCAAAGGAGTTCCAAATATCCACTTGCAGATCCTTCAGAAAGAGGGTTTCAAAACTGCTCTATCAAGAGAAATGTTCAACTCTGTGAGTTGAATGCAGACATCACAAAGTCGTTTCTGAGATGGGTTCTGTCTAGGTTTTATGGGAAGATATTTCCTTTTCTACCATACGCTTCAAGGCGTTCCAAATATCCGCTTGGAAATACTACAAAAACAGTGTTTCAAAACTGCTCTATCAAAAGGAAGGATCCACACTGTGAGTTGAATTCACACATCACAAAGAAATCTCTGAGAATTCTTCTGTCTGGGTTTATAGGAAGAAATCCCGTTTCCAACGAAGGCCTCAAAGCGGTCCATATATCCACTTGCAGATTCTACAGAAACAATGTTTCCAAACTGCTCTATCAAGAGGAATGTTGCACTCGGTGAGTTGAATGCACACATCACAAAGTAGTTTCTGAGATTGCTTCTGTCTACCTTTTATGGAAAGATATTCCCTTTTCTACCATAGGCCTGAAAGCGCTCTCAATGTACCCTTGCAAATTCTACAAAAAGAGTGTTTCCAAATTGCTCTATCAAGAGAAATCTTTATCTCGGTGAGTTGAAAGCACACATCACAAAGAAGACTCTGAGAATTCTTCTGTCTGGGTTTATAAGATGAAAACCCGTTTCCAACGAAGGCCTCAAGGAGGTCCAAATACAAACAAGCTGATTCTACAGAAAGAGTGTTTCCAAACTGCTCTATCAAGAGGAATGTTCCACTCGGTGAGTTGAATGCAGACATCACAAAGGAGTTTCTGAGATTGCTTCTGTCTAGCTTTTATGGAAAGATATTTCCTTTTCTACCATAGGCCTCAAAGCGCTCTTAGTATACACTTCCAAATTCTACAAAGAGAGTGTTACTAAACCGCTCTCTCAAAGGAAATGTTAAACTCTGTGAGTTGAACACAGACATCACAAAGCAGTTTCTGAGAACACTTCTGTCTGCCTTTTATGTGAAGACATCCCCTTTTCCAAAGAATGCCTCCAAGGGCTCAAAATATCCACTTGTAGACTTTACAAAGAGAGTGTTTCAAAACTTCTCTACCAAAAGAAAGGTTAAAGACGGTGAGTTCAACGCACACATCACAAAGTTGTTTCTGAGAATGATTCTATCTATGTTTTCCATGAAGATGTTTCCTTTTCTATCATAGGCTTCAAAGTGGTCTAAATATCCACTTGGAAATCCTACAAGAACAGGGTTTCAAAACTTCTCTATCAAACGGAAGACTCCACTCTGTGAGATGAACGCACACATCACAATGAGGTTTCTGAAAATTCTTCCTGTCTAGGGTTATAGGAAGAAATCCCGTTTCCAACGAAGGCCTCAAAGAGGTCCAAATATCCACTTGCAGTTTCTACAAAAAGAGTGTTTCAACACTGCTCTATAAAGAGGAAAGTTCCACTCTGTGAGTTGAATGTACACATCACAAAGTAGTTTCTGAGATTGCTTCTGTCTAGGTTTTAGGTGAAGTTATTTCCTTTTCTACTGTGGGCTTCAATGCGCTCTAAATATACACATGCAAATACTACAAAAAGAGTGTTTCAAAACTGCTCTATCAAAAGAAAAGTTTTACTCTGTGGGTTGAACGCACACATCGCAAAGCAGATTCTGAGAATTATTCTGTCTAGTTTTTATAGGAAGATGTTTCTTTTTCTGCCGTAGGCTCAATGCGCTATAAATATCCCCTTGGAAATCCTACAAAAACAGTGTTTCAAAACTGCTCTGTGAAAAGGGAGGTTTCACTCTTTGAATTGAATGCACACATCACAAAGGAGTTTCTGAAAATTCTTCAAACTAGAGTTACATGAAGAAATCCCGTTTCCAAAGAAGGCCTCAAATAGGTCCAAATATCCACTTGCAGCTACTACAAGAAGGGTGTTTCAGAAACGCTCTATCAAAAGAAACGTTAAACTCTGTGAGTTGAACGCACACGTCACTAAGCACTTTCTGAGAACGATTCTATCTACTTTTTACATGAAGATGTTTCCTTTTCTAGCAGAGACTTCAAAGTGCTCTAAATATCCACTTGGGAATTCTACAAAAACGGTGTCTCAAAACTGCTCTATCAAAGGGAATGTTCCATTCTGTGAGTCGAATGCACACATCCGAAGAAGTTACTGAGAATTCTTCTCTGTAGGTTTAGATGAAGAAATCCCGTTTCCAACGAAGGCCTCTAGGAGGTCCAATTATCCACTTGCAGATTCTACAGAAAGAGTGTTTCAAAACTGCTCTATCAAGAGAAATGGTCCACCGTGTGTGTGGAATGCAGCCATCACACATTAGTTTCTGAGATTGCTTCTGTCTTGGTTTTATGGGGAGATATTTCCATTTCTAGCATAGGCTTCCAGGCGCTCTAAATATTCGCTTGGAAATAGTACAAAAACAGTGTTTCAAAACTGCTGTATCCAAAGGAAGGTGCCACTCGCTGAGTTGAATGCACACATCACAAGGAAGTTTCTGAGAATTCTTCTGTCTAGATTCATATGAAGAAATCCCGTTTCCAACGAAGGCCTCAAAGAAGTCCAAATATCCCATTGCAAATTCTACAAAAGGAGTGTTTCCCAACTGCTCTATCAAGAGGAATGTTGCACTCTGTGACTTGAATGCAAACATCACATAGCAGTGTTTGAGAATTCTTCTGTCTAGAGTAACATGAAGAAATCCCGTTTCCAACGAAGGCCTCAAGGCGGTCCAATTATCCACTTGCAGATTCTACAGAAAGAGTGTTTCAAAACTGCTCTATCAAGAGAAATGTTCCACCGTGTGTGTGGAATGCAGCCATCACACAGTAGTTTCTGAGATTGCTTCCGTCTAGGTTTTATGGGAAGATATTTCCTTTTCTACCATAGGCTTCAAGGCTCTCTAATATCCGCTTGGAAATACTACAACCAGAGCGTTTCAAACTGCTCTATCCAAAGGAAGGTTCCACTCTGTGACTTGAATGCACACAACCAAAGAAGTTTCGGAGAATTCTTCTGTCTGGATTTATACGAAGAAATCCCGTTTCCAACGAAGACCCAAAGGAGTTCCAAATATCCACTTGCAGATCCTTCAGAAAGAGGGTTTCAAAACTGCTCTATCAAGAGAAATGTTCAACTCTGTGAGTTGAATGCAGACATCACAAAGTCGTTTCTGAGATTGGTTCTGTCTAGGTTTTATGGGAAGATATTTCCTTTTCTACCATACGCTTCAAGGCGTTCCAAATATCCGCTTGGAAATACTACAAAAACAGTGTTTCAAAACTGCTCTATCAAAAGGAAGGATCCACACTGTGAGTTGAATTCACACATCACAAAGAAGTCTCTGAGAATTCTTCTGTCTGGGTTTATAGGAAGAAATCCCGTTTCCAACGAAGGCCTCAAAGAGGTCCAAATATCCACTTGCAGATTCTACAGAAACAATGTTTCCAAACTGCTCGGTCAAGAGGAATGTTGCACTCGGTGAGTTGAATGCACACATCACAAAGTAGTTTCTGAGATTGCTTCTGTCTACCTTTTATGGAAAGATATTCCCTTTTCTACCATAGGCCTGAAAGCGCTCTCAATGTACCCTTGCAAATTCTACAAAAAGAGTGTTTCCAAATTGCTCTATCAAGAGAAATCTTTATCTCGGTGAGTTGAAAGCACACATCACAAAGAAGACTCTGAGAATTCTTCTGTCTGGGTTTATAAGATGAAAACCCGTTTCCAACGAAGGCCTCAAGGAGGTCCAAATACAAACAAGCTGATTCTACAGAAAGAGTGTTTCCAAACTGCTCTATCAAGAGGAATGTTCCACTCGGTGAGTTGAATGCAGACATCACAAAGGAGTTTCTGAGATTGCTTCTGTCTAGCTTTTATGGAAAGATATTTCCTTTTCTACCATAGGCCTCAAAGCGCTCTTAGTATACACTTCCAAATTCTACAAAGAGAGTGTTACTAAACCGCTCTCTCAAAGGAAATGTTAAACTCTGTGAGTTGAACACAGACATCACAAAGCAGTTTCTGAGAACACTTCTGTCTGCCTTTTATGTGAAGACATTCCCTTTTCCAAAGAATGCCTCCAAGGGCTCAAAATATCCACTTGTAGACTTTACAAAGAGAGTGTTTCAAAACTTCTCTACCAAAAGAAAGGTTAAAGACGGTGAGTTCAACGCACACATCACAAAGTTGTTTCTGAGAATGATTCTATCTATGTTTTCCATGAAGATGTTTCCTTTTCTATCATAGGCTTCAAAGTGGTCTAAATATCCACTTGGAAATCCTACAAGAACAGGGTTTCAAAACTTCTCTATCAAACGGAACACTCCACTCTGTGAGATGAACGCACACATCACAATGAGGTTTCTGAAAATTCTTCTGTCTAGGGTTATAGGAAGAAATCCCGTTTCCAACGAAGGCCTCAAAGAGGTCCAAATATCCACTTGCAGTTTCTACAAAAAGAGTGTTTCAACACTGCTCTATAAAGAGGAAAGTTCCACTCTGTGAGTTGAATGTACACATCACAAAGTAGTTTCTGAGATTGCTTCTGTCTAGGTTTTAGGTGAAGTTATTTCCTTTTCTACTTTGGGCTTCAATGCGCTCTAAATATACACATGCAAATACTACAAAAAGAGTGTTTCAAAACTGCTCTATCAAAAGAAAAGTTTTACTCTGTGGGTTGAACGCACACATCGCAAAGCAGATTCTGAGAATTATTCTGTCTAGTTTTTATAGGAAGATGTTTCTTTTTCTGCCGTAGGCTCAATGCGCTATAAATATCCCCTTGGAAATCCTACAAAAACAGTGTTTCAAAACTGCTCTGTGAAAAGGGAGGTTTCACTCTTTGAATTGAATGCACACATCACAAAGGAGTTTCTGAAAATTCTTCAAACTAGAGTTACATGAAGAAATCCCGTTTCCAAAGAAGGCCTCAAATAGGTCCAAATATCCACTTGCAGCTACTACAAGAAGGGTGTTTCAGAAACGCTCTATCAAAAGAAACGTTAAACTCTGTGAGTTGAACGCACACGTCACTAAGCACTTTCTGAGAACGATTCTATCTACTGTTTACATGAAGATGTTTCCTTTTCTAGCAGAGACTTCAAAGTGCTCTAAATATCCACTTGGGAATTCTACAAAAACGGTGTCTCAAAACTGCTCTATCAAACGGAATTTTCCATTCTGTGAGTCGAATGCACACATCCGAAGAAGTTACTGAGAATTCTTCTCTGTAGGTTTAGATGAAGAAATCCCGTTTCCAACGAAGGCCTCTAGGAGGTCCAATTATCCACTTGCAGATTCTACAGAAAGAGTGTTTCAAAACTGCTCTATCAAGAGAAATGGTCCACCGTGTGTGTGGAATGCAGCCATCACACATTAGTTTCTGAGATTGCTTCTGTCTTGGTTTTATGGGGAGATATTTCCATTTCTAGCATAGGCTTCAAGGCGCTCTAAATATCCGCTTGGAAATACTACAAAAACAGTGTTTCAAAACTGCTGTATCCAAAGGAAGGTGCCACTCGCTGAGTTGAATGCACACATCACAAGGAAGTTTCTGAGAATTCTTCTGTCTAGATTCATACGAAGAAATCCCGTTTCCAACGAAGGCCTCAAAGAAGTCCAAATATCCCATTGCAAATTCTACAAAAGGAGTGTTTCCCAACTGCTCTATCAAGAGGAATGTTGCACTCTGTGACTTGAATGCAAACATCACATAGCAGTGTTTGAGAATTCTTCTGTCTAGAGTAACATGAAGAAATCCCGTTTCCAACGAAGGCCTCAAGGCGGTCCAATTATCCACTTGCAGATTCTACAGAAAGAGTGTTTCAAAACTGCTCTATCAAGAGAAATGTTCCACCGTGTGTGTGGAATGCAGCCATCACACAGTAGTTTCTGAGATTGCTTCCGTCTAGGTTTTATGGGAAGATATTTCCTTTTCTACCATAGGCTTCAAGGCGCTCTAATATCCGCTTGGAAATACTACAACCACAGCGTTTCAAACTGCTCTATCCAAAGGAAGGTTCCACTCTGTGACTTGAATGCACACAACCAAAGAAGTTTCGGAGAATTCTTCTGTCTGGATTTATACGAAGAAATCCCGTTTCCAACGAAGACCCAAAGGAGTTCCAAATATCCACTTGCAGATCCTTCAGAAAGAGGGTTTCAAAACTGCTCTATCAAGAGAAATGTTCAACTCTGTGAGTTGAATGCAGACATCACAAAGTCGTTTCTGAGATGGGTTCTGTCTAGGTTTTATGGGAAGATATTTCCTTTTCTACCATACGCTTCAAGGCTTTCCAAATATCCGCTTGGAAATACTACAAAAACAGTGTTTCAAAACTGCTCTATCAAAAGGAAGGATCCACACTGTGAGTTGAATTCACACATCACAAAGAAGTCTCTGAGAATTCTTCTGTCTGGGTTTATAGGAAGAAATCCCGTTTCCAACGAAGGCCTCAAAGCGGTCCATATATCCACTTGCAGATTCTACAGAAACAATGTTTCCAAACTGCTCTATCAAGAGGAATGTTGCACTCGGTGAGTTGAATGCACACATCACAAAGTAGTTTCTGAGATTGCTTCTGTCTACCTTTTCTACCATAGGCCTGAAAGCGCTCTCAATGTACCCTTGCAAATTCTACAAAAAGAGTGTTTCCAAATTGCTCTATCAAGAGAAATCTTTATCTCGGTGAGTTGAAAGCACACATCACAAAGAAGACTCTGAGAATTCTTCTGCCTGGGTTTATAAGATGAAAACCCGTTTCCAACGAAGGCCTCAAGGAGGTCCAAATACAAACAAGCTGATTCTACAGAAAGAGTGTTTCCAAACTGCTCTATCAAGAGGAATGTTCCACTCGGTGAGTTGAATGCAGACATCACAAAGGAGTTTCTGAGATTGCTTCTGTCTAGCTTTTATGGAAAGATATTTCCTTTTCTACCATAGGCCTCAAAGCGCTCTTAGTATACACTTCCAAATTCTACAAAGAGAGTGTTACTAAACCGCTCTCTCAAAGGAAATGTTAAACTCTGTGAGTTGAACACAGACATCACAAAGCAGTTTCTGAGAACACTTCTGTCTGCCTTTTATGTGAAGACATTCCCTTTTCCAAAGAATGCCTCCAAGGGCTCAAAATATCCACTTGTAGACTTTACAAAGAGAGTGTTTCAAAACTTCTCTACCAAAAGAAAGGTTAAAGACGGTGAGTTCAACACACACATCACAAAGTTGTTTCTGAGAATGATTCTATCTATGTTTTCCATGAAGATGTTTCCTTTTCTATCATAGGCTTCAAAGTGGTCTAAATATCCACTTGGAAATCCTACAAGAACAGGGTTTCAAAACTTCTCTATCAAACGGAAGACTCCACTCTGTGAGATGAACGCACACATCACAATGAGGTTTCTGAAAATTCTTCTGTCTAGGGTTATAGGAAGAAATCCCGTTTCCAACGAAGGCCTCAAAGAGGTCCAAATATCCACTTGCAGTTTCTACAAAAAGAGTGTTTCAACACTGCTCTATAAAGAGGAAAGTTCCACTCTGTGAGTTGAATGTACACATCACAAAGTAGTTTCTGAGATTGCTTCTGTCTAGGTTTTAGGTGAAGTTATTTCCTTTTCTACTGTGGGCTTCAATGCGCTCTAAATATACACATGCAAATACTACAAAAAGAGTGTTTCAAAACTGCTCTATCAAAAGAAAAGTTTTACTCTGTGGGTTGAACGCACACATCGCAAAGCAGATTCTGAGAATTATTCTGTCTAGTTTTTATAGGAAGATGTTTCTTTTTCTGCCATAGGATCAATGCGCTATAAATATCCCCTTGGAAGTCCTACAAAAACAGTGTTTCAAAACTGCTCTGTGAAAAGGGAGGTTTCACTCTTTGAATTGAATGCACACATCACAAAGGAGTTTCTGAAAATTCTTCAATCTAGAGTTACATGAAGAAATCCCGTTTCCAAAGAAGGCCTCAAATAGGTCCAAATATCCACTTGCAGCTACTACAAGCAGGGTGTTTCAGAAACGCTCTATCAAAAGAAACGTTAAACTCTGTGAGTTGAACACACACGTCACTAAGCACTTTCTGAGAACGATTCTATCTACTTTTTACATGAAGATGTTTCCTTTTCTAGCAGAGACTTCAAAGTGCTCTAAATATCCACTTGGGAATTCTACAAAAACGGTGTCTCAAAACTGCTCTATCAAACGGAATGTTCCATTCTGTGAGTCGAATGCACACATCCGAAGAAGTTACTGAGAATTCTTCTCTGTAGGTTTAGATGAAGAAATCCCATTTCCAACGAAGGCCTCTAGGAGGTCCAATTATCCACTTGCAGATTCTACACAAAGAGTGTTTCAAAACTGCTCTATCAAGAGAAATGGTCCACCGTGTGTGTGGAATGCAGCCATCACACATTAGTTTCTGAGATTGCTTCTGTCTTGGTTTTATGGGGAGATATTTCCATTTCTAGCATAGGCTTCAAGGCGCTCTAAATATCCGCTTGGAAATACTACAAAAACAGTGTTTCAAAACTGCTGTATCCAAAGGAAGGTGCCACTCGCTGAGTTGAATGCACACATCACAAGGAAGTTTCTGAGAATTCTTCTGTCTAGATTCATACGAAGAAATCCCGTTTCCAACGAAGGCCTCAAAGAAGTCCAAATATCCCATTGCAAATTCTACAAAAGGAGTGTTTCCCAACTGCTCTATCAAGAGGAATGTTGCACTCTGTGACTTGCATGCAAACATCACACAGCAGTGTTTGAGAATTCTTCTGTCTAGAGTAACATGAAGAAATCCCGTTTCCAACGAAGGCCTCAAGGCGGTCCAATTATCCACTTGCAGATTCTACAGAAAGAGTGTTTCAAAACTGCTCTATCAAGAGAAATGTTCCACCGTGTGTGTGGAATGCAGCCATCACACAGTAGTTTCTGAGATTGCTTCCGTCTAGGTTTTATGGGAAGATATTTCCTTTTCTACCATAGGCCTCAAGGCGCTCTAATATCCGCTTGGAAATACTACAACCACAGCGTTTCAAACTGCTCTATCCAAAGGAAGGTTCCACTCTGTGACTTGAATGCACACAACCAAAGAAGTTTCGGAGAATTCTTCTGTCTAGATTTATACGAAGAAATCCCGTTTCCAACGAAGACCCAAAGGAGTTCCAAATATCCACTTGCAGATCCTTCAGAAAGAGGGTTTCAAAACTGCTCTATCAAGAGAAATGTTCAACTCTGTGAGTTGAATGCAGACATCACAAAGTCGTTTCTGAGATTGGTTCTGTCTAGGTTTTATGGGAAGATATTTCCTTTTCTACCATACGCTTCAAGGCGTTCCAAATATCCGCTTGGAAATACTACAAAAACGGTGTTTCAAAACTGCTCTATCAAAAGGAAGGATCCACACTGTGAGATGAATTCACACATCACAAAGAAGTCTCTGAGAATTCTTCTGTCTGGGTTTATAGGAAGAAATCCCGTTTCCAACGAAGGCCTCAAAGAGGTCCAAATATCCACTTGCAGATTCTACAGAAACAATGTTTCCAAACTGCTCGGTCAAGAGGAATGTTGCACTCGGTGAGTTGAATGCACACATCACAAAGTAGTTTCTGAGATTTCTTCTGTCTACCTTTTATGGAAAGATATTCCCTTTTCTACCATAGGCCTGAAAGCGCTCTCAATGTACCCTTGCAAATTCTACAAAAAGAGTGTTTCCAAATTGCTCTATCAAGAGAAATCTTTATCTCGGTGAGTTGAAAGCACACATCACAAAGAAGACTCTGAGAATTCTTCTGTCTGGGTTTATAAGATGAAAACCCGTTTCCAACGAAGGCCTCAAGGAGGTCCAAATACAAACAAGCTGATTCTACAGAAAGAGTGTTTCCAAACTGCTCTATCAAGAGGAATGTTCCACTCGGTGAGTTGAATGCAGACATCACAAAGGAGTTTCTGAGATTGCTTCTGTCTAGCTTTTATGGAAAGATATTTCCTTTTCTACCATAGGCCTCAAAGCGCTCTTAGTATACACTTCCAAATTCTACAAAGAGAGTGTTACTAAACCGCTCTCTCAAAGGAAATGTTAAACTCTGTGAGTTGAACACAGACATCACAAAGCAGTTTCTGAGAACACTTCTGTCTGCCTTTTATGTGAAGACATTCCCTTTTCCAAAGAATGCCTCCAAGGGCTCAAAATATCCACTTGTAGACTTTACAAAGAGAGTGTTTCAAAACTTCTCTACCAAAAGAAAGGTTAAAGACGGTGAGTTCAACGCACACATCACAAAGTTGTTTCTGAGAATGATTCTATCTATGTTTTCCATGAAGATGTTTCCTTTTCTATCATAGGCTTCAAAGTGGTCTAAATATCCACTTGGAAATCCTACAAGAACAGGGTTTCAAAACTTCTCTATCAAACGGAAGACTCCACTCTGTGAGATGAACGCACACATCACAATGAGGTTTCTGAAAATTCTTCTGTCTAGGGTTATAGGAAGAAATCCCGTTTCCAACGAAGGCCTCAAAGAGGTCCAAATATCCACTTGCAGTTTCTACAAAAAGAGTGTTTCAACACTGCTCTATAAAGAGGAAAGTTCCACTCTGTGAGTTGAATGTACACATCACAAAGTAGTTTCTGAGATTGCTTCTGTCTAGGTTTTAGGTGAAGTTATTTCCTTTTCTACTGTGGGCTTCAATGCGCTCTAAATATACACATGCAAATACTACAAAAAGAGTGTTTCAAAACTGCTCTATCAAAAGAAAAGTTTTACTCTGTGGGTTGAACGCACACATCGCAAAGCAGATTCTGAGAATTATTCTGTCTAGTTTTTATAGGAAGATGTTTCTTTTTCTGCCGTAGGCTCAATGCGCTATAAATATCCCCTTGGAAATCCTACAAAAACAGTGTTTCAAAACTGCTCTGTGAAAAGGGAGGTTTCACTCTTTGAATTGAATGCACACATCACAAAGGAGTTTCTGAAAATTCTTCAAACTAGAGTTACATGAAGAAATCCCGTTTCCAAAGAAGGCCTCAAATAGGTCCAAATATCCACTTGCAGCTACTACAAGCAGGGTGTTTCAGAAACGCTCTATCAAAAGAAACGTTAAACTCTGTGAGTTGAACACACACGTCACTAAGCACTTTCTGAGAACGATTCTATCTACTTTTTACATGAAGATGTTTCCTTTTCTAGCAGAGACTTCAAAGTGCTCTAAATATCCACTTGGGAATTCTACAAAAACGGTGTCTCAAAACTGCTCTATCAAACGGAATGTTCCATTCTGTGAGTCGAATGCACACATCCGAAGAAGTTACTGAGAATTCTTCTCTGTAGGTTTAGATGAAGAAATCCCGTTTCCAACGAAGGCCTCTAGGAGGTCCAATTATCCACTTGCAGATTCTACAGAAAGAGTGTTTCAAAACTGCTCTATCAAGAGAAATGGTCCACCGTGTGTGTGGAATGCAGCCATCACACATTAGTTTCTGAGATTGCTTCTGTCTTGGTTTTATGGGGAGATATTTCCATTTCTAGCATAGGCTTCAAGGCGCTCTAAATATCCGCTTGGAAATACTACAAAAACAGTGTTTCAAAACTGCTGTATCCAAAGGAAGGTGCCACTCGCTGAGTTGAATGCACACATCACAAGGAAGTTTCTGAGAATTCTTCTGTCTAGATTCATACGAAGAAATCCCGTTTCCAACGAAGGCCTCAAAGAAGTCCAAATATCCCATTGCAAATTCTACAAAAGGAGTGTTTCCCAACTGCTCTATCAAGAGGAATGTTGCACTCTGTGACTTGAATGCAAACATCACACAGCAGTGTTTGAGAATTCTTCTGTCTAGAGTAACATGAAGAAATCCCGTTTCCAACGAAGGCCTCAAGGCGGTCCAATTATCCACTTGCAGATTCTACAGAAAGAGTGTTTCAAAACTGCTCTATCAAGAGAAATGTTCCACCGTGTGTGTGGAATGCAGCCATCACACAGTAGTTTCTGAGATTGCTTCCGTCTAGGTTTTATGGGAAGATATTTCCTTTTCTACCATAGGCCTCAAGGCGCTCTAATATCCGCTTGGAAATACTACAACCACAGCGTTTCAAACTGCTCTATCCAAAGGAAGGTTCCACTCTGTGACTTGAATGCACACAACCAAAGAAGTTTCGGAGAATTCTTCTGTCTGGATTTATACGAAGAAATCCCGTTTCCAACGAAGACCCAAAGGAGTTCCAAATATCCACTTGCAGATCCTTCAGAAAGAGGGTTTCAAAACTGCTCTATCAAGAGAAATGTTCAACTCTGTGAGTTGAATGCAGACATCACAAAGTCGTTTCTGAGAATGGGTTCTGTCTAGGTTTTATGGGAAGATATTTCCTTTTCTACCATACGCTTCAAGGCTTTCCAAATATCCGCTTGGAAATAGTACAAAAACAGTGTTTCAAAACTGCTCTATCAAAAGGAAGGATCCACACTGTGAGTTGAATTCACACATCACAAAGAAATCTCTGAGAATTCTTCTGTCTGGGTTTATAGGAAGAAATCCCGTTTCCAACGAAGGCCTCAAAGCGGTCCATATATCCACTTGCAGATTCTACAGAAACAATGTTTCCAAACTGCTCGGTCAAGAGGAATGTTGCACTCGGTGAGTTGAATGCACACATCACAAAGTAGTTTCTGAGATTGCTTCTGTCTACCTTTGATGGAAAGATATTCCCTTTTCTACCATAGGCCTGAAAGCGCTCTCAATGTACCCTTGCAAATTCTACGAAAAGAGTGTTTCCAAATTGCTCTATCAAGAGAAATCTTTATCTCGGTGAGTTGAAAGCACACATCACAAAGAAGACTCTGAGAATTCTTCTGTCTGGGTTTATAAGATGAAAACCCGTTTCCAACGAAGGCCTCAAGGAGGTCCAAATACAAACAAGCTGATTCTACAGAAAGAGTGTTTCCAAACTGCTCTATCAAGAGGAATGTTCCACTCGGTGAGTTGAATGCAGACATCACAAAGGAGTTTCTGAGATTGCTTCTGTCTAGCTTTTATGGAAAGATATTTCCTTTTCTACCATAGGCCTCAAAGCGCTCTTAGTATACACTTCCAAATTCTACAAAGAGAGTGTTACTAAACCGCTCTCTCAAAGGAAATGTTAAACTCTGTGAGTTGAACACAGACATCACAAAGCAGTTTCTGAGAACACTTCTGTCTGCCTTTTATGTGAAGACATTCCCTTTTCCAAAGAATGCCTCCAAGGGCTCAAAATATCCACTTGTAGACTTTACAAAGAGAGTGTTTCAAAACTTCTCTACCAAAAGAAAGGTTAAAGACGGTGAGTTCAACGCACACATCACAAAGTTGTTTCTGAGAATGATTCTATCTATGTTTTCCATGAAGATGTTTCCTTTTCTATCATAGGCTTCAAAGTGGTCTAAATATCCACTTGGAAATCCTACAAGAACAGGGTTTCAAAACTTCTCTATCAAACGGAAGACTCCACTCTGTGAGATGAACGCACACATCACAATGAGGTTTCTGAAAATTCTTCTGTCTAGGGTTATAGGAAGAAATCCCGTTTCCAACGAAGGCCTCAAAGAGGTCCAAATATCCACTTGCAGTTTCCACAAAAAGAGTGTTTCAACACTGCTCTATAAAGAGGAAAGTTCCACTCTGTGAGTTGAATGTACACATCACAAAGTAGTTTCTGAGATTGCTTCTGTCTAGGTTTTAGGTGAAGTTATTTCCTTTTCTACTGTGGGCTTCAATGCGCTCTAAATATACACATGCAAATACTACAAAAAGAGTGTTTCAAAACTGCTCTATCAAAAGAAAAGTTTTACTCTGTGGGTTGAACGCACACATCGCAAAGCAGATTCTGAGAATTATTCTGTCTAGTTTTTATAGGAAGATGTTTCTTTTTCTGCCATAGGATAAAAGCGCTATAAATATCCCCTTGGAAATCCTACAAAAACAGTGTTTCAAAACTGCTCTGTGAAAAGGGAGGTTTCACTCTTTGAATTGAATGCACACATCACAAAGGAGGTTCTGAAAATTCTTCAATCTAGAGTTACATGAAGAAATCCCGTTTCCAAAGAAGGCCTCAAATAGGTCCAAATATCCACTTGCAGCTACTACAAGCAGGGTGTTTCAGAAACGCTCTATCAAAAGAAACGTTAAACTCTGTGAGTTGAACACACATGTCACTAAGCACTTTCTGAGAACGATTCTATCTACTTTTTACATGAAGATGTTTCCTTTTCTAGCAGAGACTTCAAAGTGCTGTAAATATCCACTTGGGAATTCTACAAAAACGGTGTCTCAAAACTGCTCTATCAAAGGGAATGTTCCATTCTGTGAGTCGAATGCACACATCCGAAGAAGTTACTGAGAATTCTTCTCTGTAGGTTTAGATGAAGAAATCCCGTTTCCAACGAAGGGCCTCTAGGAGGTCCAATTATCCACTTGCAGATTCTACAGAAAGAGTGTTTCAAAACTGCTCTATCAAGAGAAATGGTCCACCGTGTGTGTGGAATGCAGCCATCACACATTAGTTTCTGAGATTGTTTCTGTCTTGGTTTTATGGGGAGATATTTCCATTTCTAGCGTAGGCTTCAAGGCGCTCTAAATATCCGCTTGGAAATACTACAAAAACAGTGTTTCAAAACTGCTGTATCCAAAGGAAGGTGCCATTCGCTGAGTTGAATGCACACATCACAAGGAAGTTTCTGAGAATTCTTCTGTCTAGTTTTATACGAAGAAATCCCGTTTCCAACGAAGGCCTCAAAGAAGTCCAAATATCCCATTGCAAATTCTACAATAGGAGTGTTTCCCAACTACTCTATCAAGAGGAATGTTGCACTCTGTGACTTGAATGCAAACATCACATAGCAGTGTTTGAGAATTCTTCTGTCTAGAGTAACATGAAGAAATCCCGTTTCCAACGAAGGCCTCAAGGCGGTCCAATTATCCACTTGCAGATTCTACAGAAAGAGTGTTTCAAAACTGCTCTATCAAGAGAAATGTTCCACCGTGTGTGTGGAATGCAGCCATCACACAGTAGTTTCTGAGATTGCTTCCGTCTAGGTTTTATGGGAAGATATTTCCTTTTCTACCATAGGCCTCAAGGCGCTCTAATATCCGCTTGGAAATACTACAACCACAGCGTTTCAAACTGCTCTATCCAAAGGAAGGTTCCACTCTGTGACTTGAATGCACACAACCAAAGAAGTTTCAGAGAATTCTTCTGTCTGGATTTATACGAAGAAATCCCGTTTCCAACGAAGACCCAAAGGAGTTCCAAATATCCACTTGCAGATCCTTCAGAAAGAGGGTTTCAAAACTGCTCTATCAAGAGAAATGTTCAACTCTGTGAGTTGAATGCAGACATCACAAAGTCGTTTCTGAGATTGGTTCTGTCTAGGTTTTATGGGAAGATATTTCCTTTTCTACCATACGCTTCAAGGCGTTCCAAATATCCGCTTGGAAATACTACAAAAACGGTGTTTCAAAACTGCTCTATCAAAAGGAAGGATCCACACTGTGAGTTGAATTCACACATCACAAAGAAGTCTCTGAGAATTCTTCTGTCTGGGTTTATAGGAAGAAATCCCGTTTCCAACGAAGGCCTCAAAGCGGTCCATATATCCACTTGCAGATTCTACAGAAACAATGTTTCCAAACTGCTCTATCAAGAGGAATGTTGCACTCGGTGAGTTGAATGCACACATCACAAAGTAGTTTCTGAGATTGCTTCTGTCTACCTTTTATGGAAAGATATTCCCTTTTCTACCATAGGCCTGAAAGCGCTCTCAATGTACCCTTGCAAATTCTACAAAAAGAGTGTTTCCAAATTGCTCTATCAAGAGAAATCTTTATCTCGGTGAGTTGAAAGCACACATCACAAAGAAGACTCTGAGAATTCTTCTGTCTGGGTTTATAAGATGAAAACCCGTTTCCAACGAAGGCCTCAAGGAGGTCCAAATACAAACAAGCTGATTCTACAGAAAGAGTGTTTCCAAACTGCTCTATCAAGAGGAATGTTCCACTCGGTGAGTTGAATGCAGACATCACAAAGGAGTTTCTGAGATTGCTTCTGTCTAGCTTTTATGGAAAGATATTTCCTTTTCTACCATAGGCCTCAAAGCGCTCTTAGTATACACTTCCAAATTCTACAAAGAGAGTGTTACTAAACCGCTCTCTCAAAGGAAATGTTAAACTCTGTGAGTTGAACACAGACATCACAAAGCAGTTTCTGAGAACACTTCTGTCTGCCTTTTATGTGAAGACATTCCCTTTTCCAAAGAATGCCTCCAAGGGCTCAAAATATCCACTTGTAGACTTTACAAAGAGAGTGTTTCAAAACTTCTCTACCAAAAGAAAGGTTAAAGACGGTGAGTTCAACGCACACATCACAAAGTTGTATCTGAGAATGATTCTATCTATGTTTTCCATGAAGATGTTTCCTTTTCTATCATAGGCTTCAAAGTGGTCTAAATATCCACTTGGAAATCCTACAAGAACAGGGTTTCAAAACTTCTCTATCAAACGGAAGACTCCACTCTGTGAGATGAACGCACACATCACAATGAGGTTTCTGAAAATTCTTCTGTCTAGGGTTATAGGAAGAAATCCCGTTTCCAACGAAGGCCTCAAAGAGGTCCAAATATCCACTTGCAGTTTCTACAAAAAGAGTGTTTCAACACTGCTCTATAAAGAGGAAAGTTCCACTCTGTGAGTTGAATGTACACATCACAAAATAGTTTCTGAGATTGCTTCTGTCTAGGTTTTAGGTGAAGTTATTTCCTTTTCTACTGTGTGCTTCAATGCGCTCTAAATATACACATGCAAATACTACAAAAAGAGTGTTTCAAAACTGCTCTATCAAAAGAAAAGTTTTACTCTGTGAGATGAATGCACACATTGCAAAGCAGACTCTGAGAATTATTCTGTCTAGTTTTTATAGGAAGATGTTTCTTTTTCTGCCATAGGATCAATGCGCTATAAATATCCCCTTGGAAATCCTACAAAAACAGTGTTTCAAAACTGCTCTGTGAAAAGGGAGGTTTCACTCTTTGAATTGAATGCACACTTCACAAAGGAGTTTCTGAAAATTCTTCAATCTAGAGTTACATGAAGAAATCCCGTTTCCAAAGAAGGCCTCAAATAGGTCCAAATATCCACTTGCAGCTACTACAAGAAGGGTGTTTCAGAAACGCTCTATCAAAAGAAACGTTAAACTCTGTGAGTTGAACGCACACGTCACTAAGCACTTTCTGAGAACGATTCTATCTACTTTTTACATGAAGATGTTTCCTTTTCTAGCAGAGACTTCAAAGTGCTCTAAATATCCACTTGGGAATTCTACAAAAACGGTGTCTCAAAACTGCTCTATCAAAGGGAATGTTCCATTCTGTGAGTCGAATGCACACATCCGAAGAAGTTACTGAGAATTCTTCTCTGTAGGTTTAGATGAAGAAATCCCGTTTCCAACGAAGGCCTCTAGGAGGTCCAATTATCCACTTGCAGATTCTACAGAAAGAGTGTTTCAAAACTGCTCTATCAAGAGAAATGGTCCACCGTGTGTGTGGAATGCAGCCATCACACATTAGTTTCTGAGATTGCTTCTGTCTTGGTTTTATGGGGAGATATTTCCATTTCTAGCATAGGCTTCAAGGCGCTCTAAATATCCGCTTGGAAATACTACAAAAACAGTGTTTCAAAACTGCTGTATCCAAAGGAAGGTGCCACTCGCTGAGTTGAATGCACACATCACAAGGAAGTTTCTGAGAATTCTTCTGTCTAGATTCATACGAAGAAATCCCGTTTCCAACGAAGGCCTCAAAGAAGTCCAAATATCCCATTGCAAATTCTACAAAAGGAGTGTTTCCCAACTGCTCTATCAAGAGGAATGTTGCACTCTGTGACTTGCATGCAAACATCACACAGCAGTGTTTGAGAATTCTTCTGTCTAGAGTAACATGAAGAAATCCCGTTTCCAACGAAGGCCTCAAGGCGGTCCAATTATCCACTTGCAGATTCTACAGAAAGAGTGTTTCAAAACTGCTCTATCAAGAGAAATGTTCCACCGTGTGTGTGGAATGCAGCCATCACACAGTAGTTTCTGAGATTGCTTCCGTCTAGGTTTTATGGGAAGATATTTCCTTTTCTACCATAGGCCTCAAGGCGCTCTAATATCCGCTTGGAAATACTACAACCACAGCGTTTCAAACTGCTCTATCCAAAGGAAGGTTCCACTCTGTGACTTGAATGCACACAACCAAAGAAGTTTCGGAGAATTCTTCTGTCTAGATTTATACGAAGAAATCCCGTTTCCAACGAAGACCCAAAGGAGTTCCAAATATCCACTTGCAGATCCTTCAGAAAGAGGGTTTCAAAACTGCTCTATCAAGAGAAATGTTCAACTCTGTGAGTTGAATGCAGACATCACAAAGTCGTTTCTGAGATTGGTTCTGTCTAGGTTTTATGGGAAGATATTTCCTTTTCTACCATACGCTTCAAGGCGTTCCAAATATCCGCTTGGAAATACTACAAAAACAGTGTTTCAAAACTGCTCTATCAAAAGGAAGGGATCCACACTGTGAGTTGAATTCACACATCACAAAGAAATCTCTGAGAATTCTTCTGTCTGGGTTTATAGGAAGAAATCCCGTTTCCAACGAAGGCCTCAAAGCGGTCCATATATCCACTTGCAGATTCTACAGAAACAATGTTTCCAAACTGCTCTATCAAGAGGAATGTTGCACTCGGTGAGTTGAATGCACACATCACAAAGTAGTTTCTGAGATTGCTTCTGTCTACCTTTTATGGAAAGATATTCCCTTTTCTACCATAGGCCTGAAAGCGCTCTCAATGTACCCTTGCAAATTCTACAAAAAGAGTGTTTCCAAATTGCTCTATCAAGAGAAATCTTTATCTCGGTGAGTTGAAAGCACACATCACAAAGAAGACTCTGAGAATTCTTCTGTCTGGGTTTATAAGATGAAAACCCGTTTCCAACGAAGGCCTCAAGGAGGTCCAAATACAAACAAGCTGATTCTACAGAAAGAGTGTTTCCAAACTGCTCTATCAAGAGGAATGTTCCACTCGGTGAGTTGAATGCAGACATCACAAAGGAGTTTCTGAGATTGCTTCTGTCTAGCTTTTATGGAAAGATATTTCCTTTTCTACCATAGGCCTCAAAGCGCTCTTAGTATACACTTCCAAATTCTACAAAGAGAGTGTTACTAAACCGCTCTCTCAAAGGAAATGTTAAACTCTGTGAGTTGAACACAGACATCACAAAGCAGTTTCTGAGAACACTTCTGTCTGCCTTTTATGTGAAGACATTCCCTTTTCCAAAGAATGCCTCCAAGGGCTCAAAATATCCACTTGTAGACTTTACAAAGAGAGTGTTTCAAAACTTCTCTACCAAAAGAAAGGTTAAAGACGGTGAGTTCAACGCACACATCACAAAGTTGTTTCTGAGAATGATTCTATCTATGTTTTCCATGAAGATGTTTCCTTTTCTATCATAGGCTTCAAAGTGGTCTAAATATCCACTTGGAAATCCTACAAGAACAGGGTTTCAAAACTTCTCTATCAAACGGAAGACTCCACTCTGTGAGATGAACGCACACATCACAATGAGGTTTCTGAAAATTCTTCTGTCTAGGGTTATAGGAAGAAATCCCGTTTCCAACGAAGGCCTCAAAGAGGTCCAAATATCCACTTGCAGTTTCTACAAAAAGAGTGTTTCAACACTGCTCTATAAAGAGGAAAGTTCCACTCTGTGAGTTGAATGTACACATCACAAAGTAGTTTGCTGAGATTGCTTTCTGTCTAGGTTTTAGGTGAAGTTATTACCTTTTCTACTGTGGGCTTCAATGCGCTCTAAATATACACATGCAAATACTACAAAAAGAGTGTTTCAAAGCTGCTCTATCAAAACAAAAGTTTTACTCTGTGGGTTGAACGCACACATCGCAAAGCAGATTCTGAGAATTATTCTGTCTAGTTTTCATAGGAAGATGTTTCTTTTTCTGCCGTAGGCTCAATGTGCTATAAATATCCCCTTGGAAATCCCACAAAAACAGTGTTTCAAAACTGCTCTGTGAAAAGGGAGGTTTCACTCTTTGAATTGAATGCACACATCACAAAGGAGTTTCTGAAAATTCTTCAAACTAGAGTTACATGAAGAAATCCCGTTTCCAAAGAAGGCCTCAAATAGGTCCAAATATCCACTTGCAGCTACTACAAGAAGGGTGTTTCAGAAACGCTCTATCAAAAGAAACGTTAAACTCTGTGAGTTGAACACACACGTCACTAAGCACTTTCTGAGAACGATTCTATCTACTTTTTACATGAAGATGTTTCCTTTTCTAGCAGAGACTTCAAAGTGCTCTAAATATCCACTTGGGAATTCTACAAAAACGGTGTCTCAAAACTGCTCTATCAAACGGAATGTTCCATTCTGTGAGTCGAATGCACACATCCGAAGAAGTTACTGAGAATTCTTCTCTGTAGGTTTAGATGAAGAAATCCCGTTTCCAACGAAGGCCTCTAGGAGGTCCAATTATCCACTTGCAGATTCTACAGAAAGAGTGTTTCAAAACTGCTCTATCAAGAGAAATGTTCCACCGTGTGTGTGGAATGCAGCCATCACACAGTAGTTTCTGAGATTGCTTCCGTCTAGGTTTTATGGGAAGATATTTCCTTTTCTACCATAGGCCTCAAGGCGCTCTAATATCCGCTTGGAAATACTACAACCACAGCGTTTCAAACTGCTCTATCCAAAGGAAGGTTCCACTCTGTGACTTGAATGCACACAACCAAAGAAGTTTCGGAGAATTCTTCTGTCTGGATTTATACGAAGAAATCCCGTTTCCAACGAAGACCCAAAGGAGTTCCAAATATCCACTTGCAGATCCTTCAGAAAGAGGGTTTCAAAACTGCTCTATCAAGAGAAATGTTCAACTCTGTGAGTTGAATGCAGACATCACAAAGTCGTTTCTGAGATGGGTTCTGTCTAGGTTTTATGGGAAGATATTTCCTTTTCTACCATACGCTTCAAGGCGTTCCAAATATCCGCTTGGAAATACTACAAAAACGGTGTTTCAAAACTGCTCTATCAAAAGGAAGGATCCACACTGTGAGTTGAATTCACACATCACAAAGAAATCTCTGAGAATTCTTCTGTTTGGTTTATAGGAAGAAATCCCGTTTCCAACGAAGGCCTCAAAGCGGTCCATATATCCACTTGCAGATTCTACAGAAACAATGTTTCCAAACTGCTCTATCAAGAGGAATGTTGCACTCGGTGAGTTGAATGCACACATCACAAAGTAGTTTCTGAGATTGCTTCTGTCTACCTTTTATGGAAAGATATTCCCTTTTCTACCATAGGCCTGAAAGCGCTCTCAATGTACCCTTGCAAATTCTACAAAAAGAGTGTTTCCAAATTGCTCTATCAAGAGAAATCTTTATCTCGGTGAGTTGAAAGCACACATCACAAAGAAGACTCTGAGAATTCTTCTGTCTGGGTTTATAAGATGAAAACCCGTTTCCAACGAAGGCCTCAAGGAGGTCCAAATACAAACAAGCTGATTCTACAGAAAGAGTGTTTCCAAACTGCTCTATCAAGAGGAATGTTCCACTCGGTGAGTTGAATGCAGACATCACAAAGGAGTTTCTGAGATTGCTTCTGTCTAGCTTTTATGGAAAGATATTTCCTTTTCTACCATAGGCCTCAAAGCGCTCTTAGTATACACTTCCAAATTCTACAAAGAGAGTGTTACTAAACCGCTCTCTCAAAGGAAATGTTAAACTCTGTGAGTTGAACACAGACATCACAAAGCAGTTTCTGAGAACACTTCTGTCTGCCTTTTATGTGAAGACATTCCCTTTTCCAAAGAATGCCTCCAAGGGCTCAAAATATCCACTTGTAGACTTTACAAAGAGAGTGTTTCAAAACTTCTCTACCAAAAGAAAGGTTAAAGACGGTGAGTTCAACGCACACATCACAAAGTTGTTTCTGAGAATGATTCTATCTATGTTTTCCATGAAGATGTTTCCTTTTCTATCATAGGCTTCAAAGTGGTCTAAATATCCACTTGGAAATCCTACAAGAACAGGGTTTCAAAACTTCTCTATCAAACGGAAGACTCCACTCTGTGAGATGAACGCACACATCACAATGAGGTTTCTGAAAATTCTTCTGTCTAGGGTTATAGGAAGAAATCCCGTTTCCAACGAAGGCCTCAAAGAAGGTCCAAATATCCACTTGCAGTTTCTACAAAAAGAGTGTTTCAACACTGCTCTATAAAGAGGAAAGTTCCACTCTGTGAGTTGAATGTACACATCACAAAATAGTTTCTGAGATTGCTTCTGTCTAGGTTTTAGGTGAAGTTATTTCCTTTTCTACTGTGGGCTTCAATGCGCTCTAAATATACACATGCAAATACTACAAAAAGAGTGTTTCAAAACTGCTCTATCAAAAGAAAAGTTTTACTCTGTGAGTTGAACGCACACATCGCAAAGCAGATTCTGAGAATTATTCTGTCTAGTTTTTATAGGAAGATGTTTCTTTTTCTGCCATAGGCTCAATGCGCTATAAATATCCCCTTGGAAATCCTACAAAAACAGTGTTTCAAAACTGCTCTGTGAAAAGGGACGTTTCACTCTTTGAATTGAATGCACACTTCACAAAGGAGTTTCTGAAAATTCTTCAAACTAGAGTTACATGAAGAAATCCCGTTTCCAAAGAAGGCCTCAAATAGGTCCAAATATCCACTTGCAGCTACTACAAGAAGGGTGTTTCAGAAACGCTCTATCAAAAGAAACGTTAAACTCTGTGAGTTGAACACACACGTCACTAAGCACTTTCTGAGAACGATTCTATCTACTTTTTACATGAAGATGTTTCCTTTTCTAGCAGAGACTTCAAAGTGCTCTAAATATCCACTTGGGAATTCTACAAAAACGGTGTCTCAAAACTGCTCTATCAAAGGGAATGTTCCATTCTGTGAGTCGAATGCACACATCCGAAGAAGTTACTGAGAATTCTTCTCTGTAGGTTTAGATGAAGAAATCCCGTTTCCAACGAAGGCCTCTAGGAGGTCCAATTATCCACTTGCAGATTCTACAGAAAGAGTGTTTCAAAACTGCTCTATCAAGAGAAATGGTCCACCGTGTGTGTGGAATGCAGCCATCACACATTAGTTTCCTGAGATTGCTTCTGTCTTGGTTTTATGGGGAGATATTTCCATTTCTAGCATAGGCTTCAAGGCGCTCTAAATATCCGCTTGGAAATACTACAAAAACAGTGTTTCAAAACTGCTGTATCCAAAGGAAGGTGCCACTCGCTGAGTTGAATGCACACATCACAAGGAAGTTTCTGAGAATTCTTCTGTCTAGATTCATACGAAGAAATCCCGTTTCCAACGAAGGCCTCAAAGAAGTCCAAATATCCCATTGCAAATTCTACAAAAGGAGTGTTTCCCAACTGCTCTATCAAGAGGAATGTTGCACTCTGTGACTTGAATGCAAACATCACATAGCAGTGTTTGAGAATTCTTCTGTCTAGAGTAACATGAAGAAATCCCGTTTCCAACGAAGGCCTCAAGGCGGTCCAATTATCCACTTGCAGATTCTACAGAAAGAGTGTTTCAAAACTGCTCTATCAAGAGAAATGTTCCACCGTGTGTGTGGAATGCAGCCATCACACAGTAGTTTCTGAGATTGCTTCCGTCTAGGTTTTATGGGAAGATATTTCCTTTTCTACCATAGGCTTCAAGGCGCTCTAATATCCGCTTGAAAATACTACAACCACAGCGTTTCAAACTGCTCTATCCAAAGGAAGGTTCCACTCTGTGACTTGAATGCACACAACCAAAGAAGTTTCGGAGAATTCTTCTGTCTGGATTTATACGAAGAAATCCCGTTTCCAACGAAGACCCAAAGGAGTTCCAAATATCCACTTGCAGATCCTTCAGAAAGAGGGTTTCAAAACTGCTCTATCAAGAGAAATGTTCAACTCTGTGAGTTGAATGCAGACATCACAAAGTCGTTTCTGAGATGGGTTCTGTCTAGGTTTTATGGGAAGATATTTCCTTTTCTACCATACGCTTCAAGGCGTTCCAAATATCCGCTTGGAAATACTACAAAAACAGTGTTTCAAAACTGCTCTATCAAAAGGAAGGATCCACACTGTGAGTTGAATTCACACATCACAAAGAAATCTCTGAGAATTCTTCTGTCTGGGTTTATAGGAAGAAATCCCGTTCCCAACGAAGGCCTCAAAGCGGTCCATATATCCACTTGCAGATTCTACAGAAACAATGTTTCCAAACTGCTCGGTCAAGAGGAATGTTGCACTCGGTGAGTTGAATGCACACATCACAAAGTAGTTTCTGAGATTGCTTCTGTCTACCTTTTATGGAAAGATATTCCCTTTTCTACCATAGGCCTGAAAGCGCTCTCAATGTACCCTTGCAAATTCTACAAAAAGAGTGTTTCCAAATTGCTCTATCAAGAGAAATCTTTATCTCGGTGAGTTGAAAGCACACATCACAAAGAAGACTCTGAGAATTCTTCTGTCTGGGTTTATAAGATGAAAACCCGTTTCCAACGAAGGCCTCAAGGAGGTCCAAATACAAACAAGCTGATTCTACAGAAAGAGTGTTTCCAAACTGCTCTATCAAGAGGAATGTTCCACTCGGTGAGTTGAATGCAGACATCACAAAGGAGTTTCTGAGATTGCTTCTGTCTAGCTTTTATGGAAAGATATTTCCTTTTCTACCATAGGCCTCAAAGCGCTCTTAGTATACACTTCCAAATTCTACAAAGAGAGTGTTACTAAACCGCTCTCTCAAAGGAAATGTTAAACTCTGTGAGTTGAACACAGACATCACAAAGCAGTTTCTGAGAACACTTCTGTCTGCCTTTTATGTGAAGACATTCCCTTTTCCAAAGAATGCCTCCAAGGGCTCAAAATATCCACTTGTAGACTTTACAAAGAGAGTGTTTCAAAACTTCTCTACCAAAAGAAAGGTTAAAGACGGTGAGTTCAACGCACACATCACAAAGTTGTTTCTGAGAATGATTCTATCTATGTTTTCCATGAAGATGTTTCCTTTTCTATCATAGGCTTCAAAGTGGTCTAAATATCCACTTGGAAATCCTACAAGAACAGGGTTTCAAAACTTCTCTATCAAACGGAAGACTCCACTCTGTGAGATGAACGCACACATCACAATGAGGTTTCTGAAAATTCTTCTGTCTAGGGTTATAGGAAGAAATCCCGTTTCCAACGAAGGCCTCAAAGAGGTCCAAATATCCACTTGCAGTTTCTACAAAAAGAGTGTTTCAACACTGCTCTATAAAGAGGAAAGTTCCACTCTGTGAGTTGAATGTACACATCACAAAGTAGTTTCTGAGATTGCTTCTGTCTAGGTTTTAGGTGAAGTTATTTCCTTTTCTACTGTGGGCTTCAATGCGCTCTAAATATACACATGCAAATACTACAAAAAGAGTGTTTCAAAACTGCTCTATCAAAAGAAAAGTTTTACTCTGTGGGTTGAACGCACACATCGCAAAGCAGATTCTGAGAATTATTCTGTCTGGTTTTTATAGGAAGATGTTTCTTTTTCTGCCATAGGCTCAATGCGCTATAAATATCCCCTTGGAAATCCTACAAAAACAGTGTTTCAAAACTGCTCTGTGAAAAGGGAGGTTTCACTCTTTGAATTGAATGCACACATCACAAAGGAGTTTCTGAAAATTCTTCAAACTAGAGTTACATGAAGAAATCCCGTTTCCAAAGAAGGCCTCAAATAGGTCCAAATATCCACTTGCAGCTACTACAAGAAGGGTGTTTCAGAAACGCTCTATCAAAAGAAACGTTAAACTCTGTGAGTTGAACGCACACGTCACTAAGCACTTTCTGAGAACGATTCTATCTACTTTTTACATGAAGATGTTTCCTTTTCTAGCAGAGACTTCAAAGTGCTCTAAATATCCACTTGGGAATTCTACAAAAACGGTGTCTCAAAACTGCTCTATCAAACGGAATGTTCCATTCTGTGAGTCGAATGCACACATCCCGAAGAAGTTACTGAGAATTCTTCTCTGTAGGTTTATATGAAGAAATCCCGTTTCCAACGAAGGCCTCTAGGAGGTCCAATTATCCACTTGCAGATTCTACAGAAAGAGTGTTTCAAAACTGCTCTATCAAGAGAAATGGTCCACCGTGTGTGTGGAATGCAGCCATCACACATTAGTTTCTGAGATTGCTTCTGTCTTGGTTTTATGGGGAGATATTTCCATTTCTAGCATAGGCTTCAAGGCGCTCTAAATATCCGCTTGGAAATACTACAAAAACAGTGTTTCAAAACTGCTGTATCCAAAGGAAGGTGCCACTCGCTGAGTTGAATGCACACATCACAAGGAAGTTTCTGAGAATTCTTCTGTCTAGATTCATACGAAGAAATCCCGTTTCCAACGAAGGCCTCAAAGAAGTCCAAATATCCCATTGCAAATTCTACAAAAGGAGTGTTTCCCAACTGCTCTATCAAGAGGAATGTTGCACTCTGTGACTTGAATGCAAACATCACATAGCAGTGTTTGAGAATTCTTCTGTCTAGAGTAACATGAAGAAATCCCGTTTCCAACGAAGGCCTCAAGGCGGTCCAATTATCCACTTGCAGATTCTACAGAAAGAGTGTTTCAAAACTGCTCTATCAAGAGAAATGTTCCACCGTGTGTGTGGAATGCAGCCATCACACAGTAGTTTCTGAGATTGCTTCCGTCTAGGTTTTATGGGAAGATATTTCCTTTTCTACCATAGGCCTCAAGGCGCTCTAATATCCGCTTGGAAATACTACAACCACAGCGTTTCAAACTGCTCTATCCAAAGGAAGGTTCCACTCTGTGACTTGAATGCACACAACCAAAGAAGTTTCGGAGAATTCTTCTGTCTAGATTTATACGAAGAAATCCCGTTTCCAACGAAGACCCAAAGGAGTTCCAAATATCCACTTGCAGATCCTTCAGAAAGAGGGTTTCAAAACTGCTCTATCAAGAGAAATGTTCAACTCTGTGAGTTGAATGCAGACATCACAAAGTCGTTTCTGAGATTGGTTCTGTCTAGGTTTTATGGGAAGATATTTCCTTTTCTACCATACGCTTCAAGGCGTTCCAAATATCCGCTTGGAAATACTACAAAAACAGTGTTTCAAAACTGCTCTATCAAAAGGAAGGATCCACACTGTGAGTTGAATTCACACATCACAAAGAAGTCTCTGAGAATTCTTCTGTCTGGGTTTATAGGAAGAAATCCCGTTTCCAACGAAGGCCTCAAAGAGGTCCAAATATCCACTTGCAGATTCTACAGAAACAATGTTTCCAAACTGCTCGGTCAAGAGGAATGTTGCACTCGGTGAGTTGAATGCACACATCACAAAGTAGTTTCTGAGATTGCTTCTGTCTACCTTTTATGGAAAGATATTCCCTTTTCTACCATAGGCCTGAAAGCGCTCTCAATGTACCCTTGCAAATTCTACAAAAAGAGTGTTTCCAAATTGCTCTATCAAGAGAAATCTTTATCTCGGTGAGTTGAAAGCACACATCACAAAGAAGACTCTGAGAATTCTTCTGTCTGGGTTTATAAGATGAAAACCCGTTTCCAACGAAGGCCTCAAGGAGGTCCAAATACAAACAAGCTGATTCTACAGAAAGAGTGTTTCCAAACTGCTCTATCAAGAGGAATGTTCCACTCGGTGAGTTGAATGCAGACATCACAAAGGAGTTTCTGAGATTGCTTCTGTCTAGCTTTTATGGAAAGATATTTCCTTTTCTACCATAGGCCTCAAAGCGCTCTTAGTATACACTTCCAAATTCTACAAAGAGAGTGTTACTAAACCGCTCTCTCAAAGGAAATGTTAAACTCTGTGAGTTGAACACAGACATCACAAAGCAGTTTCTGAGAACACTTCTGTCTGCCTTTTATGTGAAGACATTCCCTTTTCCAAAGAATGCCTCCAAGGGCTCAAAATATCCACTTGTAGACTTTACAAAGAGAGTGTTTCAAAACTTCTCTACCAAAAGAAAGGTTAAAGACGGTGAGTTCAACGCACACATCACAAAGTTGTTTCTGAGAATGATTCTATCTATGTTTTCCATGAAGATGTTTCCTTTTCTATCATAGGCTTCAAAGTGGTCTAAATATCCACTTGGAAATCCTACAAGAACAGGGTTTCAAAACTTCTCTATCAAACGGAAGACTCCACTCTGTGAGATGAACGCACACATCACAATGAGGTTTCTGAAAATTCTTCTGTCTAGGGTTATAGGAAGAAATCCCGTTTCCAACGAAGGCCTCAAAGAGGTCCAAATATCCACTTGCAGTTTCTACAAAAAGAGTGTTTCAACACTGCTCTATAAAGAGGAAAGTTCCACTCTGTGAGTTGAATGTACACATCACAAAGTAGTTTCTGAGATTGCTTCTGTCTAGGTTTTAGGTGAAGTTATTTCCTTTTCTACTGTGGGCTTCAATGCGCTCTAAATATACACATGCAAATACTACAAAAAGAGTGTTTCAAAACTGCTCTATCAAAAGAAAAGTTTTACTCTGTGAGTTGAACGCACACATCGCAAAGCAGATTCTGAGAATTATTCTGTCTAGTTTTTATAGGAAGATGTTTCTTTTTCTGCCATAGGATCAATGCGCTATAAATATCCCCTTGGAAATCCTACAAAAACAGTGTTTCAAAACTGCTCTGTGAAAAGGGAGGTTTCACTCTTTGAATTGAATGCACACATCACAAAGGAGTTTCTGAAAATTCTTCAATCTAGAGTTACATGAAGAAATCCCGTTTCCAAAGAAGGCCTCAAATAGGTCCAAATATCCACTTGCAGCTACTACAAGAAGGGTGTTTCAGAAACGCTCTATCAAAAGAAACGTTAAACTCTGTGAGTTGAACACACACGTCACTAAGCACTTTCTGAGAACGATTCTATCTACTTTTTACATGAAGATGTTTCCTTTTCTAGCAGAGACTTCAAAGTGCTCTAAATATCCACTTGGGAATTCTACAAAAACGGTGTCTCAAAACTGCTCTATCAAAGGGAATGTTCCATTCTGTGAGTCGAATGCACACATCCGAAGAAGTTACTGAGAATTCTTCTCTGTAGGTTTAGATGAAGAAATCCCGTTTCCAACGAAGGCCTCTAGGAGGTCCAATTATCCACTTGCAGATTCTACAGAAAGAGTGTTTCAAAACTGCTCTATCAAGAGAAATGGTCCACCGTGTGTGTGGAATGCAGCCATCACACATTAGTTTCTGAGATTGCTTCTGTCTTGGTTTTATGGGGAGATATTTCCATTTCTAGCATAGGCTTCAAGGCGCTCTAAATATCCGCTTGGAAATACTACAAAAACAGTGTTTCAAAACTGCTGTATCCAAAGGAAGGTGCCACTCGCTGAGTTGAATGCACACATCACAAGGAAGTTTCTGAGAATACTTCTGTCTAGATTCATACGAAGAAATCCCGTTTCCAACGAAGGCCTCAAAGAAGTCCAAATATCCCATTGCAAATTCTACAAAAGGAGTGTTTCCCAACTGCTCTATCAAGAGGAATGTTGCACTCTGTGACTTGAATACAAACATCACATAGCAGTGTTTGAGAATTCTTCTGTCTAGAGTAACATGAAGAAATCCCGTTTCCAACGAAGGCCTCAAGGCGGTCCAATTATCCACTTGCAGATTCTACAGAAAGAGTGTTTCAAAACTGCTCTATCAAGAGAAATGTTCCACCGTGTGTGTGGAATGCAGCCATCACACAGTAGTTTCTGAGATTGCTTCCGTCTAGGTTTTATGGGAAGATATTTCCTTTTCTACCATAGGCCTCAAGGCGCTCTAATATCCGCTTGGAAATACTACAACCACAGTGTTTCAAACTGCTCTATCCAAAGGAAGGTTCCACTCTGTGACTTGAATGCACACAACCAAAGAAGTTTCGGAGAATTCTTCTGTCTGGATTTATACGAAGAAATCCCGTTTCCAACGAAGACCCAAAGGAGTTCCAAATATCCACTTGCAGATCCTACAGAAAGAGGGTTTCAAAACTGCTCTATCAAGAGAAATGTTCAACTCTGTGAGTTGAATGCAGACATCACAAAGTCGTTTCTGAGATGGGTTCTGTCTAGGTTTTATGGGAAGATATTTCCTTTTCTACCATACGCTTCAAGGCGTTCCAAATATCCGCTTGGAAATACTACAAAAACGGTGTTTCAAAACTGCTCTATCAAAAGGAAGGATCCACACTGTGAGTTGAATTCACACATCACAAAGAAATCTCTGAGAATTCTTCTGTCTGGGTTTATAGGAAGAAATCCCGTTTCCAACGAAGGCCTCAAAGCGGTCCATATATCCACTTGCAGATTCTACAGAAACAATGTTTCCAAACTGCTCTATCAAGAGGAATGTTGCACTCGGTGAGTTGAATGCACACATCACAAAGTAGTTTCTGAGATTGCTTCTGTCTACCTTTTATGGAAAGATATTCCCTTTTCTACCATAGGCCTGAAAGCGCTCTCAATGTACCCTTGCAAATTCTACAAAAAGAGTGTTTCCAAATTGCTCTATCAAGAGAAATCTTTATCTCGGTGAGTTGAAAGCACACATCACAAAGAAGACTCTGAGAATTCTTCTGTCTGGGTTTATAAGATGAAAACCCGTTTCCAACGAAGGCCTCAAGGAGGTCCAAATACAAACAAGCTGATTCTACAGAAAGAGTGTTTCCAAACTGCTCTATCAAGAGGAATGTTCCACTCGGTGAGTTGAATGCAGACATCACAAAGGAGTTTCTGAGATTGCTTCTGTCTAGCTTTTATGGAAAGATATTTCCTTTTCTACCATAGGCCTCAAAGCGCTCTTAGTATACACTTCCAAATTCTACAAAGAGAGTGTTACTAAACCGCTCTCTCAAAGGAAATGTTAAACTCTGTGAGTTGAACACAGACATCACAAAGCAGTTTCTGAGAACACTTCTGTCTGCCTTTTATGTGAAGACATTCCCTTTTCCAAAGAATGCCTCCAAGGGCTCAAAATATCCACTTGTAGACTTTACAAAGAGAGTGTTTCAAAACTTCTCTACCAAAAGAAAGGTTAAAGACGGTGAGTTCAACGCACACATCACAAAGTTGTTTCTGAGAATGATTCTATCTATGTTTTCCATGAAGATGTTTCCTTTTCTATCATAGGCTTCAAAGTGGTCTAAATATCCACTTGGAAATCCTACAAGAACAGGGTTTCAAAACTTCTCTATCAAACGGAACACTCCACTCTGTGAGATGAACGCACACATCACAATGAGGTTTCTGAAAATTCTTCTGTCTAGGGTTATAGGAAGAAATCCCGTTTCCAACGAAGGCCTCAAAGAGGTCCAAATATCCACTTGCAGTTTCTACAAAAAGAGTGTTTCAACACTGCTCTATAAAGAGGAAAGTTCCACTCTGTGAGTTGAATGTACACATCACAAAGTAGTTTCTGAGATTGCTTCTGTCTAGGTTTTAGGTGAAGTTATTTCCTTTTCTACTGTGGGCTTCAATGCGCTCTAAATATACACATGCAAATACTACAAAAAGAGTGTTTCAAAACTGCTCTATCAAAAGAAAAGTTTTACTCTGTGGGTTGAACGCACACATCGCAAAGCAGATTCTGAGAATTATTCTGTCTAGTTTTTATAGGAAGATGTTTCTTTTTCTGCCGTAGGCTCAATGCGCTATAAATATCCCCTTGGAAATCCTACAAAAACAGTGTTTCAAAACTGCTCTGTGAAAAGGGAGGTTTCACTCTTTGAATTGAATGCACACATCACAAAGGAGTTTCTGAAAATTCTTCAATCTAGAGTTACATGAAGAAATCCCGTTTCCAAAGAAGGCCTCAAATAGGTCCAAATATCCACTTGCAGCTACTACAAGAAGGGTGTTTCAGAAACGCTCTATCAAAAGAGACGTTAAACTCTGTGAGTTGAACACACACGTCACTAAGCACTTTCTGAGAACGATTCTATCTACTTTTTACATGAAGATGTTTCCTTTTCTAGCAGAGACTTCAAAGTGCTCTAAATATCCACTTGGGAATTCTACAAAAACGGTGTCTCAAAACTGCTCTATCAAACGGAATGTTCCATTCTGTGAGTCGAATGCACACATCCGAAGAAGTTACTGAGAATTCTTCTCTGTAGGTTTAGGTGAAGAAATCCCGTTTCCAACGAAGGCCTCTAGGAGGTCCAATTATCCACTTGCAGATTCTACAGAAAGAGTGTTTCAAAACTGCTCTATCAAGAGAAATGGTCCACCGTGTGTGTGGAATGCAGCCATCACACATTAGTTTCTGAGATTGCTTCTGTCTTGGTTTTATGGGGAGATATTTCCATTTCTAGCATAGGCTTCAAGGCGCTCTAAATATCCGCTTGGAAATACTACAAAAACAGTGTTTCAAAACTGCTGTATCCAAAGGGAAGGTGCCACTCGCTGAGTTGAATGCACACATCACAAGGGAAGTTTCTGAGAATTCTTCTGTCTAGATTCATACGAAGAAATCCCGTTTCCAACGAAGGCCTCAAAGAAGTCCAAATATCCCATTGCAAATTCTACAAAAGGAGTGTTTCCCAACTGCTCTATCAAGAGGAATGTTGCACTCTGTGACTTGCATGCAAACATCATATAGCAGTGTTTGAGAATTCTTCTGTCTAGAGTAACATGAAGAAATCCCGTTTCCAACGAAGGCCTCAAGGCGGTCCAATTATCCACTTGCAGATTCTACAGAAAGAGTGTTTCAAAACTGCTCTATCAAGAGAAATGTTCCACCGTGTGTGTGGAATGCAGCCATCACACAGTAGTTTCTGAGATTGCTTCCGTCTAGGTTTTATGGGAAGATATTTCCTTTTCTACCATAGGCCTCAAGGCGCTCTAATATCCGCTTGGAAATACTACAACCACAGCATTTCAAACTGCTCTATCCAAAGGAAGGTTCCACTCTGTGACTTGAATGCACACAACCAAAGAAGTTTCGGAGAATTCTTCTGTCTAGATTTATACGAAGAAATCCCGTTTCCAACGAAGACCCAAAGGAGTTCCAAATATCCACTTGCAGATCCTTCAGAAAGAGGGTTTCAAAACTGCTCTATCAAGAGAAATGTTCAACTCTGTGAGTTGAATGCAGACATCACAAAGTCGTTTCTGAGATTGGTTCTGTCTAGGTTTTATGGGAAGATATTTCCTTTTCTACCATACGCTTCAAGGCGTTCCAAATATCCGCTTGGAAATACTACAAAAACAGTGTTTCAAAACTGCTCTATCAAAAGGAAGGATCCACACTGTGAGTTGAATTCACACATCACAAAGAAGTCTCTGAGAATTCTTCTGTCTGGGTTTATAGGAAGAAATCCCGTTTCCAACGAAGGCCTCAAAGAGGTCCAAATATCCACTTGCAGATTCTACAGAAACAATGTTTCCAAACTGCTCGGTCAAGAGGAATGTTGCACTCGGTGAGTTGAATGCACACATCACAAAGTAGTTTCTGAGATTGCTTCTGTCTACCTTTTATGGAAAGATATTCCCTTTTCTACCATAGGCCTGAAAGCGCTCTCAATGTACCCTTGCAAATTCTACAAAAAGAGTGTTTCCAAATTGCTCTATCAAGAGAAATCTTTATCTCGGTGAGTTGAAAGCACACATCACAAAGAAGACTCTGAGAATTCTTCTGTCTGGGTTTATAAGATGAAAACCCGTTTCCAACGAAGGCCTCAAGGAGGTCCAAATACAAACAAGCTGATTCTACAGAAAGAGTGTTTCCAAACTGCTCTATCAAGAGGAATGTTCCACTCGGTGAGTTGAATGCAGACATCACAAAGGAGTTTCTGGGATTGCTTCTGTCTAGCTTTTATGGAAAGATATTTCCTTTTCTACCATAGGCCTCAAAGCGCTCTTAGTATACACTTCCAAATTCTACAAAGAGAGTGTTACTAAACCGCTCTCTCAAAGGAAATGTTAAACTCTGTGAGTTGAACACAGACATCACAAAGCAGTTTCTGAGAACACTTCTGTCTGCCTTTTATGTGAAGACATTCCCTTTTCCAAAGAATGCCTCCAAGGGCTCAAAATATCCACTTGTAGACTTTACAAAGAGAGTGTTTCAAAACTTCTCTACCAAAAGAAAGGTTAAAGACGGTGAGTTCAACGCACACATCACAAAGTTGTTTCTGAGAATGATTCTATCTATGTTTTCCATGAAGATGTTTCCTTTTCTATCATAGGCTTCAAAGTGGTCTAAATATCCACTTGGAAATCCTACAAGAACAGGGTTTCAAAACTTCTCTATCAAACGGAAGACTCCACTCTGTGAGATGAACGCACACATCACAATGAGGTTTCTGAAAATTCTTCTGTCTAGGGTTATAGGAAGAAATCCCGTTTCCAACGAAGGCCTCAAAGAGGTCCAAATATCCACTTGCAGTTTCTACAAAAAGAGTGTTTCAACACTGCTCTATAAAGAGGAAAGTTCCACTCTGTGAGTTGAATGTACACATCACAAAGTAGTTTCTGAGATTGCTTCTGTCTAGGTTTTAGGTGAAGTTATTTCCTTTTCTACTGTGGGCTTCAATGCGCTCTAAATATACACATGCAAATACTACAAAAAGAGTGTTTCAAAACTGCTCTATCAAAAGAAAAGTTTTACTCTGTGGGTTGAACGCACACATCGCAAAGCAGATTCTGAGAATTATTCTGTCTAGTTTTTATAGGAAGATGTTTCTTTTTCTGCTATAGGATCAATGCGCTATAAATATCCCCTTGGAAGTCCTACAAAAACAGTGTTTCAAAACTGCTCTGTGAAAAGGGAGGTTTCACTCTTTGAATTGAATGCACACATCACAAAGGAGTTTCTGAAAATTCTTCAATCTAGAGTTACATGAAGAAATCCCGTTTCCAAAGAAGGCCTCAAATAGGTCCAAATATCCACTTGCAGCTACTACAAGAAGGGTGTTTCAGAAACGCTCTATCAAAAGAAACGTTAAAGTCTGTGAGTTGAACGCACACGTCACTAAGCACTTTCTGAGAACGATTCTATCTACTTTTTACATGAAGATGTTTCCTTTTCTAGCAGAGACTTCAAAGTGCTCTAAATATCCACTTGGGAATTCTACAAAAACGGTGTCTCAAAACTGCTCTATCAAAGGGAATGTTCCATTCTGTGAGTCGAATGCACACATCCGAAGAAGTTACTGAGAATTCTTCTCTGTAGGTTTAGATGAAGAAATCCCGTTTCCAACGAAGGCCTCTAGGAGGTCCAATTATCCACTTGCAGATTCTACAGAAAGAGTGTTTCAAAACTGCTCTATCAAGAGAAATGGTCCACCGTGTGTGTGGAATGCAGCCATCACACATTAGTTTCTGAGATTGCTTCTGTCTTGGTTTTATGGGGAGATATTTCCATTTCTAGCATAGGCTTCAAGGCGCTCTAAATATCCGCTTGGAAATACTACAAAAACAGTGTTTCAAAACTGCTGTATCCAAAGGAAGGTGCCACTCGCTGAGTTGAATGCACACATCACAAGGAAGTTTCTGAGAATTCTTCTGTCTAGATTCATACGAAGAAATCCCTTTTCCAACGAAGGCCTCAAAGAAGTCCAAATATCCCATTGCAAATTCTACAAAAGGAGTGTTTCCCAACTGCTCTATCAAGAGGAATGTTGCACTCTGTGACTTGAATGCAAACATCACATAGCAGTGTTTGAGAATTCTTCTGTCTAGAGTAACATGAAGAAATCCCGTTTCCAACGAAGGCTTCAAGACGGTCCAATTATCCACTTGCAGATTCTACAGAAAGAGTGTTTCAAAACTGCTCTATCAAGAGAAATGTTCCACCGTGTGTGTGGAATGCAGCCATCACACATTAGTTTCTGAGATTGCTTCCGTCTAGGTTTTATGGGAAGATATTTCCTTTTCTACCATAGGCCTCAAGGCGCTCTAATATCCGCTTGGAAATACTACAACCACAGCGTTTCAAACTGCTCTATCCAAAGGAAGGTTCCACTCTGTGACTTGAATGCACACAACCAGAGAAGTTTCGGAGAATTCTTCTGTCTGGATTTATACGAAGAAATCCCGTTTCCAACGAAGACCCAAAGGAGTTCCAAATATCCACTTGCAGATCCTTCAGAAAGAGGGTTTCAAAACTGCTCTATCAAGAGAAATGTTCAACTCTGTGAGTTGAATGCAGACATCACAAAGTCGTTTCTGAGATGGGTTCTGTCTAGGTTTTATGGGAAGATATTTCCTTTTCTACCATACGCTTCAAGGCGTTCCAAATATCCGCTTGGAAATACTACAAAAACAGTGTTTCAAAACTGCTCTATCAAAAGGAAGGATCCACACTGTGAGTTGAATTCACACATCACAAAGAAATCTCTGAGAATTCTTCTGTCTGGGTTTATAGGAAGAAATCCCGTTTCCAACGAAGGCCTCAAAGCGGTCCATATATCCACTTGCAGATTCTACAGAAACAATGTTTCCAAACTGCTCTATCAAGAGGAATGTTGCACTCGGTGAGTTGAATGCACACATCACAAAGTAGTTTCTGAGATTGCTTCTGTCTACCTTTTCTACCATAGGCCTGAAAGCGCTCTCAATGTACCCTTGCAAATTCTACAAAAAGAGTGTTTCCAAATTGCTCTATCAAGAGAAATCTTTATCTCGGTGAGTTGAAAGCACACATCACAAAGAAGACTCTGAGAATTCTTCTGTCTGGGTTTATAAGATGAAAACCCGTTTCCAACGAAGGCCTCAAGGAGGTCCAAATACAAACAAGCTGATTCTACAGAAAGAGTGTTTCCAAACTGCTCTATCAAGAGGAATGTTCCACTCGGTGAGTTGAATGCAGACATCACAAAGGAGTTTCTGAGATTGCTTCTGTCTAGCTTTTATGGAAAGATATTTCCTTTTCTACCATAGGCCTCAAAGCGCTCTTAGTATACACTTCCAAATTCTACAAAGAGAGTGTTACTAAACCGCTCTCTCAAAGGAAATGTTAAACTCTGTGAGTTGAACACAGACATCACAAAGCAGTTTCTGAGAACACTTCTGTCTGCCTTTTATGTGAAGACATTCCCTTTTCCAAAGAATGCCTCCAAGGGCTCAAAATATCCACTTGTAGACTTTACAAAGAGAGTGTTTCAAAACTTCTCTACCAAAAGAAAGGTTAAAGACGATGAGTTCAACGCACACATCACAAAGTTGTTTCTGAGAATGATTCTATCTATGTTTTCCATGAAGATGTTTCCTTTTCTATCATAGGCTTCAAAGTGGTCTAAATATCCACTTGGAAATCCTACAAGAACAGGGTTTCAAAACTTCTCTATCAAACGGAAGACTCCACTCTGTGAGATGAACGCACACATCACAATGAGGTTTCTGAAAATTCTTCTGTCTAGGGTTATAGGAAGAAATCCCGTTTCCAACGAAGGCCTCAAAGAGGTCCAAATATCCACCTGCAGTTTCTACAAAAAGAGTGTTTCAACACTGCTCTGTAAAGGGGAAAGCTCCACTCTGTGAGTTGAATGTACACATCAAAAAGTAGTTTCTGAGATTGCTTCTGTCTAGGTTTTAGGTGAAGTTATCTCCTTTTCTACTGTGGGCTTCAACGCGCTCTAAATATAAACATGAAAATACTACAAAAAGAGTGTTTCAAAACTGCTCTATCAAAAGAAAAGTTTTACTCTGTGGGTGGAACGCACACATCGCAAAGCAGATTCTGAGAATCATTCTGTCTAGTTTTTATAGGAAGATGTTTCTTTTTCTGCCGTAGGCTCAATGCGCTATAAATATCCCCTTGGAAATCCTACAAAAACAGTGTTTCAAAACTGCTCTGTGAAAAGGGAGGTTTCACTCTTTGAATTGAATGCACACATCACAAAGGAGTTTGCTGAAAATTCTTCAAACTAGAGTTACATGAAGAAATCCCGTTTCCAAAGAAGGCCTCAAATAGGTCCAAATATCCACTTGCAGCTACTACAAGAAGGGTGTTTCAGAAACGCTCTATCAAAAGAAACGTTAAACTCTGTGAGTTGAACACACACGTCACTAAGCACTTTCTGAGAACGATTCTATCTACTTTTTACATGAAGATGTTTCCTTTTCTAGCAGAGACTTCAAAGTGCTCTAAATATCCACTTGGGAATTCTACAAAAACGGTGTCTCAAAACTGCTCTATCAAACGGAATGTTCCATTCTGTGAGTCGAATGCACACATCCGAAGAAGTTACTGAGAATTCTTCTCTGTAGGTTTAGATGAAGAAATCCCGTTTCCAACGAAGGCCTCTAGGAGGTCCAATTATCCACTTGCAGATTCTACAGAAAGAGTGTTTCAAAACTGCTCTATCAAGAGAAATGGTCCACCGTGTGTGTGGAATGCAGCCATCACACATTAGTTTCTGAGATTGCTTCTGTCTTGGTTTTATGGGGAGATATTTCCATTTCTAGCATAGGCTTCAAGGCGCTCTAAATATCCGCTTGGAAATACTACAAAAACAGTGTTTCAAAACTGCTGTATCCAAAGAAAGGTGCCATTCGCTGAGTTGAATGCACACATCACAAGGAAGTTTCTGAGAATTCTTCTGTCTAGATTCATACGAAGAAATCCCGTTTCCAACGAAGGCCTCAAAGAAGTCCAAATATCCCATTGCAAATTCTACAAAAGGAGTGTTTCCCAACTGCTCTATCAAGAGGAATGTTGCACTCTCTGACTTGCATGCAAACATCATATAGCAGTGTTTGAGAATTCTTCTGTCTAGAGTAACATGAAGAAATCCCGTTTCCAACGAAGGCCTCAAGGCCGTCCAATTATCCACTTGCAGATTCTACAGAAAGAGTGTTTCAAAACTGCTCTATCAAGAGAAATGTTCCACCGTGTGTGTGGAATGCAGTCATCACACAGTAGTTTCTGAGATTGCTTCCGTCTAGGTTTTATGGGAAGATATTTCCTTTTCTACCATAGGCCTCAAGGCGCTCTAATATCCGCTTGGAAATACTACAACCACAGCGTTTCAAACTGCTCTATCCAAAGGAAGGTTCCACACTGTGACTTGAATGCACACAACCAAAGAAGTTTCGGAGAATTCTTCTGTCTGGATTTATACGAAGAAATCCCGTTTCCAACGAAGACCCAAAGGAGTTCCAAATATCCACTTGCAGATCCTTCAGAAAGAGGGTTTCAAAGCTGCTCTATCAAGAGAAATGTTCAACTCTGTGAGTTGAATGCAGACATCACAAAGTCGTTTCTGAGATTGGTTCTGTCTAGGTTTTATGGGAAGATATTTCCTTTTCTGACCATACGCTTCAAGGCGTTCGCAAATATCCGCTTGGAAATACTACAAAAACAGTGTTTCAAAACTGCTCTATCAAAAGGAAGGATCCACACAGTGAGTTGAATTCACACATCACAAAGAAGTCTCTGAGAATTCTTCTGTCTGGGTTTATAGGAAGAAATCCCGTTTCCAACGAAGGCCTCAAAGCGGTCCATATATCCACTTGCAGATTCTACAGAAACAATGTTTCCAAACTGCTCTATCAAGAGGAATGTTGCACTCGGTGAGTTGAATGCACACATCACAAAGTAGTTTCTGAGATTGCTTCTGTCTACCTTTTATGGAAAGATATTCCCTTTTCTACCATAGGCCTGAAAGCGCTCTCAATGTACCCTTGCAAATTCTACAAAAAGAGTGTTTCCAAATTGCTCTATCAAGAGAAATCTTTATCTCGGTGAGTTGAAAGCACACATCACAAAGAAGACTCTGAGAATTCTTCTGTCTGGGTTTATAAGATGAAAACCCGTTTCCAACGAAGGCCTCAAGGAGGTCCAAATACAAACAAGCTGATTCTACAGAAAGAGTGTTTCCAAACTGCTCTATCAAGAGGAATGTTCCACTCGGTGAGTTGAATGCAGACATCACAAAGGAGTTTCTGAGATTGCTTCTGTCTAGCTTTTATGGAAAGATATTTCCTTTTCTACCATAGGCCTCAAAGCACTCTTAGTATACACTTCCAAATTCTACAAAGAGAGGGTTACTAAACCGCTCTATCACAGGAAATGTTAAACTCTGTGAGTTGAACACAGACATCACAAAGCAGTTTCTGAGAACACTTCTGTCTGCCTTTTATGTGAAGACATTCCCTTTTCCAAAGAATACCTCCAAGGGCTCAAAATATCCACTTGTGGACTTTACAAAGAGAGTGTTTCAAAACTTCTCTACCAAAAGAAAGGTTAAAGACTGTGAGTTCAACGCACACATCACAAAGTTGTTTCTGAGAATGATTCTATCTATGTTTTCCATGAAGATGTTTCCTTTTCTATCATAGGCTTCAAAGTGTTCTAAATATCCACTTGGAGATCCTACAAGAACAGGGTTTCAAAACTTCTCTATCAAACGGAAGACTCCACTCTGTGAGATGAACGCACACATCACAATGAGGTTTCTGAAAATTCTTCTGTCTAGGGTTATAGGAAGAAATCCCGTTTCCAACGAGGGCCTCAAAGAGGTCCAAATATCCACCAGCAGTTTCTACAAAAAGAGTGTTTCAACACTGCTCTGTAAAGGGGAAAGTTCCACTCTGTGAGTTGAATGTACACATCACAAAGTAGTTTCTGAGATTGCTTCTGTCTAGGTTTTAGGTGAAGTTATTTCCTTTTCTACTGTGGGCTTCAATGCGCTCTAAATATACACATGCAAATACTACAAAAAGAGTGTTTCAAAACTGCTCTATCAAAAGAAAAGTTTTACTCTGTGAGTTGAACGCACACATCGCAAAGCAGATTCTGATAATTATTCTGTCTAGTTTTTATAGGAAGGTGTTTCTTTTTCTGCCGTAGGCTCAATGCGCTATAAATATCCCCTTGGAAATCCTACAAAAACAGTGTTTCAAAACTGCTCTGTGAAAAGGGAGGTTTCACTCTTTGAATTGAATGCACACATCACAAAGGAGTTTCTGAGAATTCTTCAATCTAGAGTTACAGGAAGAAATCCCGTTTCCAAAGAAGGCCTCCAATAGGTCCAAATATCCACTTGCAGCTACTACAAGAAGGGTGTTTCAGAAACGCTCTATCAAAAGAAACGTTACACTCTGTGAGTTGAACGCACACGTCACTAAGCACTTTCTGAGAACGATTCTATCTACTTTTTACATGAAGATGTTTCCTTTTCTAGCAGAGACTTCAAAGTGCTCTAAATATCCACTTGGGAATTCTACCAAAACGGTGTCTCAAAACTGCTCTATCGAAGGGAATGTTCCACTCTGTGAGTCGAATGCACACATCCGAAGAAGTTACTGAGAATTCTTCTCTGTAGGTTTAGATGAAGAAATCCCGTTTCCAACGAAGGCCTCTAGGAGGTCCAATTATCCACTTGCAGATTCTACAGAAAGAGTGTTTCAAAACTGCTCTATCAAGAGAAATGGTCCACCGTGTGTGTGGAATGCAGCCATCACACATTAGTTTCTGAGATTGCTTCTGTCTTGGTTTTATGGGGAGATATTTCCATTTCTAGCATAGGCTTCAAGGCGCTCTAAATATCCGCTTGGAAATACTACAAAAACAGTGTTTCAAAACTGCTGTATCCAAAGGAAGGTGCCACTCGCTGAGTTGAATGCACACATCACAAGGAAGTTTCTGAGAATTCTTCTGTCTAGATTCATACGAAGAAATCCCGTTTCCAACGAAGGCCTCAAAGAAGTCCAAATATCCCATTGCAAATTCTACAAAAGGAGTGTTTCCCAACTGCTCTATCAAGAGGAATGTTGCACTCTGTGACTTGCATGCAAACATCACATAGCAGTGTTTGAGAATTCTTCTGTCTAGAGTAACATGAAGAAATCCCGTTTCCAACGAAGGCCTCAAGGCGGTCCAATTATCCACTTGCAGATTCTACAGAAAGAGTGTTTCAAAACTGCTCTATCAAGAGAAATGTTCCACCGTGTGTGTGGAATGCAGCCATCACACAGTAGTTTCTGAGATTGCTTCCGTCTAGGTTTTATGGGAAGATATTTCCTTTTCTACCATAGGCTTCAAGGCGATCTAATATCCGCTTGGAAATACTACAACCACAGCGTTTCAAACTGCTCTATCCAAAGGAAGGTTCCACTCTGTGACTTGAATGCACACAACCAAAGAAGTTTCGGAGAATTCTTCTGTCTGGATTTATACGAAGAAATCCCGTTTCCAACGAAGACCCAAAGGAGTTCCAAATATCCACTTGCAGATCCTTCAGAAAGAGGGTTTCAAAACTGCTCTATCAAGAGAAATGTTCAACTCTGTGAGTTGAATGCAGACATCACAAAGTCGTTTCTGAGATGGGTTCTGTCTAGGTTTTATGGGAAGATATTTCCTTTTCTACCATACGCTTCAAGGCGTTCCAAATATCCGCTTGGAAATACTACAAAAACAGTGTTTCAAAACTGCTCTATCAAAAGGAAGGATCCACACTGTGAGTTGAATTCACACATCACAAAGAAATCTCTGAGAATTCTTCTGTCTGGGTTTATAGGAAGAAATCCCGTTTCCAACGAAGGCCTCAAAGCGGTCCATATATCCACTTGCAGATTCTACAGAAACAATGTTTCCAAACTGCTCTATCAAGAGGAATGTTGCACTCGGTGAGTTGAATGCACACATCACAAAGTAGTTTCTGAGATTGCTTCTGTCTACCTTTTATGGAAAGATATTCCCTTTTCTACCATAGGCCTGAAAGCGCTCTCAATGTACCCTTGCAAATTCTACAAAAAGAGTGTTTCCAAATTGCTGTATCAAGAGAAATCTTTATCTCGGTGAGTTGAAAGCACACATCACAAAGAAGACTCTGAGAATTCTTCTGTCTGGGTTTATAAGATGAAAACCCGTTTCCAACGAAGGCCTCAAGGAGGTCCAAATACAAACAAGCTGATTCTACAGAAAGAGTGTTTCCAAACTGCTCTATCAAGAGGAATGTTCCACTCGGTGAGTTGAATGCAGACATCACAAAGGAGTTTCTGAGATTGCTTCTGTCTAGCTTTTATGGAAAGATATTTCCTTTTCTACCATAGGCCTCAAAGCGCTCTTAGTATACACTTCCAAATTCTACAAAGAGAGTGTTACTAAACCGCTCTCTCAAAGGAAATGTTAAACTCTGTGAGTTGAACACAGACATCACAAAGCAGTTTCTGAGAACACTTCTGTCTGCCTTTTATGTGAAGACATTCCCTTTTCCAAAGAATGCCTCCAAGGGCTCAAAATATCCACTTGTAGACTTTACAAAGAGAGTGTTTCAAAACTTCTCTACCAAAAGAAAGGTTAAAGACGGTGAGTTCAACGCACACATCACAAAGTTGTTTCTGAGAATGATTCTATCTATGTTTTCCATGAAGATGTTTCCTTTTCTATCATAGGCTTCAAAGTGGTCTAAATATCCACTTGGAAATCCTACAAGAACAGGGTTTCAAAACTTCTCTATCAAACGGAACACTCCACTCTGTGAGATGAACGCACACATCACAATGAGGTTTCTGAAAATTCTTCTGTCTAGGGTTATAGGAAGAAATCCCGTTTCCAACGAAGGCCTCAAAGAGGTCCAAATATCCACTTGCAGTTTCTACAAAAAGAGTGTTTCAACACTGCTCTATAAAGAGAAAAGTTCCACTCTGTGAGTTGAATGTACACATCACAAAGTAGTTTCTGAGATTGCTTCTGTCTAGGTTTTAGGTGAAGTTATTTCCTTTTCTACTGTGGGCTTCAATGCGCTCTAAATATACACATGCAAATACTACAAAAAGAGTGTTTCAAAACTGCTCTATCAAAAGAAACGTTTTACTCTGTGAGTTGAACGCACACATCGCAAAGCAGATTCTGAGAATTATTCTGTCTAGTTTTTATAGGAAGATGTTTCTTTTTCTGCCATAGGCTCAATGCACTATAAATATCCCCTTGGAAATCCTACAAAAACAGTGTTTCAAAACTGCTCTGTGAAAAGGGAGGTTTCACTCTTTGAATTGAATGCACACATCACAAAGGAGTTTCTGAAAATTCTTCAATCTAGAGTTACATGAAGAAATCCCGTTTCCAAAGAAGGCCTCAAATAGGTCCAAATATCCACTTGCAGCTACTACAAGAAGGGTGTTTCAGAAACGCTCTATCAAAAGAAACGTTAAACTCTGTGAGTTGAACGCACACGTCACTAAGCACTTTCTGAGAACGATTCTATCTACTTTTTACATGAAGATGTTTCCTTTTCTAGCAGAGACTTCAAAGTGCTCTAAATATCCACTTGGGAATTCTACAAAAACGGTGTCTCAAAACTGCTCTATCAAAGGGAATGTTCCATTCTGTGAGTCGAATGCACACATCCGAAGAAGTTACTGAGAATTCTTCTCTGTAGGTTTAGATGAAGAAATCCCGTTTCCAACGAAGGCCTCTAGGAGGTCCAATTATCCACTTGCAGATTCTACAGAAAGAGTGTTTCAAAACTGCTCTATCAAGAGAAATGGTCCACCGTGTGTGTGGAATGCAGCCATCACACATTAGTTTCTGAGATTGCTTCTGTCTTGGTTTTATGGGGAGATATTTCCATTTCTAGCATAGGCTTCAAGGCGCTCTAAATATCCGCTTGGAAATACTACAAAAACAGTGTTTCAAAACTGCTGTATCCAAAGGAAGGTGCCACTCGCTGAGTTGAATGCACACATCACAAGGAAGTTTCTGAGAATTCTTCTGTCTAGATTCATACGAAGAAATCCCGTTTCCAACGAAGGCCTCAAAGAAGTCCAAATATCCCATTGCAAATTCTACAAAAGGAGTGTTTCCCAACTGCTCTATCAAGAGGAATGTTGCACTCTGTGACTTGAATGCAAACATCACATAGCAGTGTTTGAGAATTCTTCTGTCTAGAGTAACATGAAGAAATCCCGTTTCCAACGAAGACCTCAAGGCGGTCCAATTATCCACTTGCAGATTCTACAGAAAGAGTGTTTCAAAACTGCTCTATCAAGAGAAATGTTCCACCGTGTGTGTGGAATGCAGCCATCACACAGTAGTTTCTGAGATTGCTTCCGTCTAGGTTTTATGGGAAGATATTTCCTTTTCTACCATAGGCCTCAAGGCGCTCTAATATCCGCTTGGAAATACTACAACCACAGCGTTTCAAACTGCTCTATCCAAAGGAAGGTTCCACTCTGTGACTTGAATGCACACAACCAAAGAAGTTTCGGAGAATTCTTCTGTCTGGATTTATACGAAGAAATCCCGTTTCCAACGAAGACCCAAAGGAGTTCCAAATATCCACTTGCAGATCCTTCAGAAAGAGGGTTTCAAAACTGCTCTATCAAGAGAAATGTTCAACTCTGTGAGTTGAATGCAGACATCACAAAGTCGTTTCTGAGATTGGTTCTGTCTAGGTTTTATGGGAAGATATTTCCTTTTCTACCATACGCTTCAAGGCGTTCCAAATATCCGCTTGGAAATACTACCAAAACAGTGTTTCAAAACTGCTCTATCAAAAGGAAGGATCCACACTGTGTGTTGAATTCACACATCACAAATAAATCTCTGAGAATTCTTCTGTCTGGGTTTATAGGAAGAAATCCCGTTTCCAACGAAGGCCTCAAAGCGGTCCATATATCCACTTGCAGATTCTACAGAAACAATGTTTCCAAACTGCTCTATCAAGAGGAATGTTGCACTCGGTGAGTTGAATGCACACATCACAAAGTAGTTTCTGAGATTGCTTCTGTCTACCTTTTATGGAAAGATATTCCCTTTTCTACCATAGGCCTGAAAGCGCTCTCAATGTACCCTTGCAAATTCTACAAAAAGAGTGTTTCCAAATTGCTCTATCAAGAGAAATCTTTATCTCGGTGAGTTGAAAGCACACATCACAAAGAAGACTCTGAGAATTCTTCTGTCTGGGTTTATAAGATGAAAACCCGTTTCCAACGAAGGCCTCAAGGAGGTCCAAATACAAACAAGCTGATTCTACAGAAAGAGTGTTTCCAAACTGCTCTATCAAGAGGAATGTTCCACTCGGTGAGTTGAATGCAGACATCACAAAGGAGTTTCTGAGATTGCTTCTGTCTAGCTTTTATGGAAAGATATTTCCTTTTCTACCATAGGCCTCAAAGCGCTCTTAGTATACACTTCCAAATTCTACAAAGAGAGTGTTACAAAACCGCTCTCTCTAAGGAAATGTTAAACTCTGTGAGTTGAACACAGACATCACAAAGCAGTTTCTGAGAACACTTCTGTCTGCCTTTTATGTGAAGACATTCCCTTTTCCAAAGAATGCCTCCAAGGGCTCAAAATATCCACTTGTAGACTTTACAATGAGAGTGTTTCAAAACTTCTCTACCAAAAGAAAGGTTAAAGACGGTGAGTTCAACGCACACATCACAAAGTTGTTTCTGAGAATGATTCTATCTATGTTTTCCATGAAGATGTTTCCTTTTCTATCATAGGCTTCAAAGTGGTCTAAATATCCACTTGGAAATCCTACAAGAACAGGGTTTCAAAACTTCTCTATCAAACGGAAGACTCCACTCTGTGAGATGAACGCACACATCACAATGAGGTTTCTGAAAATTCTTCTGTCTAGGGTTATAGGAAGAAATCCCGTTTCCAACAAAGGCCTCAAAGAGGTCCAAATATCCACTTGCAGTTTCTACAAAAAGAGTGTTTCAACACTGCTCTATAAAGAGAAAAGTTCCACTCTGTGAGTTGAATGTACACATCACAAAGTAGTTTCTGAGATTGCTTCTGTCTAGGTTTTAGGTGAAGTTATTTCCTTTTCTACTGTGGGCTTCAATGCGCTCTAAATATACACATGCAAATACTACAAAAAGAGTGTTTCAAAACTGCTCTATCAAAAGAAAAGTTTTACTCTGTGAGTTGAACGCACACATCGCAAAGCAGATTCTGAGAATTATTCTGTCTAGTTTTTATAGGAAGATGTTTCTTTTTCTGCCATAGGCTCAATGCGCTATAAATATCCCCTTGGAAATCCTACAAAAACAGTGTTTCAAAACTGCTCTGTGAAAAGGGAGGTTTCACTCTTTGAATTGAATGCACACTTCACAAAGGAGTTTCTGAAAATTCTTCAATCTAGAGTTACATGAAGAAATCCCGTTTCCAAAGAAGGCCTCAAATAGGTCCAAATATCCACTTGCAGCTACTACAAGAAGGGTGTTTCAGAAACGCTCTATCAAAAGAAACGTTAAACTCTGTGAGTTGAACGCACACGTCACTAAGCACTTTCTGAGAACGATTCTATCTACTTTTTACATGAAGATGTTTCCTTTTCTAGCAGAGACTTCAAAGTGCTCTAAATATCCACTTGGGAATTCTACAAAAACGGTGTCTCAAACCTGCTCCATCAAAGGGAATGTTCCATTCTGTGAGTCGAATGCACACATCCGAAGAAGTTACTGAGAATTCTTCTCTGTAGGTTTAGATGAAGAAATCCCGTTTCCAACGAAGGCCTCTAGGAGGTCCAATTATCCACTTGCAGATTCTACAGAAAGAGTGTTTCAAAACTGCTCTATCAAGAGAAATGGTCCACCGTGTGTGTGGAATGCAGCCATCACACATTAGTTTCTGAGATTGCTTCTGTCTTGGTTTTATGGGGAGATATTTCCATTTCTAGCATAGGCTTCAAGGCGCTCTAAATATCCGCTTGGAAATAGTACAAAAACAGTGTTTCAAAACTGCTGTATCCAAAGGAAGGTGCCACTCGCTGAGTTGAATGCACACATCACAAGGAAGTTTCTGAGAATTCTTCTGTCTAGATTCATACGAAGAAATCCCGTTTCCAACGAAGGCCTCAAAGAAGTCCAAATATCCCATTGCAAATTCTACAAAAGGAGTGTTTCCCAACTGCTCTATCAAGAGGAATGTTGCACTCTGTGACTTGAATGCAAACATCACATAGCAGTGTTTGAGAATTCTTCTGTCTAGAGTAACATGAAGAAATCCCGTTTCCAACGAAGGCCTCAAGGCGGTCCAATTATCCACTTGCAGATTCTACAGAAAGAGTGTTTCAAAACTGCTCTATCAAGAGAAATGTTCCACCGTGTGTGTGGAATGCAGCCATCACACAGTAGTTTCTGAGATTGCTTCCGTCTAGGTTTTATGGGAAGATATTTCCTTTTCTACCATAGGCCTCAAGGCGCTCTAATATCCGCTTGGAAATACTACAACCACAGCGTTTCAAACTGCTCTATCCAAAGGAAGGTTCCACTCTGTGACTTGAATGCACACAACCAAAGAAGTTTCGGAGAATTCTTCTGTCTGGATTTATACGAAGAAATCCGGTTTCCAAAGAAGACCCAAAGGAGTTCCAAATATCCACTTGCAGATCCTTCAGAAAGAGGGTTTCAAAACTGCTCTATCAAGAGAAATGTTCAACTCTGTGAGTTGAATGCAGACATGACAAAGTCGTTTCTGAGATTGGTTCTGTCTAGGTTTTATGGGAAGATATTTCCTTTTCTACCATATGCTTCAATGAGTTCCAAATATCCGCTTGGAAATACTACAAAAACAGTGTTTCAAAACTGCTCTATCAAAAGGAAGGATCCACACTGTGAGTTGAATTCACACATCACAAAGAAGTCTCTGAGAATTCTTCTGTCTGGGTTTATAGGAAGAAATCCCGTTTCCAACGAAGGCCTCAAAGAGGTCCAAATATCCACTTGCAGATTCTACAGAAACAATGTTTCCAAACTGCTCGGTCAAGAGGAATGTTGCACTCGGTGAGTTGAATGCACACATCACTAAATAGTTTCTGAGATTGCTTCTGTCTACCTTTTATGGAAAGATATTCCCTTTTCTACCATAGGCCTGAAAGCTCTCTCAATGTACCCTTGCAAATTCTACAAAAAGAGTGTTTCCAAATTGCTCTATCAAGAGAAATCTTTATCTCGGTGAGTTGAAAGCACACATCACAAAGAAGACTCTGAGAATTCTTCTGTCTGGGTTTATAAGATGAAAACCCGTTTCCAACGAAGGTCTCAAGGAGGTCCAAATACAAACAAGCTGATTCTACAGAAAGAGTGTTTCCAAACTGCTCTATCAAGAGGAATGTTCCACTCGGTGAGTTGAATGCAGACATCACAAAGGAGTTTCTGAGATTGCTTCTGTCTAGCTTTTATGGAAAGATATTTCCTTTTCTACCATAGGCCTCAAAGCGCTCTTAGTATACACTTCCAAATTCTACAAAGAGAGTGTTACTAAACCGCTCTCTCAAAGGAAATGTTAAACTCTGTGAGTTGAACACAGACATCACAAAGCAGTTTCTGAGAACACTTCTGTCTGCCTTTTATGTGAAGACATTCCCTTTTCCAAAGAATGCCTCCAAGGGCTCAAAATATCCACTCGTAGACTTTACAAAGAGAGTGTTTCAAAACTTCTCTACCAAAAGAAAGGTTAAAGACGGTGAGTTCAACGCACACATCACAAAGTTGTTTCTGAGAATGATTCTATCTATGTTTTCCATGAAGATGTTTCCTTTTCTATCATAGGCTTCAAAGTGGTCTAAATATCCACTTGGAAATCCTACAAGAACAGGGTTTCAAAACTTCTCTATCAAACGGAAGACTCCACTCTGTGAGATGAACGCACACATCACAATGAGGTTTCTGAAAATTCTTCTGTCTAGGGTTATAGGAAGAAATCCCGTTTCCAACGAAGGCCTCAAAGAGGTCCAAATATCCACTTGCAGTTTCTACAAAAAGAGTGTTTCAACACTGCTCTATAAAGAGAAAAGTTCCACTCTGTGAGTTGAATGTACACATCACAAAGTAGTTTCTGAGATTGCTTCTGTCTAGGTTTTAGGTGAAGTTATTTCCTTTTCTACTGTGGGCTTCAATGCGCTCTAAATATACACATGCAAATACTACAAAAAGAGTGTTTCAAAACTGCTCTATCAAAAGAAAAGTTTTACTCTGTGAGTTGAACGCACACATCGCAAAGCAGATTCTGAGAATTATTCTGTCTAGTTTTTATAGGAAGGTGTTTCTTTTTCTGCAGTAGGCTCAATGCGCTATAAATATCCCCTTGGAAATCCTACAAAAACAGCGTTTCAAAACTGCTCTGTGAAAAGGGAGGTTTCACTCTTTGAATTGAATGCACACATCACAAAGGAGTTTCTGAGAATTCTTCAATCTAGAGTTACAGGAAGAAATCCCGTTTCCAAAGAAGGCCTCCAATAGTTCCAAATATCCACTTGCAGCTACTACAAGAAGGGTGTTTCAGAAACGCTCTATCAAAAGAAACGTTACACTCTGTGAGTTAAACGCACACGTCACTAAGCACTTTCTGAGAACGATTCTGTCTACTTTTTACATGAAGATGTTTCCTTTTCTAGCAGAGACTTCAAAGTGCTCTAAATATCCACTTGGGAATTCTACCAAAACGGTGTCTCAAAACTGCTCTATCGAAGGGAATGTTCCACTCTGTGAGTCGAATGCACACATCCGAAGAAGTTACTGAGAATTCTTCTCTGTAGGTTTAGATGAAGAAATCCCGTTTCCAACGAAGGCCTCTAGGAGGTCCAATTATCCACTTGCAGATTCTACAGAAAGAGTGTTTCAAAACTGCTCTATCAAGAGAAATGGTCCACCGTGTGTGTGGAATGCAGCCATCACACATTAGTTTCTGAGATTGCTTCTGTCTTGGTTTTATGGGGAGATATTTCCATTTCTAGCATAGGGTTCAAGGCGCTCTAAATATCCGCTTGGAAATACTACAAAAACAGTGTTTCAAAACTGCTGTATCCAAAGGAAGGTGCCACTCACTGAGTTGAATGCACACATCACAAGGAAGTTTCTGAGAATTCTTCTGTCTAGATTCATACGAAGAAATCCCGTTTCCAACGAAGGCCTCAAAGAAGTCCAAATATCCCATTGCAAATTCTACAAAAGGAGTGTTTCCCAACTGCTCTATCAAGAGGAATGTTGCACTCTGTGACTTGCATGCAAACATCACATAGCAGTGTTTGAGAATTCTTCTGTCTAGAGTAACATGAAGAAATCCCGTTTCCAACGAAGGCCTCAAGGCGGTCCAATTATCCACTTGCAGATTCTACAGAAAGAGTGTTTCAAAACTGCTCTATCAAGAGAAATGTTCCACCGTGTGTGTGGAATGCAGCCATCACACAGTAGTTTCTGAGATTGCTTCCGTCTAGGTTTTATGGGAAGATATTTCCTTTTCTACCATAGGCCTCAAGGCGCTCTAATATCCGCTTGGAAATACTACAACCACAGCGTTTCAAACTGCTCTATCCAAAGGAAGGTTCCACTCTGTGACTTGAATGCACACAACCAAAGAAGTTTCGGAGAATTCTTCTGTCTGGATTTATACGAAGAAATCCCGTTTCCAACGAAGACCCAAAGGAGTTCCAAATATCCACTTGCAGATCCTTCAGAAAGAGGGTTTCAAAACTGCTCTATCAAGAGAAATGTTCAACTCTGTGAGTTGAATGCAGACATCACAAAGTCGTTTCTGAGATGGGTTCTGTCTAGGTTTTATGGGAAGATATTTCTTTTTCTACCATACGCTTCAAGGCGTTCCAAATATCCGCTTGGAAATACTACAAAAACGGTGTTTCAAAACTGCTCTATCAAAAGGAAGGATCCACACTGTGAGTTGAATTCACACATCACAAAGAAATCTCTGAGAATTCTTCTGTCTGGGTTTATAGGAAGAAATCCCGTTTCCAACGAAGGCCTCAAAGCGGTCCATATATCCACTTGCAGATTCTACAGAAACAATGTTTCCAAACTGCTCTATCAAGAGGAATGTTGCACTCGGTGAGTTGAATGCACACATCACAAAGTAGTTTCTGAGATTGCTTCTGTCTACCTTTTATGGAAAGATATTCCCTTTTCTACCATAGGCCTGAAAGCGCTCTCAATGTACCCTTGCAAATTCTACAAAAAGAGTGTTTCCAAATTGCTCTATCAAGAGAAATCTTTATCTCGGTGAGTTGAAAGCACACATCACAAAGAAGACTCTGAGAATTCTTCTGTCTGGTTTATAAGATGAAAACCCGTTTCCAACGAAGGCCTCAAGGAGGTCCAAATACAAACAAGCTGATTCTACAGAAAGAGTGTTTCCAAACTGCTCTATCAAGAGGAATGTTCCACTCGGTGAGTTGAATGCAGACATCACAAAGGAGTTTCTGAGATTGCTTCTGTCTAGCTTTTATGGAAAGATATTTCCTTTTCTACCATAGGCCTCAAAGCACTCTTAGTATACACTTCCAAATTCTACAAAGAGAGTGTTACTAAACCGCTCTCTCAAAGGAAATGTTAAACTCTGTGAGTTGAACACAGACATCACAAAGCAGTTTCTGAGAACACTTCTGTCTGCCTTTTATGTGAAGACATTCCCTTTTCCAAAGAATGCCTCCAAGGGCTCAAAATATCCACTTGTAGACTTTACAAAGAGAGTGTTTCAAAACTTCTCTACCAAAAGAAAGGTTAAAGACGGTGAGTTCAACGCACACATCACAAAGTTGTTTCTGAGAATGATTCTATCTATGTTTTCCATGAAGATGTTTCCTTTTCTATCATAGGCTTCAAAGTGGTCTAAATATCCACTTGGAAATCCTACAAGAACAGGGTTTCAAAACTTCTCTATCAAACGGAAGACTCCACTCTGTGAGATGAACGCACACATCACAATGAGGTTTCTGAAAATTCTTCTGTCTAGGGTTATAGGAAGAAATCCCGTTTCCAACGAAGGCCTCAAAGAGGTCCAAATATCCACTTGCAGTTTCTACAAAAAGAGTGTTTCAACACTGCTCTATAAAGAGGAAAGTTCCACTCTGTGAGTTGAATGTACACATCACAAAGTAGTTTCTGAGATTGCTTCTGTCTAGGTTTTAGGTGAAGTTATTTCCTTTTCTACTGTGGGCTTCAATGCGCTCTAAATATACACATGCAAATACTACAAAAAGAGTGTTTCAAAACTGCTCTATCAAAAGAAAAGTTTTACTCTGTGAGTTGAACGCACACATCGCAAAGCAGATTCTGAGAATTATTCTGTCTAGTTTTTATAGGAAGATGTTTCTTTTTCTGCCATAGGATCAATGCGCTATAAATATCCCCTTGGAAATCCTACAAAAACAGTGTTTCAAAACTGCTCTGTGAAAAGGGAGGTTTCACTCTTTGAATTGAATGCACACATCACAAAGGAGTTTCTGAAAATTCTTCAATCTAGAGTTACATGAAGAAATCCCGTTTCCAAAGAAGGCCTCAAATAGGTCCAAATATCCACTTGCAGCTACTACAAGCAGGGTGTTTCAGAAACGCTCTATCAAAAGAAACGTTAAACTCTGTGAGTTGAACACACACGTCACTAAGCACTTTCTGAGAACGATTCTATCTACTTTTTACATGAAGATGTTTCCTTTTCTAGCAGAGACTTCAAAGTGCTCTAAATATCCACTTGGGAATTCTACAAAAACGGTGTCTCAAAACTGCTCTATCAAACGGAATGTTCCATTCTGTGAGTCGAATGCACACATCCGAAGAAGTTACTGAGAATTCTTCTCTGTAGGTTTAGATGAAGAAATCCCGTTTCCAACGAAGGCCTCTAGGAGGTCCAATTATCCACTTGCAGATTCTACAGAAAGAGTGTTTCAAAACTGCTCTATCAAGAGCAATGGTCCACCGTGTGTGTGGAATGCAGCCATCACACATTAGTTTCTGAGATTGCTTCTGTCTTGGTTTTATGGGGAGATATTTCCATTTCTAGCATAGGCTTCAAGGCGCTCTAAATATCCGCTTGGAAATACTACAAAAACAGTGTTTCAAAACTGCTGTATCCAAAGGAAGGTGCCACTCGCTGAGTTGAATGCACACATCACAAGGAAGTTTCTGAGAATTCTTCTGTCTAGATTCATACGAAGAAATCCCGTTTCCAACGAAGGCCTCAAAGAAGTCCAAATATCCCATTGCAAATTCTACAAAAGGAGTGTTTCCCAACTGCTCTATCAAGAGGAATGTTGCACTCTGTGACTTGCATGCAAACATCACATAGCAGTGTTTGAGAATTCTTCTGTCTAGAGTAACATGAAGAAATCCCGTTTCCAACGAAGGCCTCAAGGCGGTCCAATTATCCACTTGCAGATTCTACAGAAAGAGTGTTTCAAAACTGCTCTATCAAGAGAAATGTTCCACCGTGTGTGTGGAATGCAGCCATCACACAGTAGTTTCTGAGATTGCTTCCGTCTAGGTTTTATGGGAAGATATTTCCTTTTCTACCATAGGCCTCAAGGCGCTCTAATATCCGCTTGGAAATACTACAACCACAGCGTTTCAAACTGCTCTATCCAAAGGAAGGTTCCACTCTGTGACTTGAATGCACACAACCAAAGATGTTTCGGAGAATTCTTCTGTCTAGATTTATACGAAGAAATCCCGTTTCCAACGAAGACCCAAAGGAGTTCCAAATATCCACTTGCAGATCCTTCAGAAAGAGGGTTTCAAAACTGCTCTATCAAGAGAAATGTTCAACTCTGTGAGTTGAATGCAGACATCACAAAGTCGTTTCTGAGATTGGTTCTGTCTAGGTTTTATGGGAAGATATTTCCTTTTCTACCATACGCTTCAAGGCGTTCCAAATATCCGCTTGGAAATACTACAAAAACAGTGTTTCAAAACTGCTCTATCAAAAGGAAGGATCCACACTGTGAGTTGAATTCACACATCACAAAGAAGTCTCTGAGAATTCTTCTGTCTGGGTTTATAGGAAGAAATCCCGTTTCCAACGAAGGCCTCAAAGAGGTCCAAATATCCACTTGCAGATTCTACAGAAACAATGTTTCCAAACTGCTCGGTCAAGAGGAATGTTGCACTCGGTGAGTTGAATGCACACATCACAAAGTAGTTTCTGAGATTGCTTCTGTCTACCTTTTATGGAAAGATATTCCCTTTTCTACCATAGGCCTGAAAGCGCTCTCAATGTACCCTTGCAAATTCTACAAAAAGAGTGTTTCCAAATTGCTCTATCAAGAGAAATCTTTATCTCGGTGAGTTGAAAGCACACATCACAAAGAAGACTCTGAGAATTCTTCTGTCTGGGTTTATAAGATGAAAACCCGTTTCCAACGAAGGCCTCAAGGAGGTCCAAATACAAACAAGCTGATTCTACAGAAAGAGTGTTTCCAAACTGCTCTATCAAGAGGAATGTTCCACTCGGTGAGTTGAATGCAGACATCACAAAGGAGTTTCTGAGATTGCTTCTGTCTAGCTTTTATGGAAAGATAATTCCTTTTCTACCATAGGCCTCAAAGCGCTCTTAGTATACACTTCCAAATTCTACAAAGAGAGTGTTACTAAACCGCTCTCTCAAAGGTAATGTTAAACTCTGTGAGTTGAACACAGACATCACAAAGCAGTTTCTGAGAACACTTCTGTCTGCCTTTTATGTGAAGACATTCCCTTTTCCAAAGAATGCCTCCAAGGGCTCAAAATATCCACTTGTAGACTTTACAAAGAGAGTGTTTCAAAACTTCTCTACCAAAAGAAAGGTTAAAGACGGTGAGTTCAACGCACACATCACAAAATTGTTTCTGACAATGATTCTATCTATGTTTTCCATGAAGATGTTTCCTTTTCTATCATAGGCTTCAAAGTGGTCTAAATATCCACTTGGAAATCCTACAAGAACAGGGTTTCAAAACTTCTCTATCAAACGGAAGACTCCACTCTGTGAGATGAACGCACACATCACAATGAGGTTTCTGAAAATTCTTCTGTCTAGGGTTATAGGAAGAAATCCCGTTTCCAACGAAGGCCTCAAAGAGGTCCAAATATCCACTTGCAGTTTCTACAAAAAGAGTGTTTCAACACTGCTCTATAAAGAGGAAAGTTCCACTCTGTGAGTTGAATGTACACATCACAAAGTAGTTTCTGAGATTGCTTCTGTCTAGGTTTTAGGTGAAGTTATTTCCTTTTCTACTGTGGGCTTCAATGCGCTCTAAATATACACATGCAAATACTACAAAAAGAGTGTTTCAAAACTGCTCTATCAAAAGAAAAGTTTTACTCTGTGGGTTGAACGCACACATCGCAAAGCAGATTCTGAGAATTATTCTGTCTAGTTTTTATAGGAAGATGTTTCTTTTTCTGCCGTAGGCTCAATGCGCTATAAATATCCCCTTGGAAATCCTACAAAAACAGTGTTTCAAAACTGCTCTGTGGAAAGGGAAGTTTCACTCTTTGAATTGAATGCACACATCACAAAGGAGTTTCTGAAAATTCTTCAATCTAGAGTTACATGAAGAAATCCCGTTTCCAAAGAAGGCCTCAAATAGGTCCAAATATCCACTTGCAGCTACTACAAGCAGGGTGTTTCAGAAACGCTCTATCAAAAGAAACGTTAAACTCTGTGAGTTGAACACACACGTCACTAAGCACTTTCTGAGAACGATTCTATCTACTTTTTACATGAAGATGTTTCCTTTTCTAGCAGAGACTTCAAAGTGCTCTAAATATCCACTTGGGAATTCTACAAAAACGGTGTCTCAAAACTGCTCTATCAAACGGAATGTTCCATTCTGTGAGTCGAATGCACACATCCGAAGAAGTTACTGAGAATTCTTCTCTGTAGGTTTAGATGAAGAAATCCCGTTTCCAACGAAGGCCTCTAGGAGGTCCAATTATCCACTTGCAGATTCTACAGAAAGAGTGTTTCAAAACTGCTCTATCAAGAGAAATGGTCCACCGTGTGTGTGGAATGCAGCCATCACACATTAGTTTCTGAGATTGCTTCTGTCTTGGTTTTATGGGGAGATATTTCCATTTCTAGCATAGGCTTCAAGGCGCTCTAAATATCCGCTTGGAAATACTACAAAAACAGTGTTTCAAAACTGCTGTATCCAAAGGAAGGTGCCACTCGCTGAGTTGAATGCACACATCACAAGGAAGTTTCTGAGAATTCTTCTGTCTAGATTCATACGAAGAAATCCCGTTTCCAACGAAGGCCTCAAAGAAGTCCAAATATCCCATTGCAAATTCTACAAAAGGAGTGTTTCCCAACTGCTCTATCAAGAGGAATGTTGCACTCTGTGACTTGCATGCAAACATCACACAGCAGTGTTTGAGAATTCTTCTGTCTAGAGTAACATGAAGAAATCCCGTTTCCAACGAAGGCCTCAAGGCGGTCCAATTATCCACTTGCAGATTCTACAGAAAGAGTGTTTCAAAACTGCTCTATCAAGAGAAATGTTCCACCGTGTGTGTGGAATGCAGCCATCACACAGTAGTTTCTGAGATTGCTTCCGTCTAGGTTTTATGGGAAGATATTTCCTTTTCTACCATAGGCCTCAAGGCGCTCTAATATCCGCTTGGAAATACTACAACCACAGCGTTTCAAACTGCTCTATCCAAAGGAAGGTTCCACTCTGTGACTTGAATGCACACAACCAAAGAAGTTTCGGAGAATTCTTCTGTCTGGATTTATACGAAGAAATCCCGTTTCCAACGAAGACCCAAAGGAGTTCCAAATATCCACTTGCAGCTCCTTCAGAAAGAGGGTTTCAAAACTGCTCTATCAAGAGAAATGTTCAACTCTGTGAGTTGAATGCAGACATCACAAAGTCGTTTCTGAGATGGGTTCTGTCTAGGTTTTATGGGAAGATATTTCCTTTTCTACCATACGCTTCAAGGCGTTCCAAATATCCGCTTGGAAATACTACAAAAACGGTGTTTCAAAACTGCTCTATCAAAAGGAAGGATCCACACTGTGAGTTGAATTCACACATCACAAAGAAATCTCTGAGAATTCTTCTGTCTGGGTTTATAGGAAGAAATCCCGTTTCCAACGAAGGCCTCAAAGAGGTCCAAATATCCACTTGCAGATTCTACAGAAACAATGTTTCCAAACTGCTCGGTCAAGAGGAATGTTGCACTCGGTGAGTTGAATGCACACATCACAAAGTAGTTTCTGAGATTGCTTCTGTCTACCTTTTATGGAAAGATATTCCCTTTTCTACCATAGGCCTGAAAGCGCTCTCAATGTACCCTTGCAAATTCTACAAAAAGAGTGTTTCCAAATTGCTCTATCAAGAGAAATCTTTATCTCGGTGAGTTGAAAGCACACATCACAAAGAAGACTCTGAGAATTCTTCTGTCTGGGTTTATAAGATGAAAACCCGTTTCCAACGAAGGCCTCAAGGAGGTCCAAATACAAACAAGCTGATTCTACAGAAAGAGTGTTTCCAAACTGCTCTATCAAGAGGAATGTTCCACTCGGTGAGTTGAATGCAGACATCACAAAGGAGTTTCTGAGATTGCTTCTGTCTAGCTTTTATGGAAAGATATTTCCTTTTCTACCATAGGCCTCAAAGCGCTCTTAGTATACACTTCCAAATTCTACAAAGAGAGTGTTACTAAACCGCTCTCTCAAAGGAAATGTTAAACTCTGTGAGTTGAACACAGACATCACAAAGCAGTTTCTGAGAACACTTCTGTCTGCCTTTTATGTGAAGACATTCCCTTTTCCAAAGAATGCCTCCAAGGGCTCAAAATATCCACTTGTAGACTTTACAAAGAGAGTGTTTCAAAACTTCTCTACCAAAAGAAAGGTTAAAGACGGTGAGTTCAACGCACACATCACAAAGTTGGTTCTGAGGAATGATTCTATCTATGTTTTCCATGAAGATGTTTCCTTTTCTATCATAGGCTTCAAAGTGGTCTAAATATCCACTTGGAAATCCTACAAGAACAGGGTTTCAAAACTTCTCTATCAAACGGAAGACTCCACTCTGTGAGATGAACGCACACATCACAATGAGGTTTCTGAAAATTCTTCTGTCTAGGGTTATAGGAAGAAATCCCGTTTCCAACGAAGGCCTCAAAGAAGGTCCAAATATCCACTTGCAGTTTCTACAAAAAGAGTGTTTCAACACTGCTCTATAAAGAGGAAAGTTCCACTCTGTGAGTTGAATGTACACATCACAAAATAGTTTCTGAGATTGCTTCTGTCTAGGTTTTAGGTGAAGTTATTTCCTTTTCTACTGTGGGCTTCAATGCGCTCTAAATATACACATGCAAATACTACAAAAAGAGTGTTTCAAAACTGCTCTATCAAAAGAAAAGTTTTCCTCTGTGGGTTGAACGCACACATCGCAAAGCAGATTCTGAGAATTATTCTGTCTAGTTTTTATAGGAAGATGTTTCTTTTTCTGCCGTAGGCTCAATGCGCTATAAATATCCCCTTGGAAATCCTACAAAAACAGTGTTTCAAAACTGCTCTGTGAAAAGGGAGGTTTCACTCTTTGAATTGAATGCACACATCACAAAGGAGTTTCTGAAAATTCTTCAAACTAGAGTTACATGAAGAAATCCCGTTTCCAAAGAAGGCCTCAAATAGGTCCAAATATCCACTTGCAGCTACTACAAGAAGGGTGTTTCAGAAACGCTCTATCAAAAGAAACGTTAAACTCTGTGAGTTGAACGCACACGTCACTAAGCACTTTCTGAGAACGATTCTATCTACTGTTTACATGAAGATGTTTCCTTTTCTAGCAGAGACTTCAAAGTGCTCTAAATATCCACTTGGGAATTCTACAAAAACGGTGTCTCAAAACTGCTCTATCAAACGGAATTTTCCATTCTGTGAGTCGAATGCACACATCCGAAGAAGTTACTGAGAATTCTTCTCTGTAAGTTTAGATGAAGAAATCCCGTTTCCAACGAAGGCCTCTAGGAGGTCCAATTATCCACTTGCAGATTCTACAGAAAGAGTGTTTCAAAACTGCTCTATCAAGAGAAATGGTCCACCGTGTGTGCGGAATGCAGCCATCACACATTAGTTTCTGAGATTGCTTCTGTCTTGGTTTTGTGGGGAGATATTTCCATTTCTAGCATAGGCTTCAAGGCGCTCTAAATATCCGCTTGGAAATACTACAATAACAGTGTTTCAAAACTGCTGTATCCAAAGGAAGGTGACACTCGCTCAGTTGAATGCACACATCACAAGGAAGTTTCTGAGAATTCTTCTGTCTAGATTCATACGAAGAAATCCCGTTTCCAACGAAGGCCTCAAAGAAGTCCAAATATCCCATTGCAGATTCTACAAAAGGTGTCTTTCCCAACTGCTCTATCAAGAGGAATGTGGCACTCTGTGACTTGAATGCAAACATCACATAGAAGTGTTTGAGAATTCTTCTATCTAGAGTAACATGAAGAAATCCCGTTTCCAATGAAAGCCTCAAGGCGGTCCAATTATCCACTTGCAGATTCTACAGAAAGAGTGTTTCAAAACTGCTCTATCAAGAGAAATGTTCCACCGTGTGTGTGGAATGCAGCCATCACACAGTAGTTTCTGAGATTGCTTCCGTCTAGGTTTTATGGGAAGATATTTCCTTTTCTACCATAGGCCTCAAGGCGCTCTAATATCCGCTTGGAAATACTACAACCACAGCGTTTCAAACTGCTCTATCCAAAGGAAGGTTCCACTCTGTGACTTGAATGCACACAACCAAAGAAGTTTCGGAGAATTCTTCTGTCTAGATTTATACGAAGAAATCCCGTTTCCAACGAAGACCCAAAGGAGTTCCAAATATCCACTTGCAGATCCTTCAGAAAGAGGGTTTCAAAACTGCTCTATCAAGAGAAATGTTCAACTCTGTGAGTTGAATGCAGACATCACAAAGTCGTTTCTGAGATTGGTTCTGTCTAGGTTTTATGGGAAGATATTTCCTTTTCTACCATACGCTTCAAGGCGTTCCAAATATCCGCTTGGAAATACTACAAAAACAGTGTTTCAAAACTGCTCTATCAAAAGGAAGGATCCACACTGTGAGTTGAATTCACACATCACAAAGAAGTCTCTGAGAATTCTTCTGTCTGGGTTTATAGGAAGAAATCCCGTTTCCAACGAAGGCCTCAAAGAGGTCCAAATATCCACTTGCAGATTCTACAGAAACAATGTTTCCAAACTGCTCGGTCAAGAGGAATGTTGCACTCGGTGAGTTGAATGCACACATCACAAAGTAGTTTCTGAGATTGCTTCTGTCTACCTTTTATGGAAAGATATTCCCTTTTCTACCATAGGCCTGAAAGCGCTCTCAATGTACCCTTGCAAATTCTACAAAAAGAGTGTTTCCAAATTGCTCTATCAAGAGAAATCTTTATCTCGGTGAGTTGAAAGCACACATCACAAAGAAGACTCTGAGAATTCTTCTGTCTGGGTTTATAAGATGAAAACCCGTTTCCAACGAAGGCCTCAAGGAGGTCCAAATACAAACAAGCTGATTCTACAGAAAGAGTGTTTCCAAACTGCTCTATCAAGAGGAATGTTCCACGCGGTGAGTTGAATGCAGACATCACAAAGGAGTTTCTGAGATTGCTTCTGTCTAGCTTTTATGGAAAGATATTTCCTTTTCTACCATAGGCCTCAAAGCGCTCTTAGTATACACTTCCAAATTCTACAAAGAGAGTGTTACTAAACCGCTCTCTCAAAGGAAATGTTAAACTCTGTGAGTTGAACACAGACATCACAAAGCAGTTTCTGAGAACACTTCTGTCTGCCTTTTATGTGAAGACATTCCCTTTTCCAAAGAATGCCTCCAAGGGCTCAAAATATCCACTCGTAGACTTTACAAAGAGAGTGTTTCAAAACTTCTCTACCAAAAGAAAGGTTAAAGACGGTGAGTTCAACGCACACATCACAAAGTTGTTTCTGAGAATGATTCTATCTATGTTTTCCATGAAGATGTTTCCTTTTCTATCATAGGCTTCAAAGTGGTCTAAATATCCACTTGGAAATCCTACAAGAACAGGGTTTCAAAACTTCTCTATCAAACGGAAGACTCCACTCTGTGAGATGAACGCACACATCACAATGAGGTTTCTGAAAATTCTTCTGTCTAGGGTTATAGGAAGAAATCCCGTTTCCAACGAAGGCCTCAAAGAGGTCCAAATATCCACTTGCAGTTTCTACAAAAAGAGTGTTTCAACACTGCTCTATAAAGAGGAAAGTTCCACTCTGTGAGTTGAATGTACACATCACAAAGTAGTTTCTGAGATTGCTTCTGTCTAGGTTTTAGGTGAAGTTATTTCCTTTTCTACTGTGGGCTTCAATGCGCTCTAAATATACACATGCAAATACTACAAAAAGAGTGTTTCAAAACTGCTCTATCAAAAGAAAAGTTTTACTCTGTGGGTTGAACGCACACATCGCAAAGCAGATTCTGAGAATTATTCTGTCTAGTTTTTATAGGAAGATGTTTCTTTTTCTGCCATAGGCTCAATGCGCTATAAATATCCCCTTGGAAATCCTACAAAAACAGTGTTTCAAAACTGCTCTGTGAAAAGGGAGGTTTCACTCTTTGAATTGAATGCACACATCACAAAGGAGTTTCTGAAAATTCTTCTATCTAGAGTAACATGAAGAAATCCCGTTTCCAAAGAAGGCCTCCAATAGGTCCAAATATCCACTTACAGCTACTACAAGAAGGGTGTTTCAGAAACGCTCTATCAAAAGAAACGTTACACTCTGTGAGTTGAACGCCCACGTCACTAAGCACTTTCTGAGAACGATCCTATCTACTTTTTACATGAAAGATGTTTCCTTTTCTAGCAGAGACTTCAAAGTGCTCTAAATATCCACTTGGGAATTCTACAAAAACGGTGTCTCAAAACTGCTCTATCAAACGGAATGTTCCATTCTGTGAGTCGAATGCACACATCCGAAGAAGTTACTGAGAATTCTTCTCTGTAGGTTTAGATGAAGAAATCCCGTTTCCAACGAAGGCCTCTAGGAGGTCCAATTATCCACTTGCAGATTCTACAGAAAGAGTGTTTCAAAACTGCTCTATCAAGAGAAATGGTCCACCGTGTGTGTGGAATGCAGCCATCACACATTAGTTTCTGAGATTGCTTCTGTCTTGGTTTTATGGGGAGATATTTCCATTTCTAACATAGGCTTCAAGGCGCTCTAAATATCCGCTTGGAAATAGTACAAAAATAGTGTTTCAAAACTGCTGTATCCAAAGGAAGGTGCCACTCGCTGAGTTGAATGCACACATCACAAGGAAGTTTCTGAGAATTCTTCTGTCTAGATTCATACGAAGAAATCCCGTTTCCAACGAAGGCATCAAAGAAGTCCAAATATCCCATTGCAAATTCTACAAAAGGAGTGTTTCCCAACTGCTCTATCAAGAGGAATGTTGCACTCTGTGACTTGAATGCAAACATCACATAGCAGTGTTTGAGAATTCTTCTGTCTAGAGTAACATGAAGAAATCCCGTTTCCAACGAAGGCCTCAAGGCGGTCCAATTACCCACTTGCAGATTCTACAGAAAGAGTGTTTCAAAACTGCTCTATCAAGAGAAATGTTCCACCGTGTGTGTGGAATGCAGCCATCACAAAGTAGTTTCTGAGATTGCTTCCGTCTAGGTTTTATGGGAAGATATTTCCTTTTCTACCATAGGCTTCAAGGCGCTCTAATATCCGCTTGGAAATACTACAACCACAGCGTTTCAAACTGCTCTATCCAAAGGAAGGTTCCACTCTGTGACTTGAATGCACACAACCAAAGAAGTTTCGGAGAATTCTTCTGTCTGGATTTATACGAAGAAATCCCGTTTCCAACGAAGACCCAAAGGAGTTCCAAATATCCACTTGCAGATCCTTCAGAAAGAGGGTTTCAAAACTGCTCTATCAAGAGAAATGTTCAACTCTGTGAGTTGAATGCAGACATCACAAAGTCGTTTCTGAGATGGGTTCTGTCTAGGTTTTATGGGAAGATATTTCCTTTTCTACCATACGCTTCAAGGCTTTCCAAATATCCGCTTGGAAATACTACAAAAACAGTGTTTCAAAACTGCTCTATCAAAAGGAAGGATCCACACTGTGAGTTGAATTCACACATCACAAAGAAATCTCTGAGAATTCTTCTGTCTGGGTTTATAGGAAGAAATCCCGTTTCCAACGAAGGCCTCAAAGCGGTCCATATATCCACTTGCAGATTCTACAGAAACAATGTTTCCAAACTGCTCTATCAAGAGGAATGTTGCACTCGGTGAGTTGAATGCACACATCACAAAGTAGTTTCTGAGATTGCTTCTGTCTACCTTTTATGGAAAGATATTCCCTTTTCTACCATAGGCCTGAAAGCGCTCTCAATGTACCCTTGCAAATTCTACAAAAAGAGTGTTTCCAAATTGCTCTATCAAGAGAAATCTTTATCTCGGTGAGTTGAAAGCACACATCACAAAGAAGACTCTGAGAATTCTTCTGTCTGGGTTTATAAGATGAAAACCCGTTTCCAACGAAGGCCTCAAGGAGGTCCAAATACAAACAAGCTGATTCTACAGAAAGAGTGTTTCCAAACTGCTCTATCAAGAGGAATGTTCCACTCGGTGAGTTGAATGCAGACATCACAAAGGAGTTTCTGAGATTGCTTCTGTCTAGCTTTTATGGAAAGATATTTCCTTTTCTACCATAGGCCTCAAAGCGCTCTTAGTATACACTTCCAAATTCTACAAAGAGAGTGTTACTAAACCGCTCTCTCAAAGGAAATGTTAAACTCTGTGAGTTGAACACAGACATCACAAAGCAGTTTCTGAGAACACTTCTGTCTGCCTTTTATGTGAAGACATTCCCTTTTCCAAAGAATGCCTCCAAGGGCTCAAAATATCCACTTGTAGACTTTACAAAGAGAGTGTTTCAAAACTTCTCTACCAAAAGAAAGGTTAAAGACGGTGAGTTCAACGCACACATCACAAAGTTGTTTCTGAGAATGATTCTATCTATGTTTTCCATGAAGATGTTTCCTTTTCTATCATAGGCTTCAAAGTGGTCTAAATATCCACTTGGAAATCCTACAAGAACAGGGTTTCAAAACTTCTCTATCAAACGGAAGACTCCACTCTGTGAGATGAACGCACACATCACAATGAGGTTTCTGAAAATTCTTCTGTCTAGGGTTATAGGAAGAAATCCCGTTTCCAACGAAGGCCTCAAAGAGGTCCAAATATCCACTTGCAGTTTCTACAAAAAGAGTGTTTCAACACTGCTCTATAAAGAGGAAAGTTCCACTCTGTGAGTTGAATGTACACATCACAAAGTAGTTTCTGAGATTGCTTCTGTCTAGGTTTTAGGTGAAGTTATTTCCTTTTCTACTTTGGGCTTCAATGCGCTCTAAATATACACATGCAAATACTACAAAAAGAGTGTTTCAAAACTGCTCTATCAAAAGAAAAGTTTTACTCTGTGGGTTGAACGCACACATCGCAAAGCAGATTCTGAGAATTATTCTGTCTAGTTTTTATAGGAAGATGTTTCTTTTTCTGCCATAGGATCAATGCGCTATAAATATCCCCTTGGAAGTCCTACAAAAACAGTGTTTCAAAACTGCTCTGTGAAAAGGGAGGTTTCACTCTTTGAATTGAATGCACACATCACAAAGGAGTTTCTGAAAATTCTTCAATCTAGAGTTACATGAAGAAATCCCGTTTCCAAAGAAGGCCTCAAATAGGTCCAAATATCCACTTGCAGCTACTACAAGAAGGGTGTTTCAGAAACGCTCTATCAAAAGAAACGTTAAACTCTGTGAGTTGAACGCACACGTCACTAAGCACTTTCTGAGAACGATTCTATCTACTTTTTACATGAAGATGTTTCCTTTTCTAGCAGAGACTTCAAAGTGCTCTAAATATCCACTTGGGAATTCTACAAAAACGGTGTCTCAAAACTGCTCTATCAAAGGGAATGTTCCATTCTGTGAGTCGAATGCACACATCCGAAGAAGTTACTGAGAATTCTTCTCTGTAGGTTTAGATGAAGAAATCCCGTTTCCAACGAAGGCCTCTAGGAGGTCCAATTATCCACTTGCAGATTCTACAGAAAGAGTGTTTCAAAACTGCTCTATCAAGAGAAATGGTCCACCGTGTGTGTGGAATGCAGCCATCACACATTAGTTTCTGAGATTGCTTCTGTCTTGGTTTTATGGGGAGATATTTCCATTTCTAGCATAGGCTTCAAGGCGCTCTAAATATCCGCTTGGAAATACTACAAAAACAGTGTTTCAAAACTGCTGTATCCAAAGGAAGGTGCCACTCGCTGAGTTGAATGCACACATCACAAGGAAGTTTCTGAGAATTCTTCTGTCTAGATTCATACGAAGAAATCCCGTTTCCAACGAAGGCCTCAAAGAAGTCCAAATATCCCATTGCAAATTCTACAAAAGGAGTGTTTCCCAACTGCTCTATCAAGAGGAATGTTGCACTCTGTGACTTGAATGCAAACATCACATAGCAGTGTTTGAGAATTCTTCTGTCTAGAGTAACATGAAGAAATCCCGTTTCCAACGAAGGCCTCAAGGCGGTCCAATTATCCACTTGCAGATTCTACAGAAAGAGTGTTTCAAAACTGCTCTATCAAGAGAAATGTTCCACCGTGTGTGTGGAATGCAGCCATCACACAGTAGTTTCTGAGATTGCTTCCGTCTAGGTTTTATGGGAAGATATTTCCTTTTCTACCATAGGCCTCAAGGCGCTCTAATATCCGCTTGGAAATACTACAACCACAGCGTTTCAAACTGCTCTATCCAAAGGAAGGTTCCACTCTGTGACTTGAATGCACACAACCAAAGAAGTTTCGGAGAATTCTTCTGTCTAGATTTATACGAAGAAATCCCGTTTCCAACGAAGACCCAAAGGAGTTCCAAATATCCACTTGCAGATCCTTCAGAAAGAGGGTTTCAAAACTGCTCTATCAAGAGAAATGTTCAACTCTGTGAGTTGAATGCAGACATCACAAAGTCGTTTCTGAGATTGGTTCTGTCTAGGTTTTATGGGAAGATATTTCCTTTTCTACCACACGCTTCAAGGCGTTCCAAATATCCGCTTGGAAATACTACAAAAACAGTGTTTCGAAACTGCTCTATCAAAAGGAAGGATCCACACTGTGAGTTGAATTCACACATCACAAAGAAGTCTCTGAGAATTCTTCTGTCTGGGTTTATAGGAAGAAATCCCGTTTCCAACGAAGGCCTCAAAGAGGTCCAAATATCCACTTGCAGATTCTACAGAAACAATGTTTCCAAACTGCTCAGTCAAGAGGAATGTTGCACTCGGTGAGTTGAATGCACACATCACAAAGTAGTTTCTGAGATTGCTTCTGTCTACCTTTGATGGAAAGATATTCCCTTTTCTACCATAGGCCTGAAAGCGCTCTCAATGTACCCTTTCAAATTCTACAAAAAGAGTGTTTCCAAATTGCTCTATCAAGAGAAATCTTTATCTCGGTGAGTTGAAAGCACACATCACAAAGAAGACTCTGAGAATTCTTCTGTCTGGGTTTATAAGATGAAAACCCGTTTCCAACGAAGGCCTCAAGGAGGTCCAAATACAAACAAGCTGATTCTACAGAAAGAGTGTTTCCAAACTGCTCTATCAAGAGGAATGTTCCACTCGGTGAGTTGAATGCAGACATCACAAAGGAGTTTCTGAGATTGCTTCTGTCTAGCTTTTATGGAAAGATATTTCCTTTTCTACCATAGGCCTCAAAGCGCTCTTAGTATACACTTCCAAATTCTACAAAGAGAGTGTTACTAAACCGCTCTCTCAAAGGAAATGTTAAACTCTGTGAGTTGAACACAGACATCACAAAGCAGTTTCTGAGAACACTTCTGTCTGCCTTTTATGTGAAGACATTCCCTTTTCCAAAGAATGCCTCCAAGGGCTCAAAATATCCACTTGTAGACTTTACAAAGAGAGTGTTTCAAAACTTCTCTACCAAAAGAAAGGTTAAAGACGGTGAGTTCAACGCACACATCACAAAGTTGTTTCTGAGAATGATTCTATCTATGTTTTCCATGAAGATGTTTCCTTTTCTATCATAGGCTTCAAAGTGGTCTAAATATCCACTTGGAAATCCTACAAGAACAGGGTTTCAAAACTTCTCTATCAAACGGAAGACTCCACTCTGTGAGATGAACGCACACATCACAATGAGGTTTCTGAAAATTCTTCTGTCTAGGGTTATAGGAAGAAATCCCGTTTCCAACGAAGGCCTCAAAGAGGTCCAAATATCCACTTGCAGTTTCTACAAAAAGAGTGTTTCAACACTGCTCTATAAAGAGGAAAGTTCCACTCTGTGAGTTGAATGTACACATCACAAAGTAGTTTCTGAGATTGCTTCTGTCTAGGTTTTAGGTGAAGTTATTTCCTTTTCTACTGTGTGCTTCAATGCGCTCTAAATATACACATGCAAATACTACAAAAAGAGTGTTTCAAAACTGCTCTATCAAAAGAAAAGTTTTACTCTGTGAGATGAACGCACACATCGCAAAGCAGATTCTGAGAATTATTCTGTCTAGTTTTTATAGGAAGATGTTTCTTTTTCTGCCATAGGCTCAATGCGCTATAAATATCCCCTTGGAAATCCTACAAAAACAGTGTTTCAAAACTGCTCTGTGAAAAGGGAGGTTTCACTCTTTGAATTGAATGCACACATCACAAAGGAGTTTCTGAAAATTCTTCAATCTAGAGTTACATGAAGAAATCCCGTTTCCAAAGAAGGCCTCAAATAGGTCCAAATATCCACTTGCAGCTACTACAAGCAGGGTGTTTCAGAAACGCTCTATCAAAAGAAACGTTAAACTCTGTGAGTTGAACACACACGTCACTAAGCACTTTACTGAGAACGATTCTATCTACTTTTTACATGAAGATGTTTCCTTTTCTAGCAGAGACTTCAAAGTGCTCTAAATATCCACTTGGGAATTCTACAAAAACGGTGTCTCAAAACTGCTCTACCAAAGGGAATGTTCCATTCTGTGAGTCGAATGCACACATCCGAAGAAGTTACTGAGAATTCTTCTCTGTAGGTTTAGATGAAGAAATCCCGTTTCCAACGAAGGCCTCTAGGAGGTCCAATTATCCACTTGCAGATTCTACAGAAAGAGTGTTTCAAAACTGCTCTATCAAGAGAAATGGTCCACCGTGTGTGTGGAATGCAGCCATCACACATTAGTTTCTGAGATTGCTTCTGTCTTGGTTTTATGGGGAGATATTTCCATTTCTAGCATAGGCTTCAAGGCGCTCTAAATATCCGCTTGGAAATACTACAAAAACAGTGTTTCAAAACTGCTGTATCCAAAGGAAGGTGCCACTCGCTGAGTTGAATGCACACATCACAAGGAAGTTTCTGAGAATTCTTCTGTCTAGATTCATACGAAGAAATCCCGTTTCCAACGAAGGCCTCAAAGAAGTCCAAATATCCCATTGCAAATTCTACAAAAGGAGTGTTTCCCAACTGCTCTATCAAGAGGAATGTTGCACTCTGTGACTTGCATGCAAACATCACATAGCAGTGTTTGAGAATTCTTCTGTCTAGAGTAACATGAAGAAATCCCGTTTCCAACGAAGGCCTCAAGGCGGTCCAATTATCCACTTGCAGATTCTACAGAAAGAGTGTTTCAAAACTGCTCTATCAAGAGAAATGTTCCACCGTGTGTGTGGAATGCAGCCATCACACAGTAGTTTCTGAGATTGCTTCCGTCTAGGTTTTATGGGAAGATATTTCCTTTTCTACCATAGGCCTCAAGGCGCTCTAATATCCGCTTGGAAATACTACAACCACAGCGTTTCAAACTGCTCTATCCAAAGGAAGGTTCCACTCTGTGACTTGAATGCACACAACCAAAGAAGTTTCGGAGAATTCTTCTGTCTAGATTTATACGAAGAAATCCCGTTTCCAACGAAGACCCAAAGGAGTTCCAAATATCCACTTGCAGATCCTTCAGAAAGAGGGTTTCAAAACTGCTCTATCAAGAGAAATGTTCAACTCTGTGAGTTGAATGCAGACATCACAAAGTCGTTTCTGAGATTGGTTCTGTCTAGGTTTTATGGGAAGATATTTCCTTTTCTACTATACGCTTCAAGGCGTTCCAAATATCTGCTTGGAAATACTACAAAAACAGTGTTTCAAAACTGCTCTATCAAAAGGAAGGATCCACACTGTGAGTTGAATTCACACATCACAAAGAAATGTCTGAGAATTCTTCTGTCTGGGTTTATAGGAAGAAATCCCGTTTCCAACGAAGGCCTCAAAGCGGTCCATATATCCACTTGCAGATTCTACAGAAACAATGTTTCCAAACTGCTCGGTCAAGAGGAATGTTGCACTCGGTGAGTTGAATGCACACATGACAAAGTAGTTTCTGAGATTGCTTCTGTCTACCTTTTATGGAAAGATATTCCCTTTTCTACCATAGGCCTGAAAGCGCTCTCAATGTACCCTTGCAAATTCTACAAAAAGAGTGTTTCCAAATTGCTCTATCAAGAGAAATCTTTATCTCGGTGAGTTGAAAGCACACATCACAAAGAAGACTCTGAGAATTCTTCTGTCTGGGTTTATAAGATGAAAACCCGTTTCCAACGAAGGCCTCAAGGAGGTCCAAATACAAACAAGCTGATTCTACAGAAAGAGTGTTTCCAAACAGCTCTATCAAGAGGAATGTTCCACTCGGTGAGTTGAATGCAGACATCACAAAGGTGTTTCTGAGATTGCTCCTGTCTAGCTTTTATGGAAAGATATTTCCTTTTCTACCATAGGCCTCAAAGCGCTCTTAGTATACACTTCCAAATTCTACAAAGAGAGTGTTACTAAACCGCTCTCTCAAAGGAAATGTTAAACTCTGTGAGTTGAACACAGACATCACAAAGCAGTTTCTGAGAACACTTCTGTCTGCCTTTTATGTGAAGACATTCCCTTTTCCAAAGAATGCCTCCAAGGGCTCAAAATATCCACTTGTAGACTTTACAAAGAGAGTGTTTCAAAACTTCTCTACCAAAAGAAAGGTTAAAGACGGTGAGTTCAACGCACACATCACAAAGTTGTTTCTGAGAATGATTCTATCTATGTTTTCCATGAAGATGTTTCCTTTTCTATCATAGGCTTCAAAGTGGTCTAAATATCCACTTGGAAATCCTACAAGAACAGGGTTTCAAAACTTCTCTATCAAACGGAAGACTCCACTCTGTGAGATGAACGCACACATCACAATGAGGTTTCTGAAAATTCTTCTGTCTAGGGTTATAGGAAGAAATCCCGTTTCCAACGAAGGCCTCAAAGAGGTCCAAATATCCACTTGCAGTTTCTACAAAAAGAGTGTTTCAACACTGCTCTATAAAGAGAAAAGTTCCACTCTGTGAGTTGAATGTACACATCACAAAGTAGTTTCTGAGATTGCTTCTGTCTAGGTTTTAGGTGAAGTTATTTCCTTTTCTACTGTGGGCTTCAATGCACTCTAAATATACACATGCAAATACTACAAAAAGAGTGTTTCAAAACTGCTCTATCAAAAGAAAAGTTTTACTCTGTGAGTTGAACGCACACATCGCAAAGCAGATTCTGAGAATTATTCTGTCTAGTTTTTATAGGAAGATGTTTCTTTTTCTGCCATAGGCTCAATGCGCTATAAATATCCCCTTGGAAATCCTACAAAAACAGTGTTTCAAAACTGCTCTGTGAAAAGGGAGGTTTCACTCTTTGAATTGAATGCACACATCACAAAGGAGTTTCTGAAAATTCTTCAATCTAGAGTTACATGAAGAAATCCCGTTTCCAAAGAAGGCCTCAAATAGGTCCAAATATCCACTTGCAGCTACTACAAGAAGGGTGTTTCAGAAACGCTCTATCAAAAGAAACGTTAAACTCTGTGAGTTGAACACACACGTCACTAAGCACTTTCTGAGAACGATTCTATCTACTTTTTACATGAAGATGTTTCCTTTTCTAGCAGAGACTTCAAAGTGCTCTAAATATCCACTTGGGAATTCTACAAAAACGGTGTCTCAAAACTGCTCTATCAAAGGGAATGTTCCATTCTGTGAGTCGAATGCACACATCCGAAGAAGTTACTGAGAATTCTTCTCTGTAGGTTTAGATGAAGAAATCCCATTTCCAACGAAGGCCTCTAGGAGGTCCAATTATCCACTTGCAGATTCTACAGAAAGAGTGTTTCAAAACTGCTCTATCAAGAGAAATGGTCCACCGTGTGTGTGGAATGCAGCCATCACACATTAGTTTCTGATATTGCTTCTGTCTTGGTTTTATGGGGAGATATTTCCATTTCTAGCATAGGCTTCAAGGCGCTCTAAATATCCGCTTGGAAATACTACAAAAACAGTGTTTCAAAACTGCTGTATCCAAAGGAAGGTGCCACTCGCTGAGTTGAATGCACACATCACAAGGAAGTTTCTGAGAATTCTTCTGTCTAGATTCATACGAAGAAATCCCGTTTCCAACGAAGGCCTCAAAGAAGTCCAAATATCCCATTGCAAATTCTACAAAAGGAGTGTTTCCCAACTGCTCTATCAAGAGGAATGTTGCACTCTGTGACTTGCATGCAAACATCTTATAGCAGTGTTTGAGAATTATTCTGTCTAGAGTAACATGAAGAAATCCCGTTTCCAACGAAGGCCTCAAGGCGGTCCAATTATCCACTTGCAGATTCTACAGAAAGAGTGTTTCAAAACTGCTCTATCAAGAGAAATGTTCCACCGTGTGTGTGGAATGCAGCCATCACACAGTAGTTTCTGAGATTGCTTCCGTCTAGGTTTTATGGGAAGATATTTCCTTTTCTACCATAGGCCTCAAGGCGCTCTAATATCCGCTTGGAAATACTACAACCACAGCGTTTCAAACTGCTCTATCCAAAGGAAGGTTCCACTCTGTGACTTGAATGCACACAACCAAAGAAGTTTCGGAGAATTCTTCTGTCTAGATTTATACGAAGAAATCCCGTTTCCAACGAAGACCCAAAGGAGTTCCAAATATCCACTTGCAGATCCTTCAGAAAGAGGGTTTCAAAACTGCTCTATCAAGAGAAATGTTCAACTCTGTGAGTTGAATGCAGACATCACAAAGTCGTTTCTGAGATTGGTTCTGTCTAGGTTTTATGGGAAGATATTTCCTTTTCTACCATACGCTTCAAGGCGTTCCAAATATCCGCTTGGAAATACTACAAAAACAGTGTTTCAAAACTGCTCTATCAAAAGGAAGGATCCACACTGTGAGTTGAATTCACACATCACAAAGAAGTCTCTGAGAATTCTTCTGTCTGGGTTTATAGGAAGAAATCCCGTTTCCAACGAAGGCCTCAAAGAGGTCCAAATATCCACTTGCAGATTCTACAGAAACAATGTTTCCAAACTGCTCGGTCAAGAGGAATGTTGCACTCGGTGAGTTGAATGCACACATCACAAAGTAGTTTCTGAGATTGCTTCTGTCTACCTTTTATGGAAAGATATTCCCTTTTCTACCATAGGCCTGAAAGCGCTCTCAATGTACCCTTGCAAATTCTACAAAAAGAGTGTTTCCAAATTGCTCTATCAAGAGAAATCTTTATCTCGGTGAGTTGAAAGCACACATCACAAAGAAGACTCTGAGAATTCTTCTGTCTGGGTTTATAAGATGAAAACCCGTTTCCAACGAAGGCCTCAAGGAGGTCCAAATACAAACAAGCTGATTCTACAGAAAGAGTGTTTCCAAACTGCTCTATCAAGAGGAATGTTCCACTCGGTGAGTTGAATGCAGACATCACAAAGGAGTTTCTGAGATTGCTTCTGTCTAGCTTTTATGGAAAGATATTTCCTTTTCTACCATAGGCCTCAAAGCGCTCTTAGTATACACTTCCAAATTCTACAAAGAGAGTGTTACTAAACTGCTCTCTCAAAGGAAATGTTAAACTCTGTGAGTTGAACACAGACATCACAAAGCAGTTTCTGAGAACACTTCTGTCTGCCTTTTATGTGAAGACATTCCCTTTTCCAAAGAATGCCTCCAAGGGCTCAAAATATCCACTTGTAGACTTTACAAAGAGAGTGTTTCAAAACTTCTCTACCAAAAGAAAGGTTAAAGACGGTGAGTTCAACGCACACATCACAAAGTTGTTTCTGAGAATGATTCTATCTATGTTTTCCATGAAGATGTTTCCTTTTCTATCATAGGCTTCAAAGTGGTCTAAATATCCACTTGGAAATCCTACAAGAACAGGGTTTCAAAACTTCTCTATCAAACGGAAGACTCCACTCTGTGAGATGAACGCACACATCACAATGAGGTTTCTGAAAATTCTTCTGTCTAGGGTTATAGGAAGAAATCCCGTTTCCAACGAAGGCCTCAAAGAGGTCCAAATATCCACTTGCAGTTTCTACAAAAAGAGTGTTTCAACACTGCTCTATAAAGAGAAAAGTTCCACTCTGTGAGTTGAATGTACACATCACAAAGTAGTTTCTGAGATTGCTTCTGTCTAGGTTTTAGGTGAAGTTATTTCCTTTTCTACTGTGGGCTTCAATGCGCTCTAAATATACACATGCAAATACTACAAAAAGAGTGTTTCAAAACTGCTCTATCAAAAGAAAAGTTTTACTCTGTGGGTTGAACGCACACATCGCAAAGCAGATTCTGAGAATTATTCTGTCTAGTTTTTATAGGAAGATGTTTCTTTTTCTGCCATAGGCTCAATGCGCTATAAATATCCCCTTGGAAATCCTACAAAAACAGTGTTTCAAAACTGCTCTGTGAAAAGGGAGGTTTCACTCTTTGAATTGAATGCACACATCACAAAGGAGTTTCTGAAAATTCTTCAATCTAGAGTTACATGAAGAAATCCCGTTTCCAAAGAAGGCCTCAAATAGGTCCAAATATCCACTTGCAGCTACTACAAGAAGGGTGTTTCAGAAACGCTCTATCAAAAGAAACGTTAAACTCTGTGAGTTGAACGCACACGTCACTAAGCACTTTCTGAGAACGATTCTATCTACTTTTTACATGAAGATGTTTCCTTTTCTAGCAGAGACTTCAAAGTGCTCTAAATATCCACTTGGGAATTCTACAAAAACGGTGTCTCAAAACTGCTCTACCAAAGGGAATGTTCCATTCTGTGAGTCGAATGCACACATCCGAAGAAGTTACTGAGAATTCTTCTCTGTAGGTTTAGATGAAGAAATCCCGTTTCCAACGAAGGCCTCTAGGAGGTCCAATTATCCACTTGCAGATTCTACAGAAAGAGTGTTTCAAAACTGCTCTATCAAGAGAAATGGTCCACCGTGTGTGTGGAATGCAGCCATCACACATTAGTTTCTGAGATTGCTTCTGTCTTGGTTTTATGGGGAGATATTTCCATTTCTAGCATAGGCTTCAAGGCGCTCTAAATATCCGCTTGGAAATACTACAAAAACAGTGTTTCAAAACTGCTGTATCCAAAGGAAGGTGCCACTCGCTGAGTTGAATGCACACATCACAAGGAAGTTTCTGAGAATTCTTCTGTCTAGATTCATACGAAGAAATCCCGTTTCCAACGAAGGCCTCAAAGAAGTCCAAATATCCCATTGCAAATTCTACAAAAGGAGTGTTTCCCAACTGCTCTATCAAGAGGAATGTTGCACTCTGTGACTTGAATGCAAACATCACATAGCAGTGTTTGAGAATTCTTCTGTCTAGAGTAACATGAAGAAATCCCGTTTCCAACGAAGGCCTCAAGGCGGTCCAATTATCCACTTGCAGATTCTACAGAAAGAGTGTTTCAAAACTGCTCTATCAAGAGAAATGTTCCACCGTGTGTGTGGAATGCAGCCATCACACAGTAGTTTCTGAGATTGCTTCCGTCTAGGTTTTATGGGAAGATATTTCCTTTTCTACCATAGGCCTCAAGGCGCTCTAATATCCGCTTGGAAATACTACAACCACAGCGTTTCAAACTGCTCTATCCAAAGGAAGGTTCCACTCTGTGACTTGAATGCACACAACCAAAGAAGTTTCGGAGAATTCTTCTGTCTGGATTTATACGAAGAAATCCCGTTTCCAACGAAGACCCAAAGGAGTTCCAAATATCCACTTGCAGCTCCTTCAGAAAGAGGGTTTCAAAACTGCTCTATCAAGAGAAATGTTCAACTCTGTGAGTTGAATGCAGACATCACAAAGTCGTTTCTGAGATGGGTTCTGTCTAGGTTTTATGGGAAGATATTTCCTTTTCTACCTTACGCTTCAAGGCGTTCCAAATATCCGCTTGGAAATACTACAAAAACAGTGTTTCAAAACTGCTCTATCAAAAGGAAGGATCCACACTGTGAGTTGAATTCACACATCACAAAGAAATCTCTGAGAATTCTTCTGTCTGGGTTTATAGGAAGAAATCCCGTTTCCAACGAAGGCCTCAAAGCGGTCCATATATCCACTTGCAGATTCTACAGAAACAATGTTTCCAAACTGCTCTATCAAGAGGAATGTTGCACTCGGTGAGTTGAATGCACACATCACAAAGTAGTTTCTGAGATTGCTTCTGTCTACCTTTTATGGAAAGATATTCCCTTTTCTACCGTAGGACTGAAAGCGCTCTCAATGTACCCTTGCAAATTCTACAAAAAGAGTGTTTCCAAATTGCTCTATCAAGAGAAATCTTTATCTCGGTGAGTTGAAAGCACACATCACAAAGAAGACTCTGAGAATTCTTCTGTCTGGGTTTATAAGATGAAAACCCGTTTCCAACGAAGGCCTCAAGGAGGTCCAAATACAAACAAGCTGATTCTACAGAAAGAGTGTTTCCAAACTGCTCTATCAAGAGGAATGTTCCACTCGGTGAGTTGAATGCAGACATCACAAAGGAGTTTCTGAGATTGCTTCTGTCTAGCTTTTATGGAAAGATATTTCCTTTTCTACCATAGGCCTCAAAGCGCTCTTAGTATACACTTCCAAATTCTACAAAGAGAGTGTTACTAAACCGCTCTCTCAAAGGAAATGTTAAACTCTGTGAGTTGAACACAGACATCACAAAGCAGTTTCTGAGAACACTTCTGTCTGCCTTTTATGTGAAGACATTCCCTTTTCCAAAGAATGCCTCCAAGGGCTCAAAATATCCACTTGTAGACTTTACAAAGAGAGTGTTTCAAAACTTCTCTACCAAAAGAAAGGTTAAAGACGGTGAGTTCAACGCACACATCACAAAGTTGTTTCTGAGAATGATTCTATCTATGTTTTCCATGAAGATGTTTCCTTTTCTATCATAGGCTTCAAAGTGGTCTAAATATCCACTTGGAAATCCTACAAGAACAGGGTTTCAAAACTTCTCTATCAAACGGAAGACTCCACTCTGTGAGATGAACGCACACATCACAATGAGGTTTCTGAAAATTCTTCTGTCTAGGGTTATAGGAAGAAATCCCGTTTCCAACGAAGGCCTCAAAGAGGTCCAAATATCCACTTGCAGTTTCTACAAAAAGAGTGTTTCAACACTGCTCTATAAAGAGGAAAGTTCCACTCTGTGAGTTGAATGTACACATCACAAAGTAGTTTCTGAGATTGCTTCTGTCTAGGTTTTAGGTGAAGTTATTTCCTTTTCTACTGTGGGCTTCAATGCGCTCTAAATATACACATGCAAATACTACAAAAAGAGTGTTTCAAAACTGCTCTATCAAAAGAAAAGTTTTACTCTGTGAGTTGAACGCACACATCGCAAAGCAGATTCTGAGAATTATTCTGTCTAGTTTTTATAGGAAGATGTTTCTTTTTCTGCCATAGGATCAATGCGCTATAAATATCCCCTTGGAAATCCTACAAAAACAGTGTTTCAAAACTGCTCTGTGAAAATGGAGGTTTCACTCTTTGAATTGAATGCACACATCACAAAGGAGTTTCTGAAAATTCTTCAATCTAGTGTTACATGAAGAAATCCCGTTTCCAAAGAAGGCCTCAAATAGGTCCAAATATCCACTTGCAGCTACTACAAGAAGGGTGTTTCAGAAACGCTCTATCAAAAGAAACGTTAAACTCTGTGAGTTGAACACACACGTCACTAAGCACTTTCTGAGAACGATTCTATCTACTTTTTACATGAAGATGTTTCCTTTTCTAGCAGAGACTTCAAAGTGCTCTAAATATCCACTTGGGAATTCTACAAAAACGGTGTCTCAAAACTGCTCTATCAAAGGGAATGTTCCATTCTGTGAGTCGAATGCACACATCCGAAGAAGTTACTGAGAATTCTTCTCTGTAGGTTTAGATGAAGAAATCCCGTTTCCAACGAAGGCCTCTAGGAGGTCCAATTATCCACTTGCAGATTCTACAGAAAGAGTGTTTCAAAACTGCTCTATCAAGAGAAATGGTCCACCGTGTGTGTGGAATGCAGCCATCACACATTAGTTTCTGAGATTGCTTCTGTCTTGGTTTTATGGGGAGATATTTCCATTTCTAGCATAGGCTTCAAGGCGCTCTAAATATCCGCTTGGAAATACTACAAAAACAGTGTTTCAAAACTGCTGTATCCAAAGGAAGGTGCCACTCGCTGAGTTGAATGCACACATCACAAGGAAGTTTCTGAGAATTCTTCTGTCTAGATTCATACGAAGAAATCCCGTTTCCAACGAAGGCCTCAAAGAAGTCCAAATATCCCATTGCAAATTCTACAAAAGGAGTGTTTCCCAACTGCTCTATCAAGAGGAATGTTGCACTCTGTGACTTGAATGCAAACATCACATAGCAGTGTTTGAGAATTCTTCTGTCTAGAGTAACATGAAGAAATCCCGTTTCCAACGAAGGCCTCAAGGCGGTCCAATTATCCACTTGCAGATTCTACAGAAAGAGTGTTTCAAAACTGCTCTATCAAGAGAAATGTTCCACCGTGTGTGTGGAATGCAGCCATCACACAGTAGTTTCTGAGATTGCTTCCGTCTAGGTTTTATGGGAAGATATTTCCTTTTCTACCATAGGCTTCAAGGCGCTCTAATATCCGCTTGGAAATACTACAACCACAGCGTTTCAAACTGCTCTATCCAAAGGAAGGTTCCACTCTGTGACTTGAATGCACACAACCAAAGAAGTTTCGGAGAATTCTTCTGTCTGGATTTATACGAAGAAATCCCGTTTCCAACGAAGACCCAAAGGAGTTCCAAATATCCACTTGCAGATCCTTCAGAAAGAGGGTTTCAAAACTGCTCTATCAAGAGAAATGTTCAACTCTGTGAGTTGAATGCAGACATCACAAAGTCGTTTCTGAGATGGGTTCTGTCTAGGTTTTATGGGAAGTTATTTCCTTTTCTAGCATACGCTTCAAGGCGTTCCAAATATCTGCTTGGAAATACTACAAAAACAGTGTTTCAAAACTGCTCTATCAAAAGGAAGGATCCACACTGTGAGTTGAATTCACACATCACAAAGAAATCTCTGAGAATTCTTCTGTCTGGGTTTATAGGAAGAAATCCCGTTTCCAACGAAGGCCTCAAAGCGGTCCATATATCCACTTGCAGATTCTACAGAAACAATGTTTCCAAACTGCTCGGTCAAGAGGAATGTTGCACTCGGTGAGTTGAATGCACACATCACAAAGTAGTTTCTGAGATTGCTTCTGTCTACATTTTATGGAAAGATATTCCCTTTTCTACCATAGGACTGAAAGCGCTCTCAATGTACCCTTGCAAATTCTACAAAAAGAGTGTTTCCAAATTGCTCTATCAAGAGAAATCTTTATCTCGGTGAGTTGAAAGCACACATCACAAAGAAGACTCTGAGAATTCTTCTGTCTGGGTTTATAAGATGAAAACCCGTTTCCAACGAAGGCCTCAAGGAGGTCCAAATACAAACAAGCTGATTCTACAGAAAGAGTGTTTCCAAACTGCTCTATCAAGAGGAATGTTCCACTCGGTGAGTTGAATGCAGACATCACAAAGGAGTTTCTGAGATTGCTTCTGTCTAGCTTTTATGGAAGATATTTCCTTTTCTACCATAGGCCTCAAAGCGCTCTTAGTATACACTTCCAAATTCTACAAAGAGAGTGTTACTAAACCGCTCTCTCAAAGGAAATGTTAAACTCTGTGAGTTGAACACAGACATCACAAAGCAGTTTCTGAGAACACTTCTGTCTGCCTTTTATGTGAAGACATTCCCTTTTCCAAAGAATGCCTCCAAGGGCTCAAAATATCCACTTGTAGACTTTACAAAGAGAGTGTTTCAAAACTTCTCTACCAAAAGAAAGGTTAAAGACGGTGAGTTCAACGCACACATCACAAAGTTGTTTCTGAGAATGATTCTATCTATGTTTTCCATGAAGATGTTTCCTTTTCTATCATAGGCTTCAAAGTGGTCTAAATATCCACTTGGAAATCCTACAAGAACAGGGTTTCAAAACTTCTCTATCAAACGGAAGACTCCACTCTGTGAGATGAACGCACACATCACAATGAGGTTTCTGAAAATTCTTCTGTCTAGGGTTATAGGAAGAAATCCCGTTTCCAACGAAGGCCTCAAAGAGGTCCAAATATCCACTTGCAGTTTCTACAAAAAGAGTGTTTCAACACTGCTCTATAAAGAGAAAAGTTCCACTCTGTGAGTTGAATGTACACATCACAAAGTAGTTTCTGAGATTGCTTCTGTCTAGGTTTTAGGTGAAGTTATTTCCTTTTCTACTGTGGGCTTCAATGCGCTCTAAATATACACATGCAAATACTACAAAAAGAGTGTTTCAAAACTGCTCTATCAAAAGAAAAGTTTTACTCTGTGAGTTGAACGCACACATCGCAAAGCAGATTCTGAGAATTATTCTGTCTAGTTTTTATAGGAAGATGTTTCTTTTTCTGCCATAGGTATCAATGCGCTATAAATATCCCCTTGGAAATCCTACAAAAACAGTGTTTCAAAACTGCTCTGTGAAAAGGGACGTTTCACTCTTTGAATTGAATGCACACATCACAAAGGAGTTTCTGAAAATTCTTCAATCTAGAGTTACATGAAGAAATCCCGTTTCCAAAGAAGGCCTCAAATAGGTCCAAATATCCACTTGCAGCTACTACAAGAAGGGTGTTTCAGAAACGCTCTATCAAAAGAAACGTTAAACTCTGTGAGTTGAACGCACACGTCACTAAGCACTTTCTGAGAACGATTCTATCTACTTTTTACATGAAGATGTTTCCTTTTCTAGCAGAGACTTCAAAGTGCTCTAAATATCCACTTGGGAATTCTACAAAAACGGTGTCTCAAAACTGCTCTACCAAAGGGAATGTTCCATTCTGTGAGTCGAATGCACACATCCGAAGAAGTTACTGAGAATTCTTCTCTGTAGGTTTAGATGAAGAAATCCCGTTTCCAACGAAGGCCTCTAGGAGGTCCAATTATCCACTTGCAGATTCTACAGAAAGAGTGTTTCAAAACTGCTCTATCAAGAGAAATGGTCCACCGTGTGTGTGGAATGCAGCCATCACACATTAGTTTCTGAGATTGCTTCTGTCTTGGTTTTATGGGGAGATATTTCCATTTCTAGCATAGGCTTCAAGGCGCTCTAAATATCCGCTTGGAAATACTACAAAAACAGTGTTTCAAAACTGCTGTATCCAAAGGAAGGTGCCACTCGCTGAGTTGAATGCACACATCACAAGGAAGTTTCTGAGAATTCTTCTGTCTAGATTCATACGAAGAAATCCCGTTTCCAACGAAGGCCTCAAAGAAGTCCAAATATCCCATTGCAAATTCTACAAAAGGAGTGTTTCCCAACTGCTCTATCAAGAGGAATGTTGCACTCTGTGACTTGCATGCAAACATCACATAGCAGTGTTTGAGAATTCTTCTGTCTAGAGTAACATGAAGAAATCCCGTTTCCAACGAAGGCCTCAAGGCGGTCCAATTATCCACTTGCAGATTCTACAGAAAGAGTGTTTCAAAACTGCTCTATCAAGAGAAATGTTCCACCGTGTGTGTGGAATGCAGCCATCACACAGTAGTTTCTGAGATTGCTTCCGTCTAGGTTTTATGGGAAGATATTTCCTTTTCTACCATAGGCCTCAAGGCGCTCTAATATCCGCTTGGAAATACTACAACCACAGCGTTTCAAACTGCTCTATCCAAAGGAAGGTTCCACTCTGTGACTTGAATGCACACAACCAAAGAAGTTTCGGAGAATTCTTCTGTCTAGATTTATACGAAGAAATCCCGTTTCCAACGAAGACCCAAAGGAGTTCCAAATATCCACTTGCAGATCCTTCAGAAAGAGGGTTTCAAAACTGCTCTATCAAGAGAAATGTTCAACTCTGTGAGTTGAATGCAGACATCACAAAGTCGTTTCTGAGATGGGTTCTGTCTAGGTTTTATGGGAAGATATTTCCTTTTCTACCATACGCTTCAAGGCGTTCCAAATATCCGCTTGGAAATACTACAAAAACAGTGTTTCAAAACTGCTCTATCAAAAGGAAGGATCCACACTGTGAGTTGAATTCACACATCACAAAGAAGTCTCTGAGAATTCTTCTGTCTGGGTTTATAGGAAGAAATCCCGTTTCCAACGAAGGCCTCAAAGCGGTCCATATATCCACTTGCAGATTCTACAGAAACAATGTTTCCAAACTGCTCTATCAAGAGGAATGTTGCACTCGGGGAGTTGAATGCACACATCACAAAGTAGTTTCTGAGATTGCTTCTGTCTACCTTTTATGGAAAGATATTCCCTTTTCTACCATAGGCCTGAAAGCGCTCTCAATGTACCCTTGCAAATTCTACAAAAAGAGTGTTTCCAAATTGCTCTATCAAGAGAAATCTTTATCTCGGTGAGTTGAAAGCACACATCACAAAGAAGACTCTGAGAATTCTTCTGTCTGGGTTTATAAGATGAAAACCCGTTTCCAACGAAGGCCTCAAGGAGGTCCAAATATAAACAAGCTGATTCTACAGAAAGAGTGTTTCCAAACTGCTCTATCAAGGGAATGTTCCACTCGGTGAGTTGAATGCAGACATCACAAAGGAGTTTCTGAGATTGCTTCTGTCTAGCTTTTATGGAAAGATAATTCCTTTTCTACCATAGGCCTCAAAGCGCTCTTAGTATACACTTTCAAATTCTACAAAGAGAGTGTTACTAAACCGCTCTCTCAAAGGAAATGTTAAACTCTGTGAGTTGAACACAGACATCACAAAGCAGTTTCTGAGAACACTTCTGTCTGCCTTTTATGTGAAGACATTCCCTTTTCCAAAGAATGCCTCCAAGGGCTCAAAATATCCACTTGTAGACTTTACAAAGAGAGTGTTTCAAAACTTCTCTACCAAAAGAAAGGTTAAAGACGGTGAGTTCAACGCACACATCACAAAGTTGTTTCTGAGAATGATTCTATCTATGTTTTCCATGAAGATGTTTCCTTTTCTATCATAGGCTTCAAAGTGGTCTAAATATCCACTTGGAAATCCTACAAGAACAGGGTTTCAAAGCTTCTCTATCAAACGGAAGACTCCACTCTGTGAGATGAACGCACACATCACAATGAGGTTTCTGAAAATTCTTCTGTCTAGGGTTATAGGAAGAAATCCCGTTTCCAACGAAGGCCTCAAAGAGGTCCAAATATCCACTTGCAGTTTCTACAAAAAGAGTGTTTCAACACTGCTCTATAAAGAGGAAAGTTCCACTCTGTGAGTTGAATGTACACATCACAAAGTAGTTTCTGAGATTGCTTCTGTCTAGGTTTTAGGTGAAGTTATTTCCTTTTCTACTGTGGGCTTCAATGCGCTCTAAATATACACATGCAAATACTACAAAAAGAGTGTTTCAAAACTGCTCTATCAAAAGAAAAGTTTTACTCTGTGGGTTGAACGCACACATCGCAAAGCAGATTCTGAGAATTATTCTGTCTAGTTTTTATAGGAAGATGTTTCTTTTTCTGCCATAGGATCAATGCGCTATAAATATCCCCTTGGAAGTCCTACAAAAACAGTGTTTCAAAACTGCTCTGTGAAAAGGGAGGTTTCACTCTTTGAATTGAATGCACACATCACAAAGGAGTTTCTGAAAATTCTTCAATCTAGAGTTACATGAAGAAATCCCGTTTCCAAAGAAGGCCTCAAATAGGTCCAAATATCCACTTGCAGCTACTACAAGAAGGGTGTTTCAGAAACGCTCTATCAAAAGAAACGTTAAACTCTGTGAGTTGAACACACACGTCACTAAGCACTTTCTGAGAACGATTCTATCTACTTTTTACATGAAGATGTTTCCTTTTCTAGCAGAGACTTCAAAGTGCTCTATATATCCACTTGGGAATTCTACAAAAACGGTGTCTCAAAACTGCTCTATCAAAGGGAATGTTCCATTCTGTGAGTCGAATGCACACATCCGAAGAAGTTACTGAGAATTCTTCTCTGTAGGTTTAGATGAAGAAATCCCGTTTCCAACGAAGGCCTCTAGGAGGTCCAATTATCCACTTGCAGATTCTACAGAAAGAGTGTTTCAAAACTGCTCTATCAAGAGAAATGGTCCACCGTGTGTGTGGAATGCAGCCATCACACATTAGTTTCTGAGATGGCTTCCATCTTGGTTTTATGGGGAGATATTTCCATTTCTAGCATAGGCTTCAAGGCGCTCTAAATATCCGCTTGGAAATACTACAAAAACAGTGTTTCACAACTGCTGTATCCAAAGGAAGGTGCCACTCGCTGAGTTGAATGCACACATCACAAGGAAGTTTCTGAGAATTCTTCTGTCTAGATTCATACGAAGAAATCCCGTTTCCAACGAAGGCCTCAAAGAAGTCCAAATATCCCATTGCAAATTCTACAAAAGGAGTGTTTCCCAACTGCTCTATCAAGAGGAATGTTGCACTCTGTGACTTGCATGCAAACATCACACAGCAGTGTTTGAGAATTCTTCTGTCTAGAGTAACATGAAGAAATCCCGTTTCCAACGAAGGCCTCAAGGCGGTCCAATTATCCACTTGCAGATTCTACAGAAAGAGTGTTTCAAAACTGCTCTATCAAGAGAAATGTTCCACCGTGTGTGTGGAATGCAGCCATCACACAGTAGTTTCTGAGATTGCTTCCGTCTAGGTTTTATGGGAAGATATTTCCTTTTCTACCATAGGCCTCAAGGCGCTCTAATATCCGCTTGGAAATACTACAACCACAGCGTTTCAAACTGCTCTATCCAAAGGAAGGTTCCACTCTGTGACTTGAATGCACACAACCAAAGAAGTTTCGGAGAATTCTTCTGTCTAGATTTATACGAAGAAATCCCGTTTCCAACGAAGACCCAAAGGAGTTCCAAATATCCACTTGCAGATCCTTCAGAAAGAGGGTTTCAAAACTGCTCTATCAAGAGAAATGTTCAACTCTGTGAGTTGAATGCAGACATCACAAAGTCGTTTCTGAGATTGGTTCTGTCTAGGTTTTATGGGAAGATATTTCCTTTTCTACCATACGCTTCAAGGCGTTCCAAATATCCGCTTGGAAATACTACAAAAACAGTGTTTCAAAACTGCTCTATCAAAAGGAAGGATCCACACTGTGAGTTGAATTCACACATCACAAAGAAGTCTCTGAGAATTCTTCTGTCTGGGTTTATAGGAAGAAATCCCGTTTCCAACGAAGGCCTCAAAGAGGTCCAAATATCCACTTGCAGATTCTACAGAAACAATGTTTCCAAACTGCTCGGTCAAGAGGAATGTTGCACTCGGTGAGTTGAATGCACACATCACAAAGTAGTTTCTGAGATTGCTTCTGTCTACCTTTTATGGAAAGATATTCCCTTTTCTACCATAGGCCTGAAAGCGCTCTCAATGTACCCTTGCAAATTCTACAAAAAGAGTGTTTCCAAATTGCTCTATCAAGAGAAATCTTTATCTCGGTGAGTTGAAAGCACACATCACAAAGAAGACTCTGAGAATTCTTCTGTCTGGGTTTATAAGATGAAAACCCGTTTCCAACGAAGGCCTCAAGGAGGTCCAAATACAAACAAGCTGATTCTACAGAAAGAGTGTTTCCAAACTGCTCTATCAAGAGGAATGTTCCACTCGGTGAGTTGAATGCAGACATCACAAAGGAGTTTCTGAGATTGCTTCTGTCTAGCTTTTATGGAAAGATATTTCCTTTTCTACCATAGGCCTCAAAGCGCTCTTAGTATACACTTCCAAATTCTACAAAGAGAGTGTTACTAAACCGCTTTCTCAAAGGAAATGTTAAACTCTGTGAGTTGAACACAGACATCACAAAGCAGTTTCTGAGAACACTTCTGTCTGCCTTTTATGTGAAGACATTCCCTTTTCCAAAGAATGCCTCCAAGGGCTCAAAATATCCACTTGTAGACTTTACAAAGAGAGTGTTTCAAAACTTCTCTACCAAAAGAAAGGTTAAAGACGGTGAGTTCAACGCACACATCACAAAGTTGTTTCTGAGAATGATTCTATCTATGTTTTCCATGAAGATGTTTCCTTTTCTAACATAGGCTTCAAAGTGGTCTAAATATCCACTTGGAAATCCTACAAGAACAGGGTTTCAAAACTTCTCTATCAAACGGAAGACTCCACTCTGTGAGATGAACGCACACATCACAATGAGGTTTCTGAAAATTCTTCTGTCTAGGGTTATAGGAAGAAATCCCGTTTCCAACGAAGGCCTCAAAGAGGTCCAAATATCCACTTGCAGTTTCTACAAAAAGAGTGTTTCAACACTGCTCTATAAAGAGAAAAGTTCCACTCTGTGAGTTGAATGTACACATCACAAAGTAGTTTCTGAGATTGCTTCTGTCTAGGTTTTAGGTGAAGTTATTTCCTTTTCTACTGTGGGCTTCAATGCGCTCTAAATATACACATGCAAATACTACAAAAAGAGTGTTTCAAAACTGCTCTATCAAAAGAAAAGTTTTACTCTGTGAGTTGAACGCACACATCGCAAAGCAGATTCTGAGAATTATTCTGTCTAGTTTTTATAGGAAGATGTTTCTTTTTCTGCCATAGGCTCAATGCGCTATAAATATCCCCTTGGAAATCCTACAAAAACAGTGTTTCAAAACTGCTCTGTGAAAAGGGAGGTTTCACTCTTTGAATTGAATGCACACATCACAAAGGAGTTTCTGAAAATTCTTCAATCTAGAGTTACATGAAGAAATCCCGTTTCCAAAGAAGGCCTCAAATAGGTCCAAATATCCACTTGCAGCTACTACAAGAAGGGTGTTTCAGAAACGCTCTATCAAAAGAAACGTTAAACTCTGTGAGTTGAACGCACACGTCACTAAGCACTTTCTGAGAACGATTCTATCTACTTTTTACATGAAGATGTTTCCTTTTCTAGCAGAGACTTCAAAGTGCTCTAAATATCCACTTGGGAATTCTACAAAAACGGTGTCTCAAAACTGCTCTATCAAACGGAATGTTCCATTCTGTGAGTCGAATGCACACATCCGAAGAAGTTACTGAGAATTCTTCTCTGTAGGTTTAGATGAAGAAATCCCGTTTCCAACGAAGGCCTCTAGGAGGTCCAATTATCCACTTGCAGATTCTACAGAAAGAGTGTTTCAAAACTGCTCTATCAAGAGAAATGGTCCACCGTGTGTGTGGAATGCAGCCATCACACATTAGTTTCTGAGATTGCTTCTGTCTTGGTTTTATGGGGAGATATTTCCATTTCTAGCATAGGCTTCAAGGCGCTCTAAATATCCGCTTGGAAATACTACAAAAACAGTGTTTCAAAACTGCTGTATCCAAAGGAAGGTGCCACTCGCTGAGTTGAATGCACACATCACAAGGAAGTTTCTGAGAATTCTTCTGTCTAGATTCATACGAAGAAATCCCGTTTCCAACGAAGGCCTCAAAGAAGTCCAAATATCCCATTGCGAATTCTACAAAAGGAGTGTTTCCCAACTGCTCTATCAAGAGGAATGTTGCACTCTGTGACTTGCATGCAAACATCACATAGCAGTGTTTGAGAATTCTTCTGTCTAGAGTAACATGAAGAAATCCCGTTTCCAACGAAGGCCTCAAGGCGGTCCAATTATCCACTTGCAGATTCTACAGAAAGAGTGTTTCAAAACTGCTCTATCAAGAGAAATGTTCCACCGTGTGTGTGGAATGCAGCCATCACACAGTAGTTTCTGAGATTGCTTCCGTCTAGGTTTTATGGGAAGATATTTCCTTTTCTACCATAGGCCTCAAGGCGCTCTAATATCCGCTTGGAAATACTACAACCACAGCGTTTCAAACTGCTCTATCCAAAGGAAGGTTCCACTCTGTGACTTGAATGCACACAACCAAAGAAGTTTCGGAGAATTCTTCTGTCTGGATTTATACGAAGAAATCCCATTTCCAACGAAGACCCAAAGGAGTTCCAAATATCCACTTGCAGATCCTTCAGAAAGAGGGTTTCAAAACTGCTCTATCAAGAGAAATGTTCAACTCTGTGAGTTGAATGCAGACATCACAAAGTCGTTTCTGAGATGGGTTCTGTCTAGGTTTTATGGGAAGATATTTCTTTTTCTACCATACGCTTCAAGGCGTTCCAAATATCCGCTTGGAAATACTACAAAAACGGTGTTTCAAAACTGCTCTATCAAAAGGAAGGATCCACACTGTGAGTTGAATTCACACATCACAAAGAAATCTCTGAGAATTCTTCTGTCTGGGTTTATAGGAAGAAATCCCGTTTCCAACGAAGGCCTCAAAGCGGTCCATATATCCACTTGCAGATTCTACAGAAACAATGTTTCCAAACTGCTCTATCAAGAGGAATGTTGCACTCGGTGAGTTGAATGCACACATCACAAAGTAGTTTCTGAGATTGCTTCTGTCTACCTTTTATGGAAAGATATTCCCTTTTCTACCATAGGCCTGAAAGCGCTCTCAATGTACCCTTGCAAATTCTACAAAAAGATTGTTTCCAAATTGCTCTATCAAGAGAAATCTTTATCTCGGTGAGTTGAAAGCACACATCACAAAGAAGACTCTGAGAATTCTTCTGTCTGGGTTTATAAGATGAAAACCCGTTTCCAACGAAGGCCTCAAGGAGGTCCAAATACAAACAAGCTGATTCTACAGAAACAGTGTTTCCAAACTGCTCTATCAAGAGGAATGTTCCACTCGGTGAGTTGAATGCAGACATCACAAAGGAGTTTCTGAGATTGCTTCTGTCTAGCTTTTATGGAAAGATATTTCCTTTTCTACCATAGGCCTCAAAGCACTCTTAGTATACACTTCCAAATTCTACAAAGAGAGTGTTACTAAACCGCTCTCTCAAAGGAAATGTTAAACTCTGTGAGTTGAACACAGACATCACAAAGCAGTTTCTGAGAACACTTCTGTCTGCCTTTTATGTGAAGACATTCCCTTTTCCAAAGAATGCCTCCAAGGGCTCAAAATATCCACTTGTAGACTTTACAAAGAGAGTGTTTCAAAACTTCTCTACCAAAAGAAAGGTTAAAGACGGTGAGTTCAACGCACACATCACAAAGTTGTTTCTGAGAATGATTCTATCTATGTTTTCCATGAAGATGTTTCCTTTTCTATCATAGGCTTCAAAGTGGTCTAAATATCCACTTGGAAATCCTACAAGAACAGGGTTTCAAAACTTCTCTATCAAACGGAAGACTCCACTCTGTGAGATGAACGCACACATCACAATGAGGTTTCTGAAAATTCTTCTGTCTAGGGTTATAGGAAGAAATCCCGTTTCCAACGAAGGCCTCAAAGAGGTCCAAATATCCACTTGCAGTTTCTACAAAAAGAGTGTTTCAACACTGCTCTATAAAGAGGAAAGTTCCACTCTGTGAGTTGAATGTACACATCACAAAGTAGTTTCTGAGATTGCTTCTGTCTAGGTTTTAGGTGAAGTTATTTCCTTTTCTACTGTGGGCTTCAATGCGCTCTAAATATACACATGCAAATACTACAAAAAGAGTGTTTCAAAACTTTTCTATCAAAAGAAAAGTTTTACTCTGTGAGTTGAACGCACACATCGCAAAGCAGATTCTGAGAATTATTCTGTCTAGTTTTTATAGGAAGATGTTTCTTTTTCTGCCGTAGGCTCAATGCGCTATAAATATCCCCTTGGAAATCCTACAAAAACAGTGTTTTAAAACTGCTCTGTGAAAAGGGACGTTTCACTCTTTGAATTGAATGCACACATCACAAAGGAGTTTCTGAAAATTCTTCAAACTAGAGTTACATGAAGAAATCCCGTTTCCAAAGAAGGCCTCAAGTAGGTCCAAATATCCACTTGCAGCTACTACAAGAAGGGTGTTTCAGAAACGCTCTATCAAAAGAAACGTTAAACTCTGTGAGTTGAACACACACGTCACTAAGCACTTTCTGAGAACGATTCTATCTACTTTTTACATGAAGATGTTTCCTTTTCTAGCAGAGACTTCAAAGTGCTCTAAATATCCACTTGGGAATTCTACAAAAACGGTGTCTCAAAACTGCTCTATCAAAGGGAATGTTCCATTCTGTGAGTCGAATGCACACATCCGAAGAAGTTACTGAGAATTCTTCTCTGTAGGTTTAGATGAAGAAATCCCGTTTCCAACGAAGGCCTCTAGGAGGTCCAATTATCCACTTGCAGATTCTACAGAAAGAGTGTTTCAAAACTGCTCTATCAAGAGAAATGGTCCACCGTGTGTGTGGAATGCAGCCATCACACATTAGTTTCTGAGATTGCTTCTGTCTTGGTTTTATGGGGAGATATTTCCATTTCTAGCATAGGCTTCAAGGCGCTCTAAATATCCGCTTGGAAATACTACAAAAACAGTGTTTCAAAACTGCTGTATCCAAAGGAAGGTGCCACTCGCTGAGTTGAATGCACACATCACAAGGAAGTTTCTGAGAATTCTTCTGTCTAGATTCATACGAAGAAATCCCGTTTCCAACGAAGGCCTCAAAGAAGTCCAAATATCCCATTGCAAATTCTACAAAAGGAGTGTTTCCCAACTGCTCTATCAAGAGGAATGTTGCACTCTGTGACTTGAATGCAAACATCACATAGCAGTGTTTGAGAATTCTTCTGTCTAGAGTAACATGAAGAAATCCCGTTTCCAACGAAGGCCTCAAGGCGGTCCAATTATCCACTTGCAGATTCTACAGAAAGAGTGTTTCAAAACTGCTCTATCAAGAGAAATGTTCCACCGTGTGTGTGGAATGCAGCCATCACAAAGTAGTTTCTGAGATTGCTTCCGTCTAGGTTTTATGGGAAGATATTTCCTTTTCTACCATAGGCTTCAAGGCGCTCTAATATCCGCTTGGAAATACTACAACCACAGCGTTTCAAACTGCTCTATCCAAAGGAAGGTTCCACTCTGTGACTTGAATGCACACAACCAAAGAAGTTTCGGAGAATTCTTCTGTCTGGATTTATACGAAGAAATCCCGTTTCCAACGAAGACCCAAAGGAGTTCCAAATATCCACTTGCAGATCCTTCAGAAAGAGGGTTTCAAAACTGCTCTATCAAGAGAAATGTTCAACTCTGTGAGTTGAATGCAGACATCACAAAGTCGTTTCTGAGATGGGTTCTGTCTAGGTTTTATGGGAAGATATTTCCTTTTCTACCATACGCTTCAAGGCGTTCCAAATATCCGCTTGGAAATACTACAAAAACGGTGTTTCAAAACTGCTCTATCAAAAGGAAGGATCCACACTGTGAGTTGAATTCACACATCACAAAGAAATCTCTGAGAATTCTTCTGTCTGGGTTTATAGGAAGAAATCCCGTTTCCAACGAAGGCCTCAAAGAGGTCCAAATATCCACTTGCAGATTCTACAGAAACAATGTTTCCAAACTGCTCTATCAAGAGGAATGTTGCACTCGGTGAGTTGAATGCACACATCACAAAGTAGTTTCTGAGATTGTTTCTGTCTACCTTTTATGGAAAGATATTCCCTTTTCTACCATAGGCCTGAAAGCGCTCTCAATGTACCCTTGCAAATTCTACAAAAAGAGTGTTTCCAAATTGCTCTATCAAGAGAAATCTTTATCTCGGTGAGTTGAAAGCACACATCACAAAGAAGAACCTGAGAATTCTTCTGTCTGGGTTTATAAGATGAAAACCCGTTTCCAACGAAGGCCTCAAGGAGGTCCAACTACAAACAAGCTGATTCTACAGAAAGAGCGTTTCCAAACTGCTCTATCAAGAGGAATGTTCCACTCGGTGAGTTGAATGCAGACATCACAAAGGAGTTTCTGAGATTGCTTCTGTCTAGCTTTTATGGAAAGATATTTCCTTTTCTACCATAGGCCTCAAAGCGCTCTTAGTATACACTTCCAAATTCTACAAAGAGAGTGTTACTAAACTGCTCTATCAAAGGAAATGTTAAACTCTGTGAGTTGAACACAGACATCACAAAGCAGTTTCTGAGAACACTTCTGTCTGCCTTTTACGTGAAGACATTCCCTTTTCCAAAGAATGCCTCCAAGGGCTCAAAATATCCACTTGTAGACTTTACAAAGAGAGTGTTTCAAAACTTCTCTACCAAAAGAAAGGTTAAAGACGGTGAGTTCAACGCACACATCACAAAGTTGTTTCTGAGAATGATTCTATCTATGTTTTCCATGAAGATGCTTCCTTTTCTATCATAGGCTTCAAAGTGGTCTAAATATCCACTTGGAAATCCTACAATAACAGGGTTTCAAAACTTCTCTATCAAACGGAAGACTCCACTCTGTGAGATGAACGCACACATCACAATGAGGTTTCTGAAAATTCTCCTGTCTATTGTTATAGGAAGAAATCCCGGTTCCAACGAGGGCCTCAAAGAGGTCCAAATATCCACTTGCAGTTTCTACAAAAAGAGTGTTTCAACACTGCTCTATAAAGAGGAAAGTTCCACTCTGTGAGTTGAATGTACACATCACAAAGTAGTTTCTGAGATTGCTTCTGTCTAGGTTTTAGGTGAAGTTATTTCCTTCTCTACTGTGGGCTTCAATGTGCTCTAAATATACACATGCAAATACTACAAAGAGAGTGTTTCAAAACTGCTCTATCAAAAGAAAAGTTTTACTCTGTGAGTTGAACGCACACATCGCAAAGCAGATTCTGAGAATTATTCTGTCTAGTTTTTATAGGAAGGTGTTTCTTTTTCTGCCGTAGGCTCAATGCGCTATAAATATCCCCTTGGAAATCCTACAAAAACAGTGTTTCAAAACTGCTCTGTGAAAAGGGAGGTTTCACTCTTTGAATTGAATGCACACATCACAAAGGAGTTTCTGAGAATTCTTCAATCTAGAGTTACATGAAGAAATCCCGTTTCCAAAGAAGGCCTCCAATAGGACCAAACATCCACTTGCAGCTACTACAAGAAGGGTGTTTCAGAAACGCTCTATCAAAAGAAACGTTACACTCTGTGAGTTGAACGCACACGTCACTAAGCACTTTCTGAGAGCGATTCTATCTACTTTTTACATGAAGATGTTTCCTTTTCTAGCAGAGACTTCAAAGTGCTCTAAATATCCACTTGGGAATTCTACAAAAACGGTGTCTCAAAACTGCTCTATCAAAGGGAATGTTCCATTCTGTGAGTCGAATGCACACATCCGAAGAAGTTACTGAGAATTCTTCTCTGTAGGTTTAGATGAAGAAATCCCGTTTCCAACGAAGGCCTCTAGGAGGTCCAATTATCCACTTGCAGATTCTACAGAAAGAGTGTTTCAAAACTGCTCTATCAAGAGAAATGGTCCACCGTGTGTGTGGAATGCAGCCATCACACATTAGTTTCTGAGATTGCTTCTGTCTTGGTTTTATGGGGAGATATTTCCATTTCTAGCATAGGCTTCAAGGCGCTCTAAATATCCGCTTGGAAATACTACAAAAACAGTGTTTCAAAACTGCTGTATCCAAAGGAAGGTGCCACTCGCTGAGTTGAATGCACACATCACAAGGAAGTTTCTGAGAATTCTTCTGTCTAGATTCATACGAAGAAATCCCGTTTCCAACGAAGGCCTCAAAGAAGTCCAAATATCCCATTGCAAATTCTACAAAAGGAGTGTTTCCCAACTGCTCTATCAAGAGGAATGTTGCACTCTGTGACTTGCATGCAAACATCACATAGCAGTGTTTGAGAATTCTTCTGTTTAGAGTAACATGAAGAAATCCCGTTTCCAACGAAGGCCTCAAGTCGGTCCAATTATCCACTTGCAGATTCTACAGAAAGAGTGTTTCAAAACTGCTCTATCAAGAGAAATGTTCCACCGTGTGTGTGGAATGCAGCCATCACACAGTAGTTTCTGAGATTGCTTCCGTCTAGGTTTTATGGGAAGATATTTCCTTTTCTACCATAGGCCTCAAGGCGCTCTAATATCCGCTTGGAAATACTACAACCACAGCGTTTCAAACTGCTCTATCCAAAGGAAGGTTCCACTCTGTGACTTGAATGCACACAACCAAAGAAGTTTCGGAGAATTCTTCTGTCTAGATTTATACGAAGAAATCCCGTTTCCAACGAAGACCCAAAGGAGTTCCAAATATCCACTTGCAGATCCTTCAGAAAGAGGGTTTCAAAACTGCTCTATCAAGAGAAATGTTCAACTCTGTGAGTTGAATGCAGACATCACAAAGTCGTTTCTGAGATTGGTTCTGTCTAGGTTTTATGGGAACATATTTCCTTTTCTACCACACGCTTCAAGGCGTTCCAAATATCCGCTTGGAAATACTACAAAAACAGTGTTTCAAAACTGCTCTATCAAAAGGAAGGATCCACACTGTGAGTTGAATTCACACATCACAAAGAAGTCTCTGAGAATTCTTCTGTCTGGGTTTATAGGAAGAAATCCCGTTTCCAACGAAGGCCTCAAAGAGGTCCAAATATCCACTTGCAGATTCTACAGAAACAATGTTTCCAAACTGCTCGGTCAAGAGGAATGTTGCACTCGGTGAGTTGAATGCACACATCACAAAGTAGTTTCTGAGATTGCTTCTGTCTACCTTTTATGGAAAGATATTCCCTTTTCTACCATAGGCCTGAAAGCGCTCTCAATGTACCCTTGCAAATTCTACAAAAAGAGTGTTTCCAAATTGCTCTATCAAGAGAAATCTTTATCTCGGTGAGTTGAAAGCACACATCACAAAGAAGACTCTGAGAATTCTTCTGTCTGGGTTTATAAGATGAAAACCCGTTTCCAACGAAGGCCTCAAGGAGGTCCAAATACAAACAAGCTGATTCTACAGAAAGAGTGTTTCCAAACTGCTCTATCAAGAGGAATGTTCCACTCGGTGAGTTGAATGCAGACATCACAAAGGAGTTTCTGAGATTGCTTCTGTCTAGCTTTTATGGAAAGATATTTCCTTTTCTACCATAGGCCTCAAAGCGCTCTTAGTATACACTTCCAAATTCTACAAAGAGAGTGTTACTAAACCGCTCTCTCAAAGGAAATGTTAAACTCTGTGAGTTGAACACAGACATCACAAAGCAGTTTCTGAGAACACTTCTGTCTGCCTTTTATGTGAAGACATTCCCTTTTCCAAAGAATGCCTCCAAGGGCTCAAAATATCCACTTGTAGACTTTACAAAGAGAGTGTTTCAAAACTTCTCTACCAAAAGAAAGGTTAAAGACGGTGAGTTCAACGCACACATCACAAAGTTGTTTCTGAGAATGATTCTATCTATGTTTTCCATGAAGATGTTTCCTTTTCTATCATAGGCTTCAAAGTGGTCTAAATATCCACTTGGAAATCCTACAAGAACAGGGTTTCAAAACTTCTCTATCAAACGGAACACTCCACTCTGTGAGATGAACGCACACATCACAATGAGGTTTCTGAAAATTCTTCTGTCTAGGGTTATAGGAAGAAATCCCGTTTCCAACGAAGGCCTCAAAGAGGTCCAAATATCCACTTGCAGTTTCTACAAAAAGAGTGTTTCAACACTGCTCTATAAAGAGGAAAGTTCCACTCTGTGAGTTGAATGTACACATCACAAAGTAGTTTCTGAGATTGCTTCTGTCTAGGATTTAGGTGAAGTTATTTCCTTTTCTACTGTGGGCTTCAATGCGCTCTAAATATACACATGCAAATACTACAAAAAGAGTGTTTCAAAACTGCTCTATCAAAAGAAAAGTTTTACTCTGTGGGTTGAACGCACACATCGCAAAGCAGATTCTGAGAATTATTCTGTCTAGTTTTTATAGGAAGATGTTTCTTTTTCTGCCGTAGGCTCAATGCGCTATAAATATCCCCTTGGAAATCCTACAAAAACAGTGTTTCAAAACTGCTCTGTGAAAAGGGAGGTTTCACTCTTTGAATTGAATGCACACATCACAAAGGAGTTTCTGAAAATTCTTCAAACGAGAGTTACATGAAGAAATCCCGTTTCCAAAGAAGGCCTCAAATAGGTCCAAATATCCACTTGCAGCTACTACAAGAAGGGTGTTTCAGAAACGCTCTATCAAAAGAAACGTTAAACTCTGTGAGTTGAACGCACACGTCACTAAGCACTTTCTGAGAACGATTCTATCTACTTTTTACATGAAGATGTTTCCTTTTCTAGCAGAGACTTCAAAGTGCTCTAAATATCCACTTGGGAATTCTACAAAAACGGTGTCTCAAAACTGCTCTATCAAACGGAATGTTCCATTCTGTGAGTCGAATGCACACATCCGAAGAAGTTACTGAGAATTCTTCTCTGTAGGTTTAGATGAAGAAATCCCGTTTCCAACGAAGGCCTCTAGGAGGTCCAATTATCCACTTGCAGATTCTACAGAAAGAGTGTTTCAAAACTGCTCTATCAAGAGAAATGGTCCACCGTGTGTGTGGAATGCAGCCATCACACATTAGTTTCTGAGATTGCTTCTGTCTTGGTTTTATGGGGAGATATTTCCATTTCTAGCATAGGCTTCAAGGCGCTCTAAATATCCGCTTGGAAATAGTACAAAAACAGTGTTTCAAAACTGCTGTATCCAAAGGAAGGTGCCACTCGCTGAGTTGAATGCACACATCACAAGGACGTTTCTGAGAATTCTTCTGTCTAGATTCATACGAAGAAATCCCGTTTCCAACGAAGGCCTCAAAGAAGTCCAAATATCCCATTGCAAATTCTACAAAAGGAGTGTTTCCCAACTGCTCTATCAAGAGGAATGTTGCACTCTGTGACTTGAATGCAAACATCACATAGCAGTGTTTGAGAATTCTTCTGTCTAGAGTAACATGAAGAAATCCCGTTTCCAACGAAGGCCTCAAGGCGGTCCAATTATCCACTTGCAGATTCTACAGAAAGAGTGTTTCAAAACTGCTCTATCAAGAGAAATGTTCCACCGTGTGTGTGGAATGCAGCCATCACACAGTAGTTTCTGAGATTGCTTCCGTCTAGGTTTTATGGGAAGATATTTCCTTTTCTACCATAGGCCTCAAGGCGCTCTAATATCCGCTTGGAAATACTACAACCACAGCGTTTCAAACTGCTCTATCCAAAGGAAGGTTCCACTCTGTGACTTGAATGCACACAACCAAAGAAGTTTCGGAGAATTCTTCTGTCTGGATTTATACGAAGAAATCCCGTTTCCAACGAAGACCCAAAGGAGTTCCAAATATCCACTTGCAGATCCTTCAGAAAGAGGGTTTCAAAACTGCTCTATCAAGAGAAATGTTCAACTCTGTGAGTTGAATGCAGACATCACAAAGTCGTTTCTGAGATGGGTTCTGTCTAGGTTTTATGGGAAGATATTTCCTTTTCTACCATACGATTCAAGGCGTTCCAAATATCCGCTTGGAAATACTACAAAAACAGTGTTTCAAAACTGCTCTATCAAAAGGAAGGATCCACACTGTGAGTTGAATTCACACATCACAAAGAAATCTCTGAGAATTCTTCTGTCTGGGTTTATAGGAAGAAATCCCGTTTCCAACGAAGGCCTCAAAGCGGTCCATATATCCACTTGCAGATTCTACAGAAACAATGTTTCCAAACTGCTCTATCAAGAGGAATGTTGCACTCGGGGAGTTGAATGCACACATCACAAAGTAGTTTCTGAGATTGCTTCTGTCTACCTTTTATGGAAAGATATTCCCTTTTCTACCATAGGCCTGAAAGCGCTCTCAATGTACCCTTGCAAATTCTACAAAAAGAGTGTTTCCAAATTGCTCTATCAAGAGAAATCTTTATCTCGGTGAGTTGAAAGCACACATCACAAAGAAGACTCTGAGAATTCTTCTGTCTGGGTTTATAAGATGAAAACCCGTTTCCAACGAAGGCCTCAAGGAGGTCCAAATACAAACAAGCTGATTCTACAGAAAGAGTGTTTCCAAACTGCTCTATCAAGAGGAATGTTCCACTCGGTGAGTTGAATGCAGACATCACAAAGGAGTTTCTGAGATTGCTTCTGTCTAGCTTTTATGGAAAGATATTTCCTTTTCTACCATAGGCCTCAAAGCGCTCTTAGTATACACTTCCAAATTCTACAAAGAGAGTGTTACTAAACCGCTCTCTCAAAGGAAATGTTAAACTCTGTGAGTTGAACACAGACATCACAAAGCAGTTTCTGAGAACACTTCTGTCTGCCTTTTATGTGAAGACATTCCCTTTTCCAAAGAATGCCTCCAAGGGCTCAAAATATCCACTTGTAGACTTTACAAAGAGAGTGTTTCAAAACTTCTCTACCAAAAGAAAGGTTAAAGACGGTGAGTTCAACGCACACATCACAAAGTTGTTTCTGAGAATGATTCTATCTATGTTTTCCATGAAGATGTTTCCTTTTCTATCATAGGCTTCAAAGTGGTCTAAATATCCACTTGGAAATCCTACAAGAACAGGGTTTCAAAACTTCTCTATCAAACGGAAGACTCCACTCTGTGAGATGAACGCACACATCACAATGAGGTTTCTGAAAATTCTTCTGTCTAGGGTTATAGGAAGAAATCCCGTTTCCAACGAAGGCCTCAAAGAGGTCCAAATATCCACTTGCAGTTTCTACAAAAAGAGTGTTTCAACACTGCTCTATAAAGAGGAAAGTTCCACTCTGTGAGTTGAATGTACACATCACAAAGTAGTTTCTGAGATTGCTTCTGTCTAGGTTTTAGGTGAAGTTATTTCCTTTTCTACTGTGGGCTTCAATGCGCTCTAAATATACACATGCAAATACTACAAAAAGAGTGTTTCAAAACTGCTCTATCAAAAGAAAAGTTTTACTCTGTGGGTTGAACGCACACATCGCAAAGCACATTCTGAGAATTATTCTGTCTAGTTTTTATAGGAAGATGTTTCTTTTTCTGCCGTAGGCTCAATGCGCTATAAATATCCCCTTGGAAATCCTACAAAAACAGTGTTTCAAAACTGCTCTGTGAAAAGGGAGGTTTCACTCTTTGAATTGAATGCACACATCACAAAGGAGTTTCTGAAAATTCTTCAAACTAGAGTTACATGAAGAAATCCCGTTTCCAAAGAAGGCCTCAAATAGGTCCAAATATCCACTTGCAGCTACTACAAGCAGGGTGTTTCAGAAACGCTCTATCAAAAGAAACGTTAAACTCTGTGAGTTGAACACACACGTCACTAAGCACTTTCTGAGAACGATTCTATCTACTTTTTACATGAAGATGTTTCCTTTTCTAGCAGAGACTTCAAAGTGCTCTAAATATCCACTTGGGAATTCTACAAAAACGGTGTCTCAAAACTGCTCTATCAAACGGAATGTTCCATTCTGTGAGTCGAATGCACACATCCGAAGAAGTTACTGAGAATTCTTCTCTGTAGGTTTAGATGAAGAAATCCCGTTTCCAACGAAGGCCTCTAGGAGGTCCAATTATCCACTTGCAGATTCTACAGAAAGAGTGTTTCAAAACTGCTCTATCAAGAGAAATGGTCCACCGTGTGTGTGGAATGCAGCCATCACACATTAGTTTCTGAGATTGCTTCTGTCTTGGTTTTATGGGGAGATATTTCCATTTCTAGCATAGGCTTCAAGGCGCTCTAAATATCCGCTTGGAAATACTACAAAAACAGTGTTTCAAAACTGCTGTATCCAAAGGAAGGTGCCACTCGCTGAGTTGAATGCACACATCACAAGGAAGTTTCTGAGAATTCTTCTGTCTAGATTCATACGAAGAAATCCCGTTTCCAACGAAGGCCTCAAAGAAGTCCAAATATCCCATTGCAAATTCTACAAAAGGAGTGTTTCCCAACTGCTCTATCAAGAGGAATGTTGCACTCTGTGACTTGAATGCAAACATCACATAGCAGTGTTTGAGAATTCTTCTGTCTAGAGTAACATGAAGAAATCCCGTTTCCAACGAAGGCCTCAAGGCGGTCCAATTATCCACTTGCAGATTCTACAGAAAGAGTGTTTCAAAACTGCTCTATCAAGAGAAATGTTCCACCGTGTGTGTGGAATGCAGCCATCACACAGTAGTTTCTGAGATTGCTTCCGTCTAGGTTTTATGGGAAGATATTTCCTTTTCTACCATAGGCCTCAAGGCGCTCTAATATCCGCTTGGAAATACTACAACCAGAGCGTTTCAAACTGCTCTATCCAAAGGAAGGTTCCACTCTGTGACTTGAATGCACACAACCAAAGAAGTTTCGGAGAATTCTTCTGTCTGGATTTATACGAAGAAATCCCGTTTCCAACGAAGACCCAAAGGAGTTCCAAATATCCACTTGCAGATCCTTCAGAAACAGGGTTTCAAAGCTGCTCTATCAAGAGAAATGTTCAACTCTGTGAGTTGAATGCAGACATCACAAAGTCGTTTCTGAGATTGGTTCTGTCTAGGTTTTATGGGAAGATATTTCCTTTTCTACCATACGCTTCAAGGCGTTCCAAATATCCGCTTGGAAATACTACAAAAACGGTGTTTCAAAACTGCTCTATCAAAAGGAAGGATCCACACTGTGAGTTGAATTCACACATCACAAAGAAATCTCTGAGAATTCTTCTGTCTGGGTTTATAGGAAGAAATCCCGTTTCCAACGAAGGCCTCAAAGCGGTCCATATATCCACTTGCAGATTCTACAGAAACAATGTTTCCAAACTGCTCTATCAAGAGGAATGTTGCACTCGGTGAGTTGAATGCACACATCACAAAGTAGTTTCTGAGATTGCTTCTGTCTACCTTTTATGGAAAGATATTCCCTTTTCTACCATAGGCCTGAAAGCGCTCTCAATGTACCCTTGCAAATTCTACAAAAAGAGTGTTTCCAAATTGCTCTATCAAGAGAAATCTTTATCTCGGTGAGTTGAAAGCACACATCACAAAGAAGACTCTGAGAATTCTTCTGTCTGGGTTTATAAGATGAAAACCCGTTTCCAACGAAGGCCTCAAGGAGGTCCAAATACAAACAAGCTGATTCTACAGAAAGAGTGTTTCCAAACTGCTCTATCAAGAGGAATGTTCCACTCGGTGAGTTGAATGCAGACATCACAAAGGAGTTTCTGAGATTGCTTCTGTCTAGCTTTTATGGAAAGATATTTCCTTTTCTACCATAGGCCTCAAAGCGCTCTTAGTATACACTTCCAAATTCTACAAAGAGAGTGTTACTAAACCGCTCTCTCAAAGGAAATGTTAAACTCTGTGAGTTGAACACAGACATCACAAAGCAGTTTCTGAGAACACTTCTGTCTGCCTTTTATGTGAAGACATTCCCTTTTCCAAAGAATGCCTCCAAGGGCTCAAAATATCCACTTGTAGACTTTACAAAGAGAGTGTTTCAAAACTTCTCTACCAAAAGAAAGGTTAAAGACGGTGAGTTCAACGCACACATCACAAAGTTGTTTCTGAGAATGATTCTATCTATGTTTTCCATGAAGATGTTTCCTTTTCTATCATAGGCTTCAAAGTGGTCTAAATATCCACTTGGAAATCCTACAAGAACAGGGTTTCAAAACTTCTCTATCAAACGGAAGACTCCACTCTGTGAGATGAACGCACACATCACAATGAGGTTTCTGAAAATTCTTCTGTCTAGGGTTATAGGAAGAAATCCCGTTTCCAACGAAGGCCTCAAAGAGGTCCAAATATCCACTTGCAGTTTCTACAAAAAGAGTGTTTCAACACTGCTCTATAAAGAGGAAAGTTCCACTCTGTGAGTTGAATGTACACATCACAAAGTAGTTTCTGAGATTGCTTCTGTCTAGGTTTTAGGTGAAGTTATTTCCTTTTCTACTGTGGGCTTCAATGCGCTCTAAATATACACATGCAAATACTACAAAAAGAGTGTTTCAAAACTGCTCTATCAAAAGAAAAGTTTTACTCTGTGGGTTGAACGCACACATCGCAAAGCAGATTCTGAGAATTATTCTGTCTAGTTTTTATAGGAAGATGTTTCTTTTTCTGCCATAGGATCAATGCGCTATAAATATCCCCTTGGAAATCCTACAAAAACAGTGTTTCAAAACTGCTCTGTGAAAAGGGAGGTTTCACTCTTTGAATTGAATGCACACATCACAAAGGAGTTTCTGAAAATTCTTCAATCTAGAGTTACATGAAGAAATCCCGTTTCCAAAGAAGGCCTCAAATAGGTCCAAATATCCACTTGCAGCTACTACAAGAAGGGTGTTTCAGAAACGCTCTATCAAAAGAAACGTTAAACTCTGTGAGTTGAACACACACGTCACTAAGCACTTTCTGAGAACGATTCTATCTACTTTTTACATGAAGAATGTTTCCTTTTCTAGCAGAGACTTCAAAGTGCTCTAAATATCCACTTGGGAATTCTACAAAAACGGTGTCTCAAAACTGCTCTACCAAAGGGAATGTTCCATTCTGTGAGTCGAATGCACACATCCGAAGAAGTTACTGAGAATTCTTCTCTGTAGGTTTAGATGAAGAAATCCCGTTTCCAACGAAGGCCTCTAGGAGGTCCAATTATCCACTTGCAGATTCTACAGAAAGAGTGTTTCAAAACTGCTCTATCAAGAGAAATGGTCCACCGTGTGTGTGGAATGCAGCCATCACACATTAGTTTCTGAGATTGCTTCTGTCTTGGTTTTATGGGGAGATATTTCCATTTCTAGCATAGGCTTCAAGGCGCTCTAAATATCCGCTTGGAAATACTACAAAAACAGTGTTTCAAAACTGCTGTATCCAAAGGAAGGTGCCACTCGCTGAGTTGAATGCACACATCACAAGGAAGTTTCTGAGAATTCTTCTGTCTAGATTCATACGAAGAAATCCCGTTTCCAACGAAGGCCTCAAAGAAGTCCAAATATCCCATTGCAAATTCTACAAAAGGAGTGTTTCCCAACTGCTCTATCAAGAGGAATGTTGCACTCTGTGAGTTGAATGCAAACATCACATAGCAGTGTTTGAGAATTCTTCTGTCTAGAGTAACATGAAGAAATCCCGTTTCCAACGAAGGCCTCAAGGCGGTCCAATTATCCACTTGCAGATTCTACAGAAAGAGTGTTTCAAAACTGCTCTATCAAGAGAAATGTTCCACCGTGTGTGTGGAATGCAGCCATCACACAGTAGTTTCTGAGATTGCTTCCGTCTAGGTTTTATGGGAAGATATTTCCTTTTCTACCATAGGCTTCAAGGCGCTCTAATATCCGCTTGGAAATACTACAACCACAGCGTTTCAAACTGCTCTATCCAAAGGAAGGTTCCACTCTGTGACTTGAATGCACACAACCAAAGAAGTTTCGGAGAATTCTTCTGTCTGGATTTATACGAAGAAATCCCGTTTCCAACGAAGACCCAAAGGAGTTCCAAATATCCACTTGCAGATCCTTCAGAAAGAGGGTTTCAAAACTGCTCTATCAAGAGAAATGTTCAACTCTGTGAGTTGAATGCAGACATCACAAAGTCGTTTCTGAGATGGGTTCTGTCTAGGTTTTATGGGAAGATATTTCCTTTTCTACCATACGCTTCAAGGCGTTCCAAATATCCGCTTGGAAATACTACAAAAACAGTGTTTCAAAACTGCTCTATCAAAAGGAAGGATCCACACTGTGAGTTGAATTCACACATCACAAAGAAATCTCTGAGAATTCTTCTGTCTGGGTTTATAGGAAGAAATCCCGTTTCCAACGAAGGCCTCAAAGCGGTCCATATATCCACTTGCAGATTCTACAGAAACAATGTTTCCAAACTGCTCTATCAAGAGGAATGTTGCACTCGGTGAGTTGAATGCACACATCACAAAGTAGTTTCTGAGATTGCTTCTGTCTACATTTTATGGAAAGATATTCCCTTTTCTACCATAGGACTGAAAGCGCTCTCAATGTACCCTTGCAAATTCTACAAAAAGAGTGTTTCCAAATTGCTCTATCAAGAGAAATCTTTATCTCGGTGAGTTGAAAGCACACATCACAAAGAAGACTCTGAGAATTCTTCTGTCTGGGTTTATAAGATGAAAACCCGTTTCCAACGAAGGCCTCAAGGAGGTCCAAATACAAACAAGCTGATTCTACAGAAAGAGTGTTTCCAAACTGCTCTATCAAGAGGAATGTTCCACTCGGTGAGTTGAATGCAGACATCACAAAGGAGTTTCTGAGATTGCTTCTGTCTAGCTTTTATGGAAGATATTTCCTTTTCTACCATAGGCCTCAAAGCGCTCTTAGTATACACTTCCAAATTCTACAAAGAGAGTGTTACTAAACCGCTCTCTCAAAGGAAATGTTAAACTCTGTGAGTTGAACACAGACATCACAAAGCAGTTTCTGAGAACACTTCTGTCTGCCTTTTATGTGAAGACATTCCCTTTTCCAAAGAATGCCTCCAAGGGCTCAAAATATCCACTTGTAGACTTTACAAAGAGAGTGTTTCAAAACTTCTCTACCAAAAGAAAGGTTAAAGACGGTGAGTTCAACGCACACATCACAAAGTTGTTTCTGAGAATGATTCTATCTATGTTTTCCATGAAGATGTTTCCTTTTCTATCATAGGCTTCAAAGTGGTCTAAATATCCACTTGGAAATCCTACAAGAACAGGGTTTCAAAACTTCTCTATCAAACGGAAGACTCCACTCTGTGAGATGAACGCACACATCACAATGAGGTTTCTGAAAATTCTTCTGTCTAGGGTTATAGGAAGAAATCCCGTTTCCAACGAAGGCCTCAAAGAGGTCCAAATATCCACTTGCAGTTTCTACAAAAAGAGTGTTTCAACACTGCTCTATAAAGAGGAAAGTTCCACTCTGTGAGTTGAATGTACACATCACAAAGTAGTTTCTGAGATTGCTTCTGTCTAGGTTTTAGGTGAAGTTATTTCCTTTTCTACTGTGGGCTTCAATGCGCTCTAAATATACACATGCAAATACTACAAAAAGAGTGTTTCAAAACTGCTCTATCAAAAGAAAAGTTTTACTCTGTGGGTTGAACGCACACATCGCAAAGCAGATTCTGAGAATTATTCTGTCTAGTTTTTATAGGAAGATGTTTCTTTTTCTGCCATAGGATCAATGCGCTATAAATATCCCCTTGGAAATCCTACAAAAACAGTGTTTCAAAACTGCTCTGTGAAAAGGGAGGTTTCACTCTTTGAATTGAATGCACACATCACAAAGGAGTTTCTGAAAATTCTTCAAACTAGAGTTACATGAAGAAATCCCGTTTCCAAAGAAGGGATAGGTCCAAATATCCACTTGCAGCTACTACAAGAAGGGTGTTTCAGAAACGCTCTATCAAAAGAAACGTTAAACTCTGTGAGTTGAACACACACGTCACTAAGCACTTTCTGAGAACGATTCTATCTACTTTTTACATGAAGATGTTTCCTTTTCTAGCAGAGACTTCAAAGTGCTCTAAATATCCACTTGGGAATTCTACAAAAACGGTGTCTCAAAACTGCTCTATCAAAGGGAATGTTCCATTCTGTGAGTCGAATGCACACATCCGAAGAAGTTACTGAGAATTCTTCTCTGTAGGTTTAGATGAAGAAATCCCGTTTCCAACGAAGGCCTCTAGGAGGTCCAATTATCCACTTGCAGATTCTACAGAAAGAGTGTTTCAAAACTGCTCTATCAAGAGAAATGGTCCACCGTGTGTGTGGAATGCAGCCATCACACATTAGTTTCTGAGATTGCTTCTGTCTTGGTTTTATGGGGAGATATTTCCATTTCTAGCATAGGCTTCAAGGCGCTCTAAATATCCGCTTGGAAATACTACAAAAACAGTGTTTCAAAACTGCTGTATCCAAAGGAAGGTGCCACTCGCTGAGTTGAATGCACACATCACAAGGAAGTTTCTGAGAATTCTTCTGTCTAGATTCATACGAAGAAATCCCGTTTCCAACGAAGGCCTCAAAGAAGTCCAAATATCCCATTGCAAATTCTACAAAAGGAGTGTTTCCCAACTGCTCTATCAAGAGGAATGTTGCACTCTGTGACTTGAATGCAAACATCACATAGCAGTGTTTGAGAATTCTTCTGTCTAGAGTAACATGAAGAACTCCCGTTTCCAACGAAGGCCTCAAGGTGGTCCAACTATCCACTTGCAGATTCTACAGAAAGAGTGTTTCAAAACTGCTCTATCAAGAGAAATGTTCCACCGTGTGTGTGGAATGCAGCCATCACACAGTAGTTTCTGAGATTGCTTCCGTCTAGGATTTATGGGAAGATATTTCCTTTTCTACCATAGGCCACAAGGTGCTCTAATATCCGCTTGGAAATACTACAACCACAGCGTTTCAAACTGCTCTATCCAAAGGAAGGTTCCACTCTGTGACTTGAATGCACACAACCAAAGAAGTTTCGGAGAATTCTTCTGTCTGGATTTATACGAAGAAATCCCGTTTCCAACGAAGACCCAAAGGAGTTCCAAATATCCACTTGCAGATCCTTCAGAAAGAGGGTTTCGAAACTGCTCTATCAAGAGAAATGTTCAACTCTGTGAGTTGAATGCAGACATCACAAAGTCGTTTCTGAGATTGGTTCTGTCTAGGTTTTATGGGAAGATATTTCCTTTTCTACCATACGCTTCAAGGCGTTCCAAATATCCGCTTGGAAATACTACAAAAACGGTGTTTCAAAACTGCTCTATCAAAAGGAAGGATCCACACTGTGAGTTGAATTCACACATCACAAAGAAGTCTCTGAGAATTCTTCTGTCTGGGTTTATAGGAAGAAATCCCGTTTCCAACGAAGGCCTCAAAGCCGGTCCATATATCCACTTGCAGATTCTACAGAAACAATGTTTCCAAACTGCTCTATCAAGAGGAATGTTGCACTCGGTGAGTTGAATGCACACATCACAAAGTAGTTTCTGAGATTGCTTCTGTCTACCTTTTATGGAAAGATATTCCCTTTTCTACCATAGGCCTGAAAGCGCTCTCAATGTACCCTTGCAAATTCTACAAAAAGAGTGTTTCCAAATTGCTCTATCAAGAGAAATCTTTATACTCGGTGAGTTGAAAGCACACATCACAAAGAAGACTCTGAGAATTCTTCTGTCTGGGTTTATAAGTATGAAAACCCGTTTCCAACGAAGGCCTCAAGGAGGTCCAAATACAAACAAGCTGATTCTACAGAAAGAGTGTTTCCAAACTGCTCTATCAAGAGGAATGTTCCACTCGGTGAGTTGAATGCAGACATCACAAAGGAGTTTCTGAGATTGCTTCTGTCTAGCTTTTATGGAAAGATATTTCCTTTTCTACCATAGGCCTCAAAGCGCTCTTAGTATACACTTCCAAATTCTACAAAGAGAGTGTTACTAAACCGCTCTCTCAAAGGAAATGTTAAACTCTGTGAGTTGAACACAGACATCACAAAGCAGTTTCTGAGAACACTTCTGTCTGCCTTTTATGTGAAGACATTCCCTTTTCCAAAGAATGCCTCCAAGGGCTCAAAATATCCACTTGTAGACTTTACAAAGAGAGTGTTTCAAAACTTCTCTACCAAAAGAAAGGTTAAAGACGGTGAGTTCAACGCACACATCACAAAGTTGTTTCTGAGAATGATTCTATCTATGTTTTCCATGAAGATGTTTCCTTTTCTATCATAGGCTTCAAAGTGGTCTAAATATCCACTTGGAAATCCTACAAGAACAGGGTTTCAAAACTTCTCTATCAAACGGAAGACTCCACTCTGTGAGATGAACGCACACATCACAATGAGGTTTCTGAAAATTCTTCTGTCTAGGGTTATAGGAAGAAATCCCGTTTCCAACGAAGGCCTCAAAGAGGTCCAAATATCCACTTGCAGTTTCTACAAAAAGAGTGTTTCAACACTGCTCTATAAAGAGAAAAGTTCCACTCTGTGAGTTGAATGTACACATCACAAAGTAGTTTCTGAGATTGCTTCTGTCTAGGTTTTAGGTGAAGTTATTTCCTTTTCTACTGTGGGCTTCAATGCGCTCTAAATATACACATGCAAATACTACAAAAAGAGTGTTTCAAAACTGCTCTATCAAAAGAAAAGTTTTACTCTGTGGGTTGAACGCACACATCGCAAAGCAGATTCTGAGAATTATTCTGTCTAGTTTTTATAGGAAGATGTTTCTTTTTCTGCCATAGGCTCAATGCGCTATAAATATCCCCTTGGAAATCCTACAAAAACAGTGTTTCAAAACTGCTCTGTGAAAAGGGAGGTTTCACTCTTTGAATTGAATGCACACATCACAAAGGAGTTTCTGAAAATTCTTCAAACTAGAGTTACATGAAGAAATCCCGTTTCCAAAGAAGGCCTCAAATAGGTCCAAATATCCACTTGCAGCTACTACAAGAAGGGTGTTTCAGAAACGCTCTATCAAAAGAAACGTTAAACTCTGTGAGTTGAACGCACACGTCACTAAGCACTTTCTGAGAACGATTCTATCTACTTTTTACATGAAGATGTTTCCTTTTCTAGCAGAGACTTCAAAGTGCTCTAAATATCCACTTGGGAATTCTACAAAAACGGTGTCTCAAAACTGCTCTATCAAAGGGAATGTTCCATTCTGTGAGTCGAATGCACACATCCGAAGAAGTTACTGAGAATTCTTCTCTGTAGGTTTAGATGAAGAAATCCCGTTTCCAACGAAGGCCTCTAGGAGGTCCAATTATCCACTTGCAGATTCTACAGAAAGAGTGTTTCAAAACTGCTCTATCAAGAGAAATGGTCCACCGTGTGTGTGGAATGCAGCCATCACACATTAGTTTCTGAGATTGCTTCTGTCTTGGTTTTATGGGGAGATATTTCCATTTCTAGCATAGGCTTCAAGGCGCTCTAAATATCCGCTTGGAAATACTACAAAAACAGTGTTTCAAAACTGCTGTATCCAAAGGAAGGTGCCACTCGCTGAGTTGAATGCACACATCACAAGGAAGTTTCTGAGAATTCTTCTGTCTAGATTCATACGAAGAAATCCCGTTTCCAACGAAGGCCTCAAAGAAGTCCAAATATCCCATTGCAAATTCTACAAAAGGAGTGTTTCCCAACTGCTCTATCAAGAGGAATGTTGCACTCTGTGACTTGCATGCAAACATCACACAGCAGTGTTTGAGAATTCTTCTGTCTAGAGTAACATGAAGAAATCCCGTTTCCAACGAAGGCCTCAAGGCGGTCCAATTATCCACTTGCAGATTCTACAGAAAGAGTGTTTCAAAACTGCTCTATCAAGAGAAATGTTCCACCGTGTGTGTGGAATGCAGCCATCACACAGTAGTTTCTGAGATTGCTTCCGTCTAGGTTTTATGGGAAGATATTTCCTTTTCTACCATAGGCCTCAAGGCGCTCTAATATCCGCTTGGAAATACTACAACCACAGCGTTTCAAACTGCTCTATCCAAAGGAAGGTTCCACTCTGTGACTTGAATGCACACAACCAAAGAAGTTTCGGAGAATTCTTCTGTCTGGATTTATACGAAGAAATCCCATTTCCAACGAAGACCCAAAGGAGTTCCAAATATCCACTTGCAGATCCTTCAGAAAGAGGGTTTCAAAACTGCTCTATCAAGAGAAATGTTCAACTCTGTGAGTTGAATGCAGACATCACAAAGTCGTTTCTGAGATGGGTTCTGTCTAGGTTTTATGGGAAGATATTTCCTTTTCTACCATACGCTTCAAGGCGTTCCAAATATCCGCTTGGAAATACTACAAAAACAGTGTTTCAAAACTGCTCTATCAAAAGGAAGGATCCACACTGTGAGTTGAATTCACACATCACAAAGAAATCTCTGAGAATTCTTCTGTCTGGGTTTATAGGAAGAAATCCCGTTTCCAACGAAGGCCTCAAAGAGGTCCAAATATCCACTTGCAGATTCTACAGAAACAATGTTTCCAAACTGCTCTATCAAGAGGAATGTTGCACTCGGTGAGTTGAATGCACACATCACAAAGTAGTTTCTGAGATTGCTTCTGTCTACCTTTGATGGAAAGATATTCCCTTTTCTACCATAGGCCTGAAAGCGCTCTCAATGTACCCTTGCAAATTCTACAAAAAGAGTGTTTCCAAATTGCTCTATCAACAGAAATCTTTATCTCGGTGAGTTGAAAGCACACATCACAAAGAAGACTCTGAGAATTCTTCTGTCTGGGTTTATAAGATGAAAACCCGTTTCCAACGAACGCCTCAAGGAGGTCCAAATACAAACAAGCTGATTCTACAGAAAGAGTGTTTCCAAACTGCTCTATCAAGAGGAATGTTCCACTCGGTGAGTTGAATGCAGACATCACAAAGGAGTTTCTGAGATTGCTTCTGTCTAGCTTTTATGGAAAGATAATTCCTTTTCTACCATAGGCCTCAAAACGCTCTTAGTATACACTTCCAAATTCTACAAAGAGAGTGTTACTAAACCGCTCTCTCAAAGGAAATATTAAACTCTGTGAGTTGAACACAGACATCACAAAGCAGTTTCTGAGAACACTTCTGTCTGCCTTTTATGTGAAGACATTCCCTTTTCCAAAGAATGCCTCCAAGGGCTCAAAATATCCACTTGTAGACTTTACAAAGAGAGTGTTTCAAAACTTCTCTACCAAAAGAAAGGTTAAAGACGGTGAGTTCAACGCACACATCACAAAGTTGTTTCTGAGCATGATTCTATCTATGTTTTCCATGAAGATGTTTCCTTTTCTATCATAGGCTTCAAAGTGGTCTAAATATCCACTTGGAAATCCTACAAGAACAGGGTTTCAAAACTTCTCTATCAAACGGAAGACTCCACTCTGTGAGATGAACGCACACATCACAATGAGGTTTCTGAAAATTCTTCTGTCTAGGGTTATAGGAAGAAATCCCGTTTCCAACGAAGGCCTCAAAGAGGTCCAAATATCCACTTGCAGTTTCTACAAAAAGAGTGTTTCAACACTGCTCTATAAAGAGGAAAGTTCCACTCTGTGAGTTGAATGTACACATCACAAAGTAGTTTCTGAGATTGCTTCTGTCTAGGTTTTAGGTGAAGTTATTTCCTTTTCTACTGTGGGCTTCAATGCGCTCTAAATATACACATGCAAATACTACAAAAAGAGTGTTTCAAAACTGCTCTATCAAAAGAAAAGTTTTACTCTGTGGGTTGAACGCACACATCGCAAAGCAGATTCTGAGAATTATTCTGTCTAGTTTTTATAGGAAGATGTTTCTTTTTCTGCCGTAGGCTCAATGCGCTATAAATATCCCCTTGGAAATCCTACAAAAACAGTGTTTCAAAACTGCTCTGTGAAAAGGGAGGTTTCACTCTTTGAATTGAATGCACACATCACAAAGGAGTTTCTGAAAATTCTTCAAACTAGAGTTACATGAAGAAATCCCGTTTCCAAAGAAGGCCTCAAATAGGTCCAAATATCCACTTGCAGCTACTACAAGAAGGGTGTTTCAGAAACGCTCTATCAAAAGAAACGTTAAACTCTGTGAGTTGAACACACACGTCACTAAGCACTTTCTGAGAACGATTCTATCTACTTTTTACATGAAGATGTTTCCTTTTCTAGCAGAGACTTCAAAGTGCTCTAAATATCCACTTGGGAATTCTACAAAAACGGTGTCTCAAAACTGCTCTATCAAAGGGAATGTTCCATTCTGTGAGTCGAATGCACACATCCGAAGAAGTTACTGAGAATTCTTCTCTGTAGGTTTAGATGAAGAAATCCCGTTTCCAACGAAGGCCTCTAGGAGGTCCAATTATCCACTTGCAGATTCTACAGAAAGAGTGTTTCAAAACTGCTCTATCAAGAGAAATGGTCCACCGTGTGTGTGGAATGCAGCCATCACACATTAGTTTCTGAGATTGCTTCTGTCTTGGTTTTATGGGGAGATATTTCCATTTCTAGCATAGGCTTCAAGGCGCTCTAAATATCCGCTTGGAAATACTACAAAAACAGTGTTTCAAAACTGCTGTATCCAAAGGAAGGTGCCACTCGCTGAGTTGAATGCACACATCACAAGGAAGTTTCTGAGAATTCTTCTGTCTAGATTCATACGAAGAAATCCCGTTTCCAACGAAGGCCTCAAAGAAGTCCAAATATCCCATTGCAAATTCTACAAAAGGAGGGTTTCCCAACTGCTCTATCAAGAGGAATGTTGCACTCTGTGACTTGCATGCAAACATCACATAGCAGTGTTTGAGAATTCTTCTGTCTAGAGTAACATGAAGAAATCCCGTTTCCAACGAAGGCCTCAAGGCGGTCCAATTATCCACTTGCAGATTCTACAGAAAGAGTGTTTCAAAACTGCTCTATCAAGAGAAATGTTCCACCGTGTGTGTGGAATGCAGCCATCACACAGTAGTTTCTGAGATTGCTTCCGTCTAGGTTTTATGGGAAGATATTTCCTTTTCTACCATAGGCCTCAAGGCGCTCTAATATCCGCTTGGAAATACTACAACCACAGCGTTTCAAACTGCTCTATCCAAAGGAAGGTTCCACTCTGTGACTTGAATGCACACAACCAAAGAAGTTTCGGAGAATTCTTCTGTCTAGATTTATACGAAGAAATCCCGTTTCCAACGAAGACCCAAAGGAGTTCCAAATATCCACTTGCAGATCCTTCAGAAAGAGGGTTTCAAAACTGCTCTATCAAGAGAAATGTTCAACTCTGTGAGTTGAATGCAGACATCACAAAGTCGTTTCTGAGATTGGTTCTGTCTAGGTTTTATGGGAAGATATTTCCTTTTCTACCATACGCTTCAAGGCGTTCCAAATATCCGCTTGGAAATACTACAAAAACAGTGTTTCAAAACTGCTCTATCAAAAGGAAGGATCCACACTGTGAGTTGAATTCACACATCACAAAGAAGTCTCTGAGAATTCTTCTGTCTGGGTTTATAGGAAGAAATCCCGTTTCCAACGAAGGCCTCAAAGAGGTCCAAATATCCACTTGCAGATTCTACAGAAACAATGTTTCCAAACTGCTCGGTCAAGAGGAATGTTGCACTCGGTGAGTTGAATGCACACATCACAAAGTAGTTTCTGAGATTGCTTTCTGTCTACCTTTTATGGAAAGATATTCCCTTTTCTACCATAGGCCTGAAAGCGCTCTCAATGTACCCTTGCAAATTCTACAAAAAGAGTGTTTCCAAATTGCTCTATCAAGAGAAATCTTTATCTCGGTGAGTTGAAAGCACACATCACAAAGAAGACTCTGAGAATTCTTCTGTCTGGGTTTATAAGATGAAAACCCGTTTCCAACGAAGGCCTCAAGGAGGTCCAAATACAAACAAGCTGATTCTACAGAAAGAGTGTTTTCAAACTGCTCTATCAAGAGGAATGTTCCACTCGGTGAGTTGAATGCAGACATCACAAAGGAGTTTCTGGGATTGCTTCTGTCTAGCTTTTATGGAAAGATATTTCCTTTTCTACCATAGGCCTCAAAGCGCTCTTAGTATACACTTCCAAATTCTACAAAGAGAGTGTTACTAAACCGCTCTCTCAAAGGAAATGTTAAACTCTGTGAGTTGAACACAGACATCACAAAGCAGTTTCTGAGAACACTTCTGTCTGCCTTTTATGTGAAGACATTCCCTTTTCCAAAGAATGCCTCCAAGGGCTCAAAATATCCACTTGTAGACTTTACAAAGAGAGTGTTTCAAAACTTCTCTACCAAAAGAAAGGTTAAAGACGGTGAGTTCAACGCACACATCACAAAGTTGTTTCTGAGAATGATTCTATCTATGTTTTCCATGAAGATGTTTCCTTTTCTATCATAGGCTTCAAAGTGGTCTAAATATCCACTTGGAAATCCTACAAGAACAGGGTTTCAAAACTTCTCTATCAAACGGAAGACTCCACTCTGTGAGATGAACGCACACATCACAATGAGGTTTCTGAAAATTCTTCTGTCTAGGGTTATAGGAAGAAATCCCGTTTCCAACGAAGGCCTCAAAGAGGTCCAAATATCCACTTGCAGTTTCTACAAAAAGAGTGTTTCAACACTGCTCTATAAAGAGAAAAGTTCCACTCTGTGAGTTGAATGTACACATCACAAAGTAGTTTCTGAGATTGCTTCTGTCTAGGTTTTAGGTGAAGTTATTTCCTTTTCTACTGTGGGCTTCAATGCGCTCTAAATATACACATGCAAATACTACAAAAAGAGTGTTTCAAAACTGCTCTATCAAAAGAAAAGTTTTACTCTGTGAGTTGAACGCACACATCGCAAAGCAGATTCTGAGAATTATTCTGTCTAGTTTTTATAGGAAGATGTTTCTTTTTCTGCCATAGGCTCAATGCGCTATAAATATCCCCTTGGAAATCCTACAAAAACAGTGTTTCAAAACTGCTCTGTGAAAAGGGAGGTTTCACTCTTTGAATTGAATGCACACATCACAAAGGAGTTTCTGAAAATTCTTCAATCTAGAGTTACATGAAGAAATCCCGTTTCCAAAGAAGGCCTCAAATAGGTCCAAATATCCACTTGCAGCTACTACAAGAAGGGTGTTTCAGAAACGCTCTATCAAAAGAAACGATAAACTCTGTGAGTTGAACACACACGTCACTAAGCACTTTCTGAGAACGATTCTATCTACTTTTTACATGAAGATGTTTCCTTTTCTAGCAGAGACTTCAAAGTGCTCTAAATATCCACTTGGGAATTCTACAAAAACGGTGTCTCAAAACTGCTCTATCAAACGGAATGTTCCATTCTGTGAGTCGAATGCACACATCCGAAGAAGTTACTGAGAATTCTTCTCTGTAGGTTTAGATGAAGAAATCCCGTTTCCAACGAAGGCCTCTAGGAGGTCCAATTATCCACTTGCAGATTCTACAGAAAGAGTGTTTCAAAACTGCTCTATCAAGAGAAATGGTCCACCGTGTGTGTGGAATGCAGCCATCACACATTAGTTTCTGAGATTGCTTCTGTCTTGGTTTTATGGGGAGATATTTCCATTTCTAGCATAGGCTTCAAGGCGCTCTAAATATCCGCTTGGAAATACTACAAAAACAGTGTTTCAAAACTGCTGTATCGAAAGGAAGGTGCCACTCGCTGAGTTGAATGCACACATCACAAGGAAGTTTCTGAGAATTCTTCTGTCTAGATGCATACGAAGAAATCCCGTTTCCAACGAAGGCCTCAAAGAAGTCCAAATATCCCATTGCAAATTCTACAAAAGGAGTGTTTCCCAACTGCTCTATCAAGAGGAATGTTGCACTCTGTGACTTGAATGCAAACATCACATAGCAGTGTTTGAGAATTCTTCTGTCTAGAGTAACATGAAGAAATCCCGTTTCCAACGAAGGCCTCAAGGCCGTCCAATTATCCACTTGCAGATTCTACAGAAAGAGTGTTTCAAAACTGCTCTATCAAGAGAAATGTTCCACCGTGTGTGTGGAATGCAGCCATCACACAGTAGTTTCTGAGATTGCTTCCGTCTAGGTTTTATGGGAAGATATTTCCTTTTCTACCATAGGCTTCAAGGCGCTCTAATATCCGCTTGGAAATACTACAACCACAGCGTTTCAAACTGCTCTATCCAAAGGAAGGTTCCACTCTGTGACTTGAATGCACACAACCAAAGAAGTTTCGGAGAATTCTTCTGTCTGGATTTATACGAAGAAATCCCGTTTCCAACGAAGACCCAAAGGAGTTCCAAATATCCACTTGCAGATCCTTCAGAAAGAGGGTTTCAAAACTGCTCTATCAAGAGAAATGTTCAACTCTGTGAGTTGAATGCAGACATCACAAAGTCGTTTCTGAGATGGGTTCTGTCTAGGTTTTATGGGAAGATATTTCCTTTTCTACCTTACGCTTCAAGGCGTTCCAAATATCCGCTTGGAAATACTACAAAAACAGTGTTTCAAAACTGCTCTATCAAAAGGAAGGATCCACACTGTGAGTTGAATTCACACATCACAAAGAAATCTCTGAGAATTCTTCTGTCTGGGTTTATAGGAAGAAATCCCGTTTCCAACGAAGGCCTCAAAGCGGTCCATATATCCACTTGCAGATTCTACAGAAACAATGTTTCCAAACTGCTCTATCAAGAGGAATGTTGCACTCGGTGAGTTGAATGCACACATCACAAAGTAGTTTCTGAGATTGCTTCTGTCTACCTTTTATGGAAAGATATTCCCTTTTCTACCATAGGCCTGAAAGCGCTCTCAATGTACCCTTGCAAATTCTACAAAAAGAGTGTTTCCAAATTGCTCTATCAAGAGAAATCTTTATCTCGGTGAGTTGAAAGCACACATCACAAAGAAGACTCTGAGAATTCTTCTGTCTGGGTTTATAAGATGAAAACCCGTTTCCAACGAAGGCCTCAAGGAGGTCCAAATACAAACAAGCTGATTCTACAGAAAGAGTGTTTCCAAACTGCTCTATCAAGAGGAATGTTCCACTCGGTGAGTTGAATGCAGACATCACAAAGGAGTTTCTGAGATTGCTTCTGTCTAGCTTTTGTGGAAAGATATTTCCTTTTCTACCATAGGCCTCAAAGCGCTCTTAGTATACACTTCCAAATTCTACAAAGAGAGTGTTACTAAACCGCTCTCTCAAAGGAAATGTTAAACTCTGTGAGTTGAACACAGACATCACAAAGCAGTTTCTGAGAACACTTCTGTCTGCCTTTCATGTGAAGACATTCCCTTTTCCAAAGAATGCCTCCAAGGGCTCAAAATATCCACTTGTAGACTTTACAAAGAGAGTGTTTCAAAACTTCTCTACCAAAAGAAAGGTTAAAGACGGTGAGTTCAACGCACACATCACAAAGTTGTTTCTGACAATGATTCTATCTATGTTTTCCATGAAGATGTTTCCTTTTCTATCATAGGCTTCAAAGTGGTCTAAATATCCACTTGGAAATCCTAGAAGAACAGGGTTTCAAAACTTCTCTATCAAACGGAAGACTCCACTCTGTGAGATGAACGCACACATCACAATGAGGTTTCTGAAAATTCTTCTGTCTAGGGTTATAGGAAGAAATCCCGTTTCCAACGAAGGCCTCAAAGAGGTCCAAATATCCACTTGCAGTTTCTACAAAAAGAGTGTTTCAACACTGCTCTATAAAGAGGAAAGTTCCACTCTGTGAGTTGAATGTACACATCACAAAGTAGTTTCTGAGATTGCTTCTGTCTAGGTTTTAGGTGAAGTTATTTCCTTTTCTACTGTGGGCTTCAATGCGCTCTAAATATACACATGCAAATACTACAAAAAGAGTGTTTCAAAACTGCTCTATCAAAAGAAAAGTTTTACTCTGTGGGTTGAACGCACACATCGCAAAGCAGATTCTGAGAATTATTCTGTCTAGTTTTTATAGGAAGATGTTTCTTTTTCTGCCATAGGCTCAATGCACTATAAATATCCCCTTGGAAATCCTACAAAAACAGTGTTTCAAAACTGCTCTGTGAAAAGGGAGGTTTCACTCTTTGAATTGAATGCACACATCACAAAGGAGTTTCTGAAAATTCTTCAAACTAGAGTTACATGAAGAAATCCCGTTTCCAAAGAAGGCCTCAAATAGGTCCAAATATCCACTTGCAGCTACTACAAGCAGGGTGTTTCAGAAACGCTCTATCAAAAGAAACGTTAAACTCTGTGAGTTGAACACACACGTCACTAACCACTTTCTGAGAACGATTCTATCTACTTTTTACATGAAGATGTTTCCTTTTCTAGCAGAGACTTCAAAGTGCTCTAAATATCCACTTGGGAATTCTACAAAAACGGTGTCTCAAAACTGCTCTATCAAAGGGAATGTTCCATTCTGTGAGTCGAATGCACACATCCGAAGAAGTTACTGAGAATTCTTCTCTGTAGGTTTAGATGAAGAAATCCCGTTTCCAACGAAGGCCTCTAGGAGGTCCAATTATCCACTTGCAGATTCTACAGAAAGAGTGTTTCAAAACTGCTCTATCAAGAGAAATGGTCCACCGTGTGTGTGGAATGCAGCCATCACACATTAGTTTCTGAGATTGCTTCTGTCTTGGTTTTATGGGGAGATATTTCCATTTCTAGCATAGGCTTCAAGGCGCTCTAAATATCCGCTTGGAAATACTACAAAAACAGTGTTTCAAAACTGCTGTATCCAAAGGAAGGTGCCACTCGCTGAGTTGAATGCACACATCACAAGGAAGTTTCTGAGAATTCTTCTGTCTAGATTCATACGAAGAAATCCCGTTTCCAACGAAGGCCTCAAAGAAGTCCAAATATCCCATTGCAAATTCTACAAAAGGAGTGTTTCCCAACTGCTCTATCAAGAGGAATGTTGCACTCTGTGACTTGAATGCAAACATCACATAGCAGTGTTTGAGAATTCTTCTGTCTAGAGTAACATGAAGAAATCCCGTTTCCAACGAAGGCCTCAAGGCGGTCCAATTATCCACTTGCAGATTCTACAGAAAGAGTGTTTCAAAACTACTCTATCAAGAGAAATGTTCCACCGTGTGTGTGGAATGCAGCCATCACACAGTAGTTTCTGAGATTGCTTCCGTCTAGGTTTTATGGGAAGATATTTCCTTTTCTACCATAGGCCTCAAGGCGCTCTAATATCCGCTTGGAAATACTACAACCACAGCGTTTCAAACTGCTCTATCCAAAGGAAGGTTCCACTCTGTGACTTGAATGCACACAACCAAAGAAGTTTCGGAGAATTCTTCTGTCTGGATTTATACGAAGAAATCCCGTTTCCAACGAAGACCCAAAGGAGTTCCAAATATCCACTTGCAGATCCTTCATAAAGAGGGTTTCAAAACTGCTCTATCAAGAGAAATGTTCAACTCTGTGAGTTGAATGCAGACATCACAAAGTCGTTTCTGAGATTGGTTCTGTCTAGGTTTTATGGGAAGATATTTCCTTTTCTACCATACGCTTCAAGGCGTTCCAAATATCCGCTTGGAAATACTACAAAAACGGTGTTTCAAAACTGCTCTATCAAAAGGAAGGATCCACACTGTGAGTTGAATTCACACATCACAAAGAAGTCTCTGAGAATTCTTCTGTCTGGGTTTATAGGAAGAAATCCCGTTTCCAACGAAGGCCTCAAAGCGGTCCATATATCCACTTGCAGATTCTACAGAAACAATGTTTCCAAACTGCTCTATCAAGAGGAATGTTGCACTCGGTGAGTTGAATGCACACATCACAAAGTAGTTTCTGAGATTGCTTCTGTCTACCTTTTATGGAAAGATATTCCCTTTTCTACCATAGGCCTGAAAGCGCTCTCAATGTACCCTTGCAAATTCTACAAAAAGAGTGTTTCCAAATTGCTCTATCAAGAGAAATCTTTATCTCGGTGAGTTGAAAGCACACATCACAAAGAAGACTCTGAGAATTCTTCTGTCTGGGTTTATAAGATGAAAACCCGTTTCCAACGAAGGCCTCAAGGAGGTCCAAATACAAACAAGCTGATTCTACAGAAAGAGTGTTTCCAAACTGCTCTATCAAGAGGAATGTTCCACTCGGTGAGTTGAATGCAGACATCACAAAGGAGTTTCTGAGATTGCTTCTGTCTAGCTTTTATGGAAAGATATTTCCTTTTCTACCATAGGCCTCAAAGCGCTCTTAGTATACACTTCCAAATTCTACAAAGAGAGTGTTACTAAACCGCTCTCTCAAAGGAAATGTTAAACTCTGTGAGTTGAACACAGACATCACAAAGCAGTTTCTGAGAACACTTCTGTCTGCCTTTTATGTGAAGACATTCCCTTTTCCAAAGAATGCCTCCAAGGGCTCAAAATATCCACTTGTAGACTTTACAAAGAGAGTGTTTCAAAACTTCTCTACCAAAAGAAAGGTTAAAGACGGTGAGTTCAACGCACACATCACAAAGTTGTTTCTGAGAATGATTCTATCTATGTTTTCCATGAAGATGTTTCCTTTTCTATCATAGGCTTCAAAGTGGTCTAAATATCCACTTGGAAATCCTACAAGAACAGGGTTTCAAAACTTCTCTATCAAACGGAAGACTCCACTCTGTGAGATGAACGCACACATCACAATGAGGTTTCTGAAAATTCTTCTGTCTAGGGTTATAGGAAGAAATCCCGTTTCCAACGAAGGCCTCAAAGAGGTCCAAATATCCACTTGCAGTTTCTACAAAAAGAGTCTTTCAACACTGCTCTATAAAGAGGAAAGTTCCACTCGGTGAGTTGAATGTACACATCACAAAGTAGTTTCTGAGATTGCTTCTGTCTAGGTTTTAGGTGAAGTTATTTCCTTTTCTACTGTGGGCTTCAATGCGCTCTAAATATACACATGCAAATACTACAAAAAGAGTGTTTCAAAACTGCTCTATCAAAAGAAAAGTTTTACTCTGTGAGTTGAACGCACACATCGCAAAGCAGATTCTGAGAATTATTCTGTCTAGTTTTTATACGAAGATGTTTCTTTTTCTGCCATAGGCTCAATGCGCTATAAATATCCCCTTGGAAATCCTACAAAAACAGTGTTTCAAAACTGCTCTATGAAAAGGGAGGTTTCACTCTTTGAATTGAATGCACACATCACAAAGGAGTTTCTGAAAATTCTTCAATCTAGAGTTACATGAAGAAATCCCGTTTCCAAAGAAGGCCTCAAATAGGTCCAAATATCCACTTGCAGCTACTACAAGCAGGGTGTTTCAGAAACGCTCTATCAAAAGAAACGTTAAACTCTGTGAGTTGAACACACACGTCACTAAGCACTTTCTGAGAACGATTCTATCTACTTTTTACATGAAGATGTTTCCTTTTCTAGCAGAGACTTCAAAGTGCTCTAAATATCCACTTGGGAATTCTACAAAAACGGTGTCTCAAAACTGCTCTATCAAAGGGAATGTTCCATTCTGTGAGTCGAATGCACACATCCGAAGAAGTTACTGAGAATTCTTCTCTGTAGGTTTAGATGAAGAAATCCCGTTTCCAACGAAGGCCTCTAGGAGGTCCAATTATCCACTTGCAGATTCTACAGAAAGAGTGTTTCAAAACTGCTCTATCAAGAGAAATGGTCCACCGTGTGTGTGGAATGCAGCCATCACACATTAGTTTCTGAGATTGCTTCTGTCTTGGTTTTATGGGGAGATATTTCCATTTCTAGCATAGGCTTCAAGGCGCTCTAAATATCCGCTTGGAAATACTACAAAAACAGTGTTTCAAAACTGCTGTATCCAAAGGAAGGTGCCACTCGCTGAGTTGAATGCACACATCACAAGGAAGTTTCTGAGAATTCTTCTGTCTAGATTCATACGAAGAAATCCCGTTTCCAACGAAGGCCTCAAAGAAGTCCAAATATCCCATTGCAAATTCTACAAAAGGAGTGTTTCCCAACTGCTCTATCAAGAGGAATGTTGCACTCTGTGACTTGCATGCAAACATCACACAGCAGTGTTTGAGAATTCTTCTGTCTAGAGTAACATGAAGAAATCCCGTTTCCAACGAAGGCCTCAAGGCGGTCCAATTATCCACTTGCAGATTCTACAGAAAGAGTGTTTCAAAACTGCTCTATCAAGAGAAATGTTCCACCGTGTGTGTGGAATGCAGCCATCACACAGTAGTTTCTGAGATTGCTTCCGTCTAGGTTTTATGGGAAGATATTTCCTTTTCTACCATAGGCCTCAAGGCGCTCTAATATCCGCTTGGAAATACTACAACCACAGCGTTTCAAACTGCTCTATCCAAAGGAAGGTTCCACTCTGTGACTTGAATGCACACAACCAAAGAAGTTTCGGAGAATTCTTCTGTCTAGATTTATACGAAGAAATCCCGTTTCCAACGAAGACCCAAAGGAGTTCCAAATATCCACTTGCAGATCCTTCAGAAAGAGGGTTTCAAAACTGCTCTATCAAGAGAAATGTTCAACTCTGTGAGTTGAATGCAGACATCACAAAGTCGTTTCTGAGATTGGTTCTGTCTAGGTTTTATGGGAAGATATTTCCTTTTCTACCATACGCTTCAAGGCGTTCCAAATATCCGCTTGGAAATACTACAAAAACAGTGTTTCAAAACTGCTCTATCAAAAGGAAGGATCCACACTGTGAGTTGAATTCACACATCACAAAGAAGTCTCTGAGAATTCTTCTGTCTGGGTTTATAGGAAGAAATCCCGTTTCCAACGAAGGCCTCAAAGAGGTCCAAATATCCACTTGCAGATTCTACAGAAACAATGTTTCCAAACTGCTCGGTCAAGAGGAATGTTGCACTCGGTGAGTTGAATGCACACATGACAAAGTAGTTTCTGAGATTGCTTCTGTCTACCTTTTATGGAAAGATATTCCCTTTTCTACCATAGGCCTGAAAGCGCTCTCAATGTACCCTTGCAAATTCTACAAAAAGAGTGTTTCCAAATTGCTCTATCAAGAGAAATCTTTATCTCGGTGAGTTGAAAGCACACATCACAAAGAAGACTCTGAGAATTCTTCTGTCTGGGTTTATAAGATGAAAACCCGTTTCCAACGAAGGCCTCAAGGAGGTCCAAATACAAACAAGCTGATTCTACAGAAAGAGTGTTTCCAAACTGCACTATCAAGAGGAATGTTCCACTCGGTGAGTTGAATGCAGACATCACAAAGGAGTTTCTGAGATTGCTTCTGTCTAGCTTTTATGGAAAGATATTTCCTTTTCTACCATAGGCCTCAAAGCGCTCTTAGTATACACTTCCAAATTCTACAAAGAGAGTGTTACTAAACCGCTCTCTCAAAGGAAATGTTAAACTCTGTGAGTTGAACACAGACATCACAAAGCAGTTTCTGAGAACACTTCTGTCTGCCTTTTATGTGAAGACATTCCCTTTTCCAAAGAATGCCTCCAAGGGCTCAAAATATCCACTTGTAGACTTTACAAAGAGAGTGTTTCAAAACTTCTCTACCAAAAGAAAGGTTAAAGACGGTGAGTTCAACGCACACATCACAAAGTTGTTTCTGAGAATGATTCTATCTATGTTTTCCATGAAGATGTTTCCTTTTCTATCATAGGCTTCAAAGTGGTCTAAATATCCACTTGGAAATCCTACAAGAACAGGGTTTCAAAACTTCTCTATCAAACGGAAGACTCCACTCTGTGAGATGAACGCACACATCACAATGAGGTTTCTGAAAATTCTTCTGTCTAGGGTTATAGGAAGAAATCCCGTTTCCAACGAAGGCCTCAAAGAGGTCCAAATATCCACTTGCAGTTTCTACAAAAAGAGTGTTTCAACACTGCTCTATAAAGAGGAAAGTTCCACTCTGTGAGTTGAATGTACACATCACAAAGTAGTTTCTGAGATTGCTTCTGTCTAGGTTTTAGGTGAAGTTATTTCCTTTTCTACTGTGGGCTTCAATGCGCTCTAAATATACACATGCAAATACTACAAAAAGAGTGTTTCAAAACTGCTCTATCAAAAGAAAACTTTTACTCTGTGGGTTGAACGCACACATCGCAAAGCAGATTCTGAGAATTATTCTGTCTAGTTTTTATAGGAAGATGTTTCTTTTTCTGCCGTAGGATCAATGCGCTATAAATATCCCCTTGGAAATCCTACAAAAACAGTGTTTCAAAACTGCTCTGTGAAAAGGGAGGTTTCACTCTTTGAATTGAATGCACACATCACAAAGGAGTTTCTGAAAATTCTTCAAACTAGAGTTACATGAAGAAATCCAGTTTCCAAAGAAGGCCTCAAATAGGTCCAAATATCCACTTGCAGCTACTACAAGAAGGGTGTTTCAGAAACGCTCTATCAAAAGAAACGTTAAACTCTGTGAGTTGAACACACACGTCACTAAGCACTTTCTGAGAACGATTCTATCTACTTTTTACATGAAGATGTTTCCTTTTCTAGCAGAGACTTCAAAGTGCTCTAAATATCCACTTGGGAATTCTACAAAAACGGTGTCTCAAAACTGCTCTATCAAACGGAATGTTCCATTCTGTGAGTCGAATGCACACATCCGAAGAAGTTACTGAGAATTCTTCTCTGTAGGTTTAGATGAAGAAATCCCGTTTCCAACGAAGGCCTCTAGGAGGTCCAATTATCCACTTGCAGATTCTACAGAAAGAGTGTTTCAAAACTGCTCTATCAAGAGAAATGGTCCACCGTGTGTGTGGAATGCAGCCATCACACATTAGTTTCTGAGATTGCTTCTGTCTTGGTTTTATGGGGAGATATTTCCATTTCTAGCATAGGCTTCAAGGCGCTCTAAATATCCGCTTGGAAATACTACAAAAACAGTGTTTCAAAACTGCTGTATCCAAAGGAAGGTGCCACTCGCTGAGTTGAATGCACACATCACAAGGAAGTTTCTGAGAATTCTTCTGTCTAGATTCATACGAAGAAATCCCGTTTCCAACGAAGGCCTCAAAGAAGTCCAAATATCCCATTGCAAATTCTACAAAAGGAGTGTTTCCCAACTGCTCTATCAAGAGGAATGTTGCACTCTGTGACTTGAATGCAAACATCACATAGCAGTGTTTGAGAATTCTTCTGTCTAGAGTAACATGAAGAAATCCCGTTTCCAACGAAGGCCTCAAGGCGGTCCAATTATCCACTTGCAGATTCTACAGAAAGAGTGTTTCAAAACTGCTCTATCAAGAGAAATGTTCCACCGTGTGTGTGGAATGCAGCCATCACACAGTAGTTTCTGAGATTGCTTCCGTCTAGGTTTTATGGGAAGATATTTCCTTTTCTACCATAGGCTTCAAGGCGCTCTAATATCCGCTTGGAAATACTACAACCACAGCGTTTCAAACTGCTCTATCCAAAGGAAGGTTCCACTCTGTGACTTGAATGCACACAACCAAAGAAGTTTCGGAGAATTCTTCTGTCTGGATTTATACGAAGAAATCCCGTTTCCAACGAAGACCCAAAGGAGTTCCAAATATCCACTTGCAGATCCTTCAGAAAGAGGGTTTCAAAACTGCTCTATCAAGAGAAATGTTCAACTCTGTGAGTTGAATGCAGACATCACAAAGTCGTTTCTGAGATGGGTTCTGTCTAGGTTTTATGGGAAGATATTTCCTTTTCTACCATACGCTTCAAGGCGTTCCAAATATCCGCTTGGAAATACTACAAAAACAGTGTTTCAAAACTGCTCTATCAAAAGGAAGGATCCACACTGTGAGTTGAATTCACACATCACAAAGAAATCTCTGAGAATTCTTCTGTCTGGGTTTATAGGAAGAAATCCCGTTTCCAACGAAGGCCTCAAAGAGGTCCATATATCCACTTGCAGATTCTACAGAAACAATGTTTCCAAACTGCTCGGTCAAGAGGAATGTTGCACTCGGTGAGTTGAATGCACACATCACAAAGTAGTTTCTGAGATTGCTTCTGTCTACCTTTTATGGAAAGATATTCCCTTTTCTACCATAGGCCTGAAAGCGCTCTCAATGTACCCTTGCAAATTCTACAAAAAGAGTGTTTCCAAATTGCTCTATCAAGAGAAATCTTTATCTCGGTGAGTTGAAAGCACACATCACAAAGAAGACTCTGAGAATTCTTCTGTCTGGGTTTATAAGATGAAAACCCGTTTCCAACGAAGGCCTCAAGGAGGTCCAAATACAAACAAGCTGATTCTACAGAAAGAGTGTTTCCAAACTGCTCTATCAAGAGGAATGTTCCACTCGGTGAGTTGAATGCAGACATCACAAAGGAGTTTCTGAGATTGCTTCTGTCTAGCTTTTATGGAAAGATATTTCCTTTTCTACCATAGGCCTCAAAGCGCTCTTAGTATACACTTCCAAATTCTACAAAGAGAGTGTTACTAAACCGCTCTCTCAAAGGAAATGTTAAACTCTGTGAGTTGAACACAGACATCACAAAGCAGTTTCTGAGAACACTTCTGTCTGCCTTTTATGTGAAGACATTCCCTTTTCCAAAGAATGCCTCCAAGGGCTCAAAATATCCACTTGTAGACTTTACAAAGAGAGTGTTTCAAAACTTCTCTACCAAAAGAAAGGTTAAAGACGGTGAGTTCAACGCACACATCACAAAGTTGTTTCTGAGAATGATTCTATCTATGTTTTCCATGAAGATGTTTCCTTTTCTATCATAGGCTTCAAAGTGGTCTAAATATCCACTTGGAAATCCTACAAGAACAGGGTTTCAAAACTTCTCTATCAAACGGAAGACTCCACTCTGTGAGATGAACGCACACATCACAATGAGGTTTCTGAAAATTCTTCTGTCTAGGGTTATAGGAAGAAATCCCGTTTCCAACGAAGGCCTCAAAGAGGTCCAAATATCCACTTGCAGTTTCTACAAAAAGAGTGTTTCAACACTGCTCTATAAAGAGAAAAGTTCCACTCTGTGAGTTGAATGTACACATCACAAAGTAGTTTCTGAGATTGCTTCTGTCTAGGTTTTAGGTGAAGTTATTTCCTTTTCTACTGTGGGCTTCAATGCGCTCTAAATATACACATGCAAATACTACAAAAAGAGTGTTTCAAAACTGCTCTATCAAAAGAAAAGTTTTACTCTGTGAGTTGAACGCACACATCGCAAAGCAGATTCTGAGAATTATTCTGTCTAGTTTTTATAGGAAGATGTTTCTTTTTCTGCCATAGGCTCAATGCGCTATAAATATCCCCTTGGAAATCCTACAAAAACAGTGTTTCAAAACTGCTCTGTGAAAAGGGAGGTTTCACTCTTTGAATTGAATGCACACATCACAAAGGAGTTTCTGAAAATTCTTCAATCTAGAGTTACATGAAGAAATCCCGTTTCCAAAGAAGGCCTCAAATAGGTCCAAATATCCACTTGCAGCTACTACAAGAAGGGTGTTTCAGAAACGCTCTATCAAAAGAAACGTTAAACTCTGTGAGTTGAACGCACACGTCACTAAGCACTTTCTGAGAACGATTCTATCTACTTTTTACATGAAGATGTTTCCTTTTCTAGCAGAGACTTCAAAGTGCTCTAAATATCCACTTGGGAATTCTACAAAAACGGTGTCTCAAAACTGCTCTATCAAAGGGAATGTTCCATTCTGTGAGTCGAATGCACACATCCGAAGAAGTTACTGAGAATTCTTCTCTGTAGGTTTAGATGAAGAAATCCCGTTTCCAACGAAGGCATCTAGGAGGTCCAATTATCCACTTGCAGATTCTACAGAAAGAGTGTTTCAAAACTGCTCTATCAAGAGAAATGGTCCACCGTGTGTGTGGAATGCAGCCATCACACATTAGTTTCTGAGATTGCTTCTGTCTTGGTTTTATGGGGAGATATTTCCATTTCTAGCATAGGCTTCAAGGCGCTCTAAATATCCGCTTGGAAATACTACAAAAACAGTGTTTCAAAACTGCTGTATCCAAAGGAAGGTGCCACTCGCTGAGTTGAATGCACACATCACAAGGAAGTTTCTGAGAATTCTTCTGTCTAGATTCATACGAAGAAATCCCGTTTCCAACGAAGGCCTCAAAGAAGTCCAAATATCCCATTGCAAATTCTACAAAAGGAGTGTTTCCCAACTGCTCTATCAAGAGGAATGTTGCACTCTGTGACTTGCATGCAAACATCACACAGCAGTGTTTGAGAATTCTTCTGTCTAGAGTAACATGAAGAAATCCCGTTTCCAACGAAGGCCTCAAGGCGGTCCAATTATCCACTTGCAGATTCTACAGAAAGAGTGTTTCAAAACTGCTCTATCAAGAGAAATGTTCCACCGTGTGTGTGGAATGCAGCCATCACACAGTAGTTTCTGAGATTGCTTCCGTCTAGGTTTTATGGGAAGATATTTCCTTTTCTACCATAGGCCTCAAGGCGCTCTAATATCCGCTTGGAAATACTACAACCACAGCGTTTCAAACTGCTCTATCCAAAGGAAGGTTCCACTCTGTGAGTTGAATGCACACAACCAAAGAAGTTTCGGAGAATTCTTCTGTCTAGATTTATACGAAGAAATCCCGTTTCCAACGAAGACCCAAAGGAGTTCCAAATATCCACTTGCAGATCCTTCAGAAAGAGGGTTTCAAAACTGCTCTATCAAGAGAAATGTTCAACTCTGTGAGTTGAATGCAGACATCACAAAGTCGTTTCTGAGATTGGTTCTGTCTAGGTTTTATGGGAAGATATTTCCTTTTCTACCATACGCTTCAAGGCGTTCCAAATATCCGCTTGGAAATACTACAAAAACAGTGTTTCAAAACTGCTCTATCAAAAGGAAGGATCCACACTGTGAGTTGAATTCACACATCACAAAGAAGTCTCTGAGAATTCTTCTGTCTGGGTTTATAGGAAGAAATCCCGTTTCCAACGAAGGCCTCAAAGAGGTCCAAATATCCACTTGCAGATTCTACAGAAACAATGTTTCCAAACTGCTCGGTCAAGAGGAATGTTGCACTCGGTGAGTTGAATGCACACATCACAAAGTAGTTTCTGAGATTGCTTCTGTCTACCTTTTATGGAAAGATATTCCCTTTTCTACCATAGGCCTGAAAGCGCTCTCAATGTACCCTTGCAAATTCTACAAAAAGAGTGTTTCCAAATTGCTCTATCAAGAGAAATCTTTATCTCGGTGAGTTGAAAGCACACATCACAAAGAAGACTCTGAGAATTCTTCTGTCTGGGTTTATAAGATGAAAACCCGTTTCCAACGAAGGCCTCAAGGAGGTCCAAATACAAACAAGCTGATTCTACAGAAAGAGTGTTTCCAAACTGCTCTATCAAGAGGAATGTTCCACTCGGTGAGTTGAATGCAGACATCACAAAGGAGTTTCTGAGATTGCTTCTGTCTAGCTTTTATGGAAAGATATTTCCTTTTCTACCATAGGCCTCAAAGCGCTCTTAGTATACACTTCCAAATTCTACAAAGAGAGTGTTACTAAACCGCTCTCTCAAAGGAAATGTTAAACTCTGTGAGTTGAACACAGACATCACAAAGCAGTTTCTGAGAACACTTCTGTCTGCCTTTTATGTGAAGACATTCCCTTTTCCAAAGAATGCCTCCAAGGGCTCAAAATATCCACTTGTAGACTTTACAAAGAGAGTGTTTCAAAACTTCTCTACCAAAAGAAAGGTTAAAGACGGTGAGTTCAACGCACACATCACAAAGTTGTTTCTGAGAATGATTCTATCTATGTTTTCCATGAAGATGTTTCCTTTTCTATCATAGGCTTCAAAGTGGTCTAAATATCCACTTGGAAATCCTACAAGAACAGGGTTTCAAAACTTCTCTATCAAACGGAAGACTCCACTCTGTGAGATGAACAGCACACATCACAATGAGGTTTCTGAAAATTCTTCTGTCTAGGGTTATAGGAAGAAATCCCGTTTCCAACGAAGGCCTCAAAGAGGTCCAAATATCCACTTGCAGTTTCTACAAAAAGAGTGTTTCAACACTGCTCTATAAAGAGGAAAGTTCCACTCTGTGAGTTGAATGTACACATCACAAAGTAGTTTCTGAGATTGCTTCTGTCTAGGTTTTAGGTGAAGTTATTTCCTTTTCTACTGTGGGCTTCAATGCGCTCTAAATATACACATGCAAATACTACAAAAAGAGTGTTTCAAAACTGCTCTATCAAAAGAAAAGTTTTACTCTGTGAGTTGAACGCACACATCGCAAAGCAGATTCTGAGAATTATTCTGTCTAGTTTTTATAGGAAGATGTTTCTTTTTCTGCCATAGGATCAATGCGCTATAAATATCCCCTTGGAAGTCCTACAAAAACAGTGTTTCAAAACTGCTCTGTGAAAAGGGAGGTTTCACTCTTTGAATTGAATGCACACATCACAAAGGAGTTTCTGAAAATTCTTCAAACTAGAGTTACATGAAGAAATCCCGTTTCCAAAGAAGGCCTCAAATAGGTCCAAATAACCACTTGCAGCTACTACAAGCAGGGTGTTTCAGAAACGCTCTATCAAAAGAAACGTTAAACTCTGTGAGTTGAACGCACACGTCACTAAGCAGTTTCTGAGAACGATTCTATCTACTGTTTACATGAAGATGTTTCCTTTTCTAGCAGAGACTTCAAAGTGCTCTAAATATCCACTTGGGAATTCTACAAAAACGGTGTCTCAAAACTGCTCTATCAAACGGAATGTTCCATTCTGTGAGTCGAATGCACACATCCGAAGAAGTTACTGAGAATTCTTCTCTGTAGGTTTAGATGAAGAAATCCCGTTTCCAACGAAGGCCTCTAGGAGGTCCAATTATCCACTTGCAGATTCTACAGAAAGAGTGTTTCAAAACTGCTCTATCAAGAGAAATGGTCCACCGTGTGTGTGGAATGCAGCCATCACACATTAGTTTCTGAGATTGCTTCTGTCTTGGTTTTATGGGGAGATATTTCCATTTCTAGCATAGGCTTCAAGGCGCTCTAAATATCCGCTTGGAAATACTACAAAAACAGTGTTTCAAAACTGCTGTATCCAAAGGAAGGTGCCACTCGCTGAGTTGAATGCACACATCACAAGGAAGTTTCTGAGAATTCTTCTGTCTAGATTCATACGAAGAAATCCCGTTTCCAACGAAGGCCTCAAAGAAGTCCAAATATCCCATTGCAAATTCTACAAAAGGAGTGTTTCCCAACTGCTCTATCAAGAGGAATGTTGCACTCTGTGACTTGCATGCAAACATCACACAGCAGTGTTTGAGAATTCTTCTGTCTAGAGTAACATGAAGAAATCCCGTTTCCAACGAAGGCCTCAAGGCGGTCCAATTATCCACTTGCAGATTCTACAGAAAGAGTGTTTCAAAACTGCTCTATCAAGAGAAATGTTCCACCGTGTGTGTGGAATGCAGCCATCACACAGTAGTTTCTGAGATTGCTTCCGTCTAGGTTTTATGGGAAGATATTTCCTTTTCTACCATAGGCCTCAAGGCGCTCTAATATCCGCTTGGAAATACTACAACCACAGCGTTTCAAACTGCTCTATCCAAAGGAAGGTTCCACTCTGTGACTTGAATGCACACAACCAAAGAAGTTTCGGAGAATTCTTCTGTCTAGATTTATACGAAGAAATCCCGTTTCCAACGAAGACCCAAAGGAGTTCCAAATATCCACTTGCAGATCCTTCAGAAAGAGGGTTTCAAAACTGCTCTATCAAGAGAAATGTTCAACTCTGTGAGTTGAATGCAGACATCACAAAGTCGTTTCTGAGATTGGTTCTGTCTAGGTTTTATGGGAAGATATTTCCTTTTCTACCATACGCTTCAAGGCGTTCCAAATATCCGCTTGGAAATACTACAAAAACAGTGTTTCAAAACTGCTCTATCAAAAGGAAGGATCCACACTGTGAGTTGAATTCACACATCACAAAGAAGTCTCTGAGAATTCTTCTGTCTGGGTTTATAGGAAGAAATCCCGTTTCCAACGAAGGCCTCAAAGCGGTCCATATATCCACTTGCAGATTCTACAGAAACAATGTTTCCAAACTGCTCTATCAAGAGGAATGTTGCACTCGGTGAGTTGAATGCACACATCACAAAGTAGTTTCTGAGATTGCTTCTGTCTACCTTTTATGGAAAGATATTCCCTTTTCTACCATAGGCCTGAAAGCGCTCTCAATGTACCCTTGCAAATTCTACAAAAAGAGTGTTTCCAAATTGCTCTATCAAGAGAAATCTTTATCTCGGTGAGTTGAAAGCACACATCACAAAGAAGACTCTGAGAATTCTTCTGTCTGGGTTTATAAGATGAAAACCCGTTTCCAACGAAGGCCTCAAGGAGGTCCAAATACAAACAAGCTGATTCTACAGAAAGAGTGTTTCCAAACTGCTCTATCAAGAGGAATGTTCCACTCGGTGAGTTGAATGCAGACATCACAAAGGAGTTTCTGAGATTGCTTCTGTCTAGCTTTTATGGAAAGATAATTCCTTTTCTACCATAGGCCTCAAAGCGCTCTTAGTATACACTTTCAAATTCTACAAAGAGAGTGTTACTAAACCGCTCTCTCAATGGAAATGTTAAACTCTGTGAGTTGAACACAGACATCACAAAGCAGTTTCTGAGAACACTTCTGTCTGCCTTTTATGTGAAGACATTCCCTTTTCCAAAGAATGCCTCCAAGGGCTCAAAATATCCACTTGTAGACTTTACAAAGAGAGTGTTTCAAAACTTCTCTACCAAAAGAAAGGTTAAAGACGGTGAGTTCAACGCACACATCACAAAGTTGTTTTTGAGAATGATTCTATCTATGTTTTCCATGAAGATGTTTCCTTTTCTATCATAGGCTTCAAAGTGGTCTAAATATCCACTTGGAAATCCTACAAGAACAGGGTTTCAAAGCTTCTCTATCAAACGGAAGACTCCACTCTGTGAGATGAACGCAGACATCACAATGAGGTTTCTGAAAATTCTTCTGTCTAGGGTTATAGGAAGAAATCCCGTTTCCAACGAAGGCCTCAAAGAGGTCCAAATATCCACTTGCAGTTTCTACAAAAAGAGTGTTTCAACACTGCTCTATAAAGAGGAAAGTTCCACTCTGTGAGTTGAATGTACACATCACAAAGTAGTTTCTGAGATTGCTTCTGTCTAGGTTTTAGGTGAAGTTATTTCCTTTTCTACTCTGGGCTTCAATGCGCTCTAAATATACACATGCAAATACTACAAAAAGAGTGTTTCAAAACTGCTCTATCAAAAGAAAAGTTTTACTCTGTGGGTTGAACGCACACATCGCAAAGCAGATTCTGAGAATTATTCTGTCTAGTTTTTATAGGAAGATGTTTCTTTTTCTGCCATAGGCTCAATGCGCTATAAATATCCCCTTGGAAGTCCTACAAAAACAGTGTTTCAAAACTGCTCTGTGAAAAGGGAGGTTTCACTCTTTGAATTGAATGCACACATCACAAAGGAGTTTCTGAAAATTCTTCAATCTAGAGTTACATGAAGAAATCCCGTTTCCAAAGAAGGCCTCAAATAGGTCCAAATATCCACTTGCAGCTACTACAAGAAGGGTGTTTCAGAAACGCTCTATCAAAAGAAACGTTAAACTCTGTGAGTTGAACGCACACGTCACTAAGCACTTTCTGAGAACGATTCTATCTACTTTTTACATGAAGATGTTTCCTTTTCTAGCAGAGACTTCAAAGTGCTCTAAATATCCACTTGGGAATTCTACAAAAACGGTGTCTCAAAACTGCTCTATCAAAGGGAATGTTCCATTCTGTGAGTCGAATGCACACATCCGAAGAAGTTACTGAGAATTCTTCTCTGTAGGTTTAGATGAAGAAATCCCGTTTCCAACGAAGGCCTCTAGGAGGTCCAATTATCCACTTGCAGATTCTACAGAAAGAGTGTTTCAAAACTGCTCTATCAAGAGAAATGGTCCACCGTGTGTGTGGAATGCAGCCATCACACATTAGTTTCTGAGATTGCTTCTGTCTTGGTTTTATGGGGAGATATTTCCATTTCTAGCATAGGCTTCAAGGCGCTCTAAATATCCGCTTGGAAATACTACAAAAACAGTGTTTCAAAACTGCTGTATCCAAAGGAAGGTGCCACTCGCTGAGTTGAATACACACATCACAAGGAAGTTTCTGAGAATTCTTCTGTCTAGATTCATACGAAGAAATCCCGTTTCCAACGAAGGCCTCAAAGAAGTCCAAATATCCCATTGCAAATTCTACAAAAGGAGTGTTTCCCAACTGCTCTATCAAGAGGAATGTTGCACTCTGTGACTTGCATGCAAACATCACATAGCAGTGTTTGAGAATTCTTCTGTCTAGAGTAACATGAAGAAATCCCGTTTCCAACGAAGGCCTCAAGGCGGTCCAATTATCCACTTGCAGATTCTACAGAAAGAGTGTTTCAAAACTGCTCTATCAAGAGAAATGTTCCACCGTGTGTGTGGAATGCAGCCATCACACAGTAGTTTCTGAGATTGCTTCCGTCTAGGTTTTATGGGAAGATATTTCCTTTTCTACCATAGGCTTCAAGGCTCTCTAATATCCGCTTGGAAATACTACAACCAGAGCGTTTCAAACTGCTCTATCCAAAGGAAGGTTCCACTCTGTGACTTGAATGCACACAACCAAAGAAGTTTTGGAGAATTCTTCTGTCTGGATTTATACGAAGAAATCCCGTTTCCAACGAAGACCCAAAGGAGTTCCAAATATCCACTTGCAGATCCTTCAGAAAGAGGGTTTCAAAACTGCTCTATCAAGAGAAATGTTCAACTCTGTGAGTTGAATGCAGACATCACAAAGTCGTTTCTGAGATGGGTTCTGTCTAGGTTTTATGGGAAGATATTTCCTTTTCTACCATACGCTTCAAGGCGTTCCAAATATCCGCTTGGAAATACTACAAAAACGGTGTTTCAAAACTGCTCTATCAAAAGGAAGGATCCACACTGTGAGTTGAATTCACACATCACAAAGAAATCTCTGAGAATTCTTCTGTCTGGGTTTATAGGAAGAAATCCCGTTTCCAACGAAGGCCTCAAAGCGGTCCATATATCCACTTGCAGATTCTACAGAAACAATGTTTCCAAACTGCTCGGTCAAGAGGAATGTTGCACTCGGTGAGTTGAATGCACACATCACAAAGTAGTTTCTGAGATTGCTTCTGTCTACCTTTTATGGAAAGATATTCCCTTTTCTACCATAGGCCTGAAAGCGCTCTCAATGTACCCTTGCAAATTCTACAAAAAGAGTGTTTCCAAATTGCTCTATCAAGAGAAATCTTTATCTCGGTGAGTTGAAAGCACACATCACAAAGAAGACTCTGAGAATTCTTCTGTCTGGGTTTATAAGATGAAAACCCGTTTCCAACGAAGGCCTCAAGGAGGTCCAAATACAAACAAGCTGATTCTACAGAAAGAGTGTTTCCAAACTGCTCTATCAAGAGGAATGTTCCACTCGGTGAGTTGAATGCAGACATCACAAAGGAGTTTCTGAGATTGCTTCTGTCTAGCTTTTATGGAAAGATATTTCCTTTTCTACCATAGGCCTCAAAGCACTCTTAGTATACACTTCCAAATTCTACAAAGAGAGTGTTACTAAACCGCTCTCTCAAAGGAAATGTTAAACTCTGTGAGTTGAACACAGACATCACAAAGCAGTTTCTGAGAACACTTCTGTCTGCCTTTTATGTGAAGACATTCCCTTTTCCAAAGAATGCCTCCAAGGGCTCAAAATATCCACTTGTAGACTTTACAAAGAGAGTGTTTCAAAACTTCTCTACCAAAAGAAAGGTTAAAGACGGTGAGTTCAACGCACACATCACAAAGTTGTTTCTGAGAATGATTCTATCTACGTTTTCCATGAAGATGTTTCCTTTTCTATCATAGGCTTCAAAGTGGTCTAAATATCCACTTGGAAATCCTACAAGAACAGGGTTTCAAAGCTTCTCTATCAAACGGAAGACTCCACTCTGTGAGATGAACGCACACATCACAATGAGGTTTCTGAAAATTCTTCTGTCTAGGGTTATAGGAAGAAATCCCGTTTCCAACGAAGGCCTCAAAGAGGTCCAAATATCCACTTGCAGTTTCTACAAAAAGAGTGTTTCAACACTGCTCTATAAAGAGGAAAGTTCCACTCTGTGAGTTGAATGTACACATCACAAAGTAGTTTCTGAGATTGCTTCTGTCTAGGTTTTAGGTGAAGTTATTTCCTTTTCTACTGTGGGCTTCAATGCGCTCTAAATATACACATGCAAATACTACAAAAAGAGTGTTTCAAAACTGCTCTATCAAAAGAAAAGTTTTACTCTGTGAGTTGAACGCACACATCGCAAAGCAGATTCTGAGAATTATTCTGTCTAGTTTTTATAGGAAGATGTTTCTTTTTCTGCCATAGGCTCAATGCGCTATAAATATCCCCTTGGAAATCCTACAAAAACAGTGTTTCAAAACTGCTCTGTGAAAAGGGAGGTTTCACTCTTTGAATTGAATGCACACATCACAAAGGAGTTTCTGAAAATTCTTCAATCTAGAGTTACATGAAGAAATCCCGTTTCCAAAGAAGGCCTCAAATAGGTCCAAATATCCACTTGCAGCTACTACAAGAAGGGTGTTTCAGAAACGCTCTATCAAAAGAAACGTTAAACTCTGTGAGTTGAACGCACACGTCACTAAGCACTTTCTGAGAACGATTCTATCTACTTTTTACATGAAGATGTTTCCTTTTCTAGCAGAGACTTCAAAGTGCTCTAAATATCCACTTGGGAATTCTACAAAAACGGTGTCTCAAAACTGCTCTACCAAAGGGAATGTTCCATTCTGTGAGTCGAATGCACACATCCGAAGAAGTTACTGAGAATTCTTCTCTGTAGGTTTAGATGAAGAAATCCCGTTTCCAACGAAGGCCTCTAGGAGGTCCAATTATCCACTTGCAGATTCTACAGAAAGAGTGTTTCAAAACTGCTCTATCAAGAGAAATGGTCCACCGTGTGTGTGGAATGCAGCCATCACACATTAGTTTCTGAGATTGCTTCTGTCTTGGTTTTATGGGGAGATATTTCCATTTCTAGCATAGGCTTCAAGGCGCTCTAAATATCCGCTTGGAAATACTACAAAAACAGTGTTTCAAAACTGCTGTATCCAAAGGAAGGTGCCACTCGCTGAGTTGAATGCACACATCACAAGGAAGTTTCTGAGAATTCTTCTGTCTAGATTCATACGAAGAAATCCCGTTTCCAACGAAGGCCTCAAAGAAGTCCAAATATCCCATTGCAAATTCTACAAAAGGAGTGTTTCCCAACTGCTCTATCAAGAGGAATGTTGCACTCTGTGACTTGCATGCAAACATCACACAGCAGTGTTTGAGAATTCTTCTGTCTAGAGTAACATGAAGAAATCCCGTTTCCAACGAAGGCCTCAAGGCGGTCCAATTATCCACTTGCAGATTCTACAGAAAGAGTGTTTCAAAACTGCTCTATCAAGAGAAATGTTCCACCGTGTGTGTGGAATGCAGCCATCACACAGTAGTTTCTGAGATTGCTTCCGTCTAGGTTTTATGGGAAGATATTTCCTTTTCTACCATAGGCCTCAAGGCGCTCTAATATCCGCTTGGAAATACTACAACCACAGCGTTTCAAACTGCTCTATCCAAAGGAAGGTTCCACTCTGTGACTTGAATGCACACAACCAAAGAAGTTTCGGAGAATTCTTCTGTCTAGATTTATACGAAGAAATCCCGTTTCCAACGAAGACCCAAAGGAGTTCCAAATATCCACTTGCAGATCCTTCAGAAAGAGGGTTTCAAAACTGCTCTATCAAGAGAAATGTTCAACTCTGTGAGTTGAATGCAGACATCACAAAGTCGTTTCTGAGATTGGTTCTGTCTAGGTTTTATGGGAAGATATTTCCTTTTCTACCATACGCTTCAAGGCGTTCCAAATATCCGCTTGGAAATACTACAAAAACGGTGTTTCAAAACTGCTCTATCAAAAGGAAGGATCCACACTGTGAGTTGAATTCACACATCACAAAGAAATCTCTGAGAATTCTTCTGTCTGGGTTTATAGGAAGAAATCCCGTTTCCAACGAAGGCCACAAAGCGGTCCATATATCCACTTGCAGATTCTACAGAAACAATGTTTCCAAACTGCTCTATCAAGAGGAATGTTGCACTCGGTGAGTTGAATGCACACATCACAAAGTAGTTTCTGAGATTGCTTCTGTCTACCTTTTATGGAAAGATATTCCCTTTTCTACCATAGGCCTGAAAGCGCTCTCAATGTACCCTTGCAAATTCTACAAAAAGAGTGTTTCCAAATTGCTCTATCAAGAGAAATCTTTATCTCGGTGAGTTGAAAACACACATCACAAAGAAGACTCTGAGAATTCTTCTGTCTGGGTTTATAAGATGAAAACCCGTTTCCAACGAAGGCCTCAAGGAGGTCCAAATACAAACAAGCTGATTCTACAGAAAGAGTGTTTCCAAACTGCTCTATCAAGAGGAATGTTCCACTCGGTGAGTTGAATGCAGACATCACAAAGGAGTTTCTGAGATTGCTTCTGTCTAGCTTTTATGGAAAGATATTTCCTTTTCTACCATAGGCCTCAAAGCGCTCTTAGTATACACTTCCAAATTCTACAAAGAGAGTGTTACTAAACCGCTCTCTCAAAGGAAATGTTAAACTCTGTGAGTTGAACACAGACATCACAAAGCAGTTTCTGAGAACACTTCTGTATGCCTTTTATGTGAAGACATTCCCTTTTCCAAAGAATGCCTCCAAGGGCTCAAAATATCCACTTGTAGACTTTACAAAGAGAGTGTTTCAAAACTTCTCTACCAAAAGAAAGGTTAAAGACGGTGAGTTCAACGCACACATCACAAAGTTGTTTCTGAGAATGATTCTATCTATGTTTTCCATGAAGATGTTTCCTTTTCTATCATAGGCTTCAAAGTGGTCTAAATATCCACTTGGAAATCCTACAAGAACAGGGTTTCAAAACTTCTCTATCAAACGGAAGACTCCACTGTGTGAGATGAACGCACACATCACAATGAGGTTTCTGAAAATTCTTCTGTCTAGGGTTATAGGAAGAAATCCCGTTTCCAACGAAGGCCTCAAAGAGGTCCAAATATCCACTTGCAGTTTCTACAAAAAGAGTGTTTCAACACTGCTCTATAAAGAGGAAAGTTCCACTCTGTGAGTTGAATGTACACATCACAAAATAGTTTCTGAGATTGCTTCTGTCTAGGTTTTAGGTGAAGTTATTTCCTTTTCTACTGTGTGCTTCAATGCGCTCTAAATATACACATGCAAATACTACAAAAAGAGTGTTTCAAAACTGCTCTATCAAAAGAAAAGTTTTACTCTGTGAGTTGAACGCACACATCGCAAAGCAGATTCTGAGAATTATTCTGTCTAGTTTTTATAGGAAGATGTTTCTTTTTCTGCCATAGGCTCAATGCGCTATAAATATCCCCTTGGAAATCCTACAAAAACAGTGTTTCAAAACTGCTCTGTGAAAAGGGAGGTTTCACTCTTTGAATTGAATGCACACATCACAAAGGAGTTTCTGAAAATTCTTCAATCTAGAGTTACATGAAGAAATCCCGTTTCCAAAGAAGGCCTCAAATAGGTCCAAATATCCACTTGCAGCTACTACAAGAAGGGTGTTTCAGAAACGCTCTATCAAAAGAAACGTTAAACTCTGTGAGTTGAACGCACACGTCACTAAGCACTTTCTGAGAACGATTCTATCTACTTTTTACATGAAGATGTTTCCTTTTCTAGCAGAGACTTCAAAGTGCTCTAAATATCCACTTGGGAATTCTACAAAAACGGTGTCTCAAAACTGCTCTATCAAAGGGAATGTTCCATTCTGTGAGTCGAATGCACACATCCCGAAGAAGTTACTGAGAATTCTTCTCTGTAGGTTTAGATGAAGAAATCCCGTTTCCAACGAAGGCCTCTAGGAGGTCCAATTATCCACTTGCAGATTCTACAGAAAGAGTGTTTCAAAACTGCTCTATCAAGAGAAATGGTCCACCGTGTGTGTGGAATGCAGCCATCACACATTAGTTTCTGAGATTGCTTCTGTCTTGGTTTTATGGGGAGATATTTCCATTTCTAGCATAGGCTTCAAGGCGCTCTAAATATCCGCTTGGAAATACTACAAAAACAGTGTTTCAAAACTGCTGTATCCAAAGGAAGGTGCCACTCGCTGAGTTGAATGCACACATCACAAGGAAGTTTCTGAGAATTCTTCTGTCTAGATTCATACGAAGAAATCCCGTTTCCAACGAAGGCCTCAAAGAAGTCCAAATATCCCATTGCAAATTCTACAAAAGGAGTGTTTCCCAACTGCTCTATCAAGAGGAATGTTGCACTCTGTGACTTGAATGCAAACATCACATAGCAGTGTTTGAGAATTCTTCTGTCTAGAGTAACATGAAGAAATCCTGTTTCCAACGAAGGCCTCAAGGCGGTCCAATTATCCACTTGCAGATTCTACAGAAAGAGTGTTTCAAAACTGCTCTATCAAGAGAAATGTTCCACCGTGTGTGTGGAATGCAGCCATCACACAGTAGTTTCTGAGATTGCTTCCGTCTAGGTTTTATGGGAAGATATTTCCTTTTCTACCATAGGCTTCAAGGCGCTCTAATATCCGCTTGGAAATACTACAACCACAGCGTTTCAAACTGCTCTATCCAAAGGAAGGTTCCACTCTGTGACTTGAATGCACACAACCAAAGAAGTTTCGGAGAATTCTTCTGTCTGGATTTATACGAAGAAATCCCGTTTCCAACGAAGACCCAAAGGAGTTCCAAATATCCACTTGCAGATCCTTCAGAAAGAAGGTTTCAAAACTGCTCTATCAAGAGAAATGTTCAACTCTGTGAGTTGAATGCAGACATCACAAAGTCGTTTCTGAGATGGGTTCTGTCTAGGTTTTATGGGAAGATATTTCCTTTTCTACCATACGCTTCAAGGCGTTCCAAATATCCGCTTGGAAATACTACAAAAACAGTGTTTCAAAACTGCTCTATCAAAAGGAAGGATCCACACTGTGAGTTGAATTCACACATCACAAAGAAATCTCTGAGAATTCTTCTGTCTGGGTTTATAGGAAGAAATCCCGTTTCCAACGAAGGCCTCAAAGCGGTCCATATATCCACTTGCAGATTCTACAGAAACAATGTTTCCAAACTGCTCTATCAAGAGGAATGTTGCACTCGGTGAGTTGAATGCACACATCACAAAGTAGTTTCTGAGATTGCTTCTGTCTACCTTTTATGGAAAGATATTCCCTTTTCTACCATAGGCCTGAAAGCGCTCTCAATGTACCCTTGCAAATTCTACAAAAAGAGTGTTTCCAAATTGCTCTATCAAGAGAAATCTTTATCTCGGTGAGTTGAAAGCACACATCACAAAGAAGACTCTGAGAATTCTTCTGTCTGGGTTTATAAGATGAAAACCCGTTTCCAACGAAGGCCTCAAGGAGGTCCAAATACAAACAAGCTGATTCTACAGAAAGAGTGTTTCCAAACTGCTCTATCAAGAGGAATGTTCCACTCGGTGAGTTGAATGCAGACATCACAAAGGAGTTTCTGAGATTGCTTCTGTCTAGCTTTTATGGAAAGATATTTCCTTTTCTACCATAGGCCTCAAAGCGCTCTTAGTATACACTTCCAAATTCTACAAAGAGAGTGTTACTAAACCGCTCTCTCAAAGGAAATGTTAAACTCTGTGAGTTGAACACAGACATCACAAAGCAGTTTCTGAGAACACTTCTGTCTGCCTTTTATGTGAAGACATTCCCTTTTCCAAAGAATGCCTCCAAGGGCTCAAAATATCCACTTGTAGACTTTACAAAGAGAGTGTTTCAAAACTTCTCTACCAAAAGAAAGGTTAAAGACGGTGAGTTCAACGCACACATCACAAAGTTGTTTCTGAGAATGATTCTATCTATGTTTTCCATGAAGATGTTTCCTTTTCTATCATAGGCTTCAAAGTGGTCTAAATATCCACTTGGAAATCCTACAAGAACAGGGTTTCAAAACTTCTCTATCAAACGGAAGACTCCACTCTGTGGGATGAACGCACACATCACAATGAGGTTTCTGAAAATTCTTCTGTCTAGGGTTATAGGAAGAAATCCCGTTTCCAACGAAGGCCTCAAAGAGGTCCAAATATCCACTTGCAGTTTCTACAAAAAGAGTGTTTCAACACTGCTCTATAAAGAGGAAAGTTCCACTCTGTGAGTTGAATGTACACATCACAAAGTAGTTTCTGAGATTGCTTCTGTCTAGGTTTTAGGTGAAGTTATTTCCTTTTCTACTGTGGGCTTCAATGCGCTCTAAATATACACATGCAAATACGACAAAAAGAGTGTTTCAAAACTGCTCTATCAAAAGAAAAGTTTTACTCTGTGGGTTGAACGCACACATCGCAAAGCAGATTCTGAGAATTATTCTGTCTAGTTTTTATAGGAAGATGTTTCTTTTTCTGCCGCAGGCTCAATGCGCTATAAATATCCCCTTGGAAATCCTACCAAAACAGTGTTTCAAAACTGCTCTGTGAAAAGGGACGTTTCACTCTTTGAATTGAAGGCACACATCACCAAGGAGTTTCTGAAAATTCTTCAATCTAGAGTTACATGAAGAAATCCCGTTTCCAAAGAAGGCCTCAAATAGGTCCAAATATCCACTTGCAGCTACTACAAGAAGGGTGTTTCAGAAACGCTCTATCAAAAGAAACGTTAAACTCTGTGAGTTGAACACACACGTCACTAAGCACTTTCTGAGAACGATTCTATCTACTTTTTACATGAAGATGTTTCCTTTTCTAGCAGAGACTTCAAAGTGCTCTAAATATCCACTTGGGAATTCTACAAAAACGGTGTCTCAAAACTGCTCTATCAAACGGAATGTTCCATTCTGTGAGTCGAATGCACACATCCGAAGAAGTTACTGAGAATTCTTCTCTGTAGGTTTAGATGAAGAAATCCCGTTTCCAACGAAGGCCTCTAGGAGGTCCAATTATCCACTTGCAGATTCTACAGAAAGAGTGTTTCAAAACTGCTCTATCAAGAGAAATGGTCCACCGTGTGTGTGGAATGCAGCCATCACACATTAGTTTCTGAGATTGCTTCTGTCTTGGTTTTATGGGGAGATATTTCCATTTCTAGCATAGGCTTCAAGGCGCTCTAAATATCCGCTTGGAAATACTACAAAAACAGTGTTTCAAAACTGCTGTATCCAAAGGAAGGTGCCACTCGCTGAGTTGAATGCACACATCACAAGGAAGTTTCTGAGAATTCTTCTGTCTAGATTCATACGAAGAAATCCCGTTTCCAACGAAGGCCTCAAAGAAGTCCAAATATCCCATTGCAAATTCTACAAAAGGAGTGTTTCCCAACTGCTCTATCAAGAGGAATGTTGCACTCTGTGACTTGCATGCAAACATCACACAGCAGTGTTTGAGAATTCTTCTGTCTAGAGTAACATGAAGAAATCCCGTTTCCAACGAAGGCCTCAAGGCGGTCCAATTATCCACTTGCAGATTCTACAGAAAGAGTGTTTCAAAACTGCTCTATCAAGAGAAATGTTCCACCGTGTGTGTGGAATGCAGCCATCACACAGTAGTTTCTGAGATTGCTTCCGTCTAGGTTTTATGGGAAGATATTTCCTTTTCTACCATAGGCCTCAAGGCGCTCTAATATCCGCTTGGAAATACTACAACCACAGCGTTTCAAACTGCTCTATCCAAAGGAAGGTTCCACTCTGTGACTTGAATGCACACAACCAAAGAAGTTTCGGAGAATTCTTCTGTCTAGATTTATACGAAGAAATCCCGTTTCCAACGAAGACCCAAAGGAGTTCCAAATATCCACTTGCAGATCCTTCAGAAAGAGGGTTTCAAAACTGCTCTATCAAGAGAAATGTTCAACTCTGTGAGTTGAATGCAGACATCACAAAGTCGTTTCTGAGATTGGTTCTGTCTAGGTTTTATGGGAAGATATTTCCTTTTCTACCATACGCTTCAAGGCGTTCCAAATATCCGCTTGGAAATACTACAAAAACAGTGTTTCAAAACTGCTCTATCAAAAGGAAGGATCCACACTGTGAGTTGAATTCACACATCACAAAGAAGTCTCTGAGAATTCTTCTGTCTGGGTTTATAGGAAGAAATCCCGTTTCCAACGAAGGCCTCAAAGAGGTCCAAATATCCACTTGCAGATTCTACAGAAACAATGTTTCCAAACTGCTCGGTCAAGAGGAATGTTGCACTCGGTGAGTTGAATGCACACATCACAAAGTAGTTTCTGAGATTGCTTCTGTCTACCTTTTATGGAAAGATATTCCCTTTTCTACCATAGGCCTGAAAGCGCTCTCAATGTACCCTTGCAAATTCTACAAAAAGAGTGTTTCCAAATTGCTCTATCAAGAGAAATCTTTATCTCGGTGAGTTGAAAGCACACATCACAAAGAAGACTCTGAGAATTCTTCTGTCTGGGTTTATAAGATGAAAACCCGTTTCCAACGAAGGCCTCAAGGAGGTCCAAATACAAACAAGCTGATTCTACAGAAAGAGTGTTTCCAAACTGCTCTATCAAGAGGAATGTTCCACTCGGTGAGTTGAATGCAGACATCACAAAGGAGTTTCTGAGATTGCTTCTGTCTAGCTTTTATGGAAAGATATTTCCTTTTCTACCATAGGCCTCAAAGCGCTCTTAGTATACACTTCCAAATTCTACAAAGAGAGTGTTACTAAACCGCTCTCTCAAAGGAAATGTTAAACTCTGTGAGTTGAACACAGACATCACAAAGCAGTTTCTGAGAACACTTCTGTCTGCCTTTTATGTGAAGACATTCCCTTTTCCAAAGAATGCCTCCAAGGGCTCAAAATATCCACTTGTAGACTTTACAAAGAGAGTGTTTCAAAACTTCTCTACCAAAAGAAAGGTTAAAGACGGTGAGTTCAACGCACAGATCACAAAGTTGTTTCTGAGAATGATTCTATCTATGTTTTCCATGAAGATGTTTCCTTTTCTATCATAGGCTTCAAAGTGGTCTAAATATCCACTTGGAAATCCTACAAGAACAGGGTTTCAAAACTTCTCTATCAAACGGAAGACTCCACTCTGTGAGATGAACGCACACATCACAATGAGGTTTCTGAAAATTCTTCTGTCTAGGGTTATAGGAAGAAATCCCGTTTCCAACGAAGGCCTCAAAGAGGTCCAAATATCCACTTGCAGTTTCTACAAAAAGAGTGTTTCAACACTGCTCTATAAAGAGAAAAGTTCCACTCTGTGAGTTGAATGTACACATCACAAAGTAGTTTCTGAGATTGCTTCTGTCTAGGTTTTAGGTGAAGTTATTTCCTTTTCTACTGTGGGCTTCAATGCGCTCTAAATATACACATGCAAATACTACAAAAAGAGTGTTTCAAAACTGCTCTATCAAAAGAAAAGTTTTACTCTGTGAGTTGAACGCACACATCGCAAAGCAGATTCTGAGAATTATTCTGTCTAGTTTTTATAGGAAGATGTTTCTTTTTCTGCCATAGGCTCAATGCGCTATAAATATCCCCTTGGAAATCCTACAAAAACAGTGTTTCAAAACTGCTCTGTGAAAAGGGAGGTTTCACTCTTTGAATTGAATGCACACATCACAAAGGAGTTTCTGAAAATTCTTCAATCTAGAGTTACATGAAGAAATCCCGTTTCCAAAGAAGGCCTCAAATAGGTCCAAATATCCACTTGCAGCTACTACAAGCAGGGTGTTTCAGAAACGCTCTATCAAAAGAAACGTTAAACTCTGTGAGTTGAACACACACGTCACTAAGCACTTTCTGAGAACGATTCTATCTACTTTTTACATGAAGATGTTTCCTTTTCTAGCAGAGACTTCAAAGTGCTCTAAATATCCACTTGGGAATTCTACAAAAACGGTGTCTCAAAACTGCTCTATCAAAGGGAATGTTCCATTCTGTGAGTCGAATGCACACATCCGAAGAAGTTACTGAGAATTCTTCTCTGTAGGTTTAGATGAAGAAATCCCGTTTCCAACGAAGGCCTCTAGGAGGTCCAATTATCCACTTGCAGATTCTACAGAAAGAGTGTTTCAAAACTGCTCTATCCAGAGAAATGGTCCACCGTGTGTGTGGAATGCAGCCATCACACATTAGTTTCTGAGATTGCTTCTGTCTTGGTTTTATGGGGAGATATTTCCATTTCTAGCATAGGCTTCAAGGCGCTCTAAATATCCGCTTGGAAATACTACAAAAACAGTGTTTCAAAACTGCTGTATCCAAAGGAAGGTGCCACTCGCTGAGTTGAATGCACACATCACAAGGAAGTTTCTGAGAATTCTTCTGTCTAGATTCATACGAAGAAATCCCGTTTCCAACGAAGGCCTCAAAGAAGTCCAAATATCCCATTGCAAATTCTACAAAAGGAGTGTTTCCCAACTGCTCTATCAAGAGGAATGTTGCACTCTGTGACTTGAATGCAAACATCACATAGCAGTGTTTGAGAATTCTTCTGTCTAGAGTAACATGAAGAAATCCCGTTTCCAACGAAGGCCTCAAGGCGGTCCAATTATCCACTTGCAGATTCTACAGAAAGAGTGTTTCAAAACTGCTCTATCAAGAGAAATGTTCCACCGTGTGTGTGGAATGCAGCCATCACACAGTAGTTTCTGAGATTGCTTCCGTCTAGGTTTTATGGGAAGATATTTCCTTTTCTACCATAGGCTTCAAGGCGCTCTAATATCCGCTTGGAAATACTACAACCACAGCGTTTCAAACTGCTCTATCCAAAGGAAGGTTCCACTCTGTGACTTGAATGCACACAACCAAAGAAGTTTCGGAGAATTCTTCTGTCTGGATTTATACGAAGAAATCCCGTTTCCAACGAAGACCCAAAGGAGTTCCAAATATCCACTTGCAGATCCTTCAGAAAGAGGGTTTCAAAACTGCTCTATCAAGAGAAATGTTCAACTCTGTGAGTTCAATGCAGACATCACAAAGTCGTTTCTGAGATGGGTTCTGTCTAGGTTTTATGGGAAGATATTTCCTTTTCTACCATACGCTTCAAGGCGTTCCAAATATCCGCTTGGAAATACTACAAAAACAGTGTTTCAAAACTGCTCTATCAAAAGGAAGGATCCACACTGTGAGTTGAATTCACACATCACAAAGAAATCTCTGAGAATTCTTCTGTCTGGGTTTATAGGAAGAAATCCCGTTTCCAACGAAGGCCTCAAAGCGGTCCATATATCCACTTGCAGATTCTACAGAAACAATGTTTCCAAACTGCTCTATCAAGAGGAATGTTGCACTCGGTGAGTTGAATGCACACATCACAAAGTAGTTTCTGAGATTGCTTCTGTCTACCTTTTCTACCATAGGCCTGAAAGCGCTCTCAATGTACCCTTGCAAATTCTACAAAAAGAGTGTTTCCAAATTGCTCTATCAAGAGAAATCTTTATCTCGGTGAGTTGAAAGCACACATCACAAAGAAGACTCTGAGAATTCTTCTGTCTGGGTTTATAAGATGAAAACCCGTTTCCAACGAAGGCCTCAAGGAGGTCCAAATACAAACAAGCTGATTCTACAGAAAGAGTGTTTCCAAACTGCTCTATCAAGAGGAATGTTCCACTCGGTGAGTTGAATGCAGACATCACAAAGGAGTTTCTGAGATTGCTTCTGTCTAGCTTTTATGGAAAGATATTTCCTTTTCTACCATAGGCCTCAAAGCGCTCTTAGTATACACTTCCAAATTCTACAAAGAGAGTGTTACTAAACCGCTTCTCTCAAAGGAAATGTTAAACTCTGTGAGTTGAACACAGACATCACAAAGCAGTTTCTGAGAACACTTCTGTCTGCCTTTTATGTGAAGACATTCCCTTTTCCAAAGAATGCCTCCAAGGGCTCAAAATATCCACTTGTAGACTTTACAAAGAGAGTGTTTCAAAACTTCTCTACCAAAAGAAAGGTTAAAGACGGTGAGTTCAACGCACACATCACAAAGTTGTTTCTGAGAATGATTCTATCTATGTTTTCCATGAAGATGTTTCCTTTTCTATCATAGGCTTCAAAGTGGTCTAAATATCCACTTGGAAATCCTACAAGAACAGGGTTTCAAAACTTCTCTATCAAACGGAAGACTCCACTCTGTGAGATGAACGCACACATCACAATGAGGTTTCTGAAAATTCTTCTGTCTAGGGTTATAGGAAGAAATCCCGTTTCCAACGAAGGCCTCAAAGAGGTCCAAATATCCACTTGCAGTTTCTACAAAAAGAGTGTTTCAACACTGCTCTATAAAGAGGAAAGTTCCACTCTGTGAGTTGAATGTACACATCACAAAGTAGTTTCTGAGATTGCTTCTGTCTAGGTTTTAGGTGAAGTTATTTCCTTTTCTACTGTGGGCTTCAATGCGCTCTAAATATACACATGCAAATACTACAAAAAGAGTGTTTCAAAACTGCTCTATCAAAAGAAAAGTTTTACTCTGTGGGTTGAACGCACACATCGCAAAGCAGATTCTGAGAATTATTCTGTCTAGTTTTTATAGGAAGATGTTTCTTTTTCTGCCGTAGGCTCAATGCGCTATAAATATCCCCTTGGAAATCCTACAAAAACAGTGTTTCAAAACTGCTCTGTGAAAAGGGAGGTTTCACTCTTTGAATTGAATGCACACATCACAAAGGAGTTTCTGAAAATTCTTCAAACGAGAGTTACATGAAGAAATCCCGTTTCCAAAGAAGGCCTCAAATAGGTCCAAATATCCACTTGCAGCTACTACAAGCAGGGTGTTTCAGAAACGCTCTATCAAAAGAAACGTTAAACTCTGTGAGTTGAACACACACGTCACTAAGCACTTTCTGAGAACGATTCTATCTACTTTTTACATGAAGATGTTTCCTTTTCTAGCAGAGACTTCAAAGTGCTCTAAATATCCACTTGGGAATTCTACAAAAACGGTGTCTCAAAACTGCTCTATCAAAGGGAATGTTCCATTCTGTGAGTCGAATGCACACATCCGAAGAAGTTACTGAGAATTCTTCTCTGTAGGTTTAGATGAAGAAATCCTATTTCCAACGAAGGCCTCTAGGAGGTCCAATTATCCACTTGCAGATTCTACAGAAAGAGTGTTTCAAAACTGCTCTATCAAGAGAAATGGTCCACCGTGTGTGTGGAATGCAGCCATCACACATTAGTTTCTGAGATTGCTTCTGTCTTGGTTTTATGGGGAGATATTTCCATTTCTAGCATAGGCTTCAAGGCGCTCTAAATATCCGCTTGGAAATACTACAAAAACAGTGTTTCAAAACTGCTGTATCCAAAGGAAGGTGCCACTCGCTGAGTTGAATGCACACATCACAAGGAAGTTTCTGAGAATTCTTCTGTCTAGATTCATACGAAGAAATCCCGTTTCCAACGAAGGCCTCAAAGAAGTCCAAATATCCCATTGCAAATTCTACAAAAGGAGTGTTTCCCAACTGCTCTATCAAGAGGAATGTTGCACTCTGTGACTTGAATGCAAACATCACATAGCAGTGTTTGAGAATTCTTCTGTCTAGAGTAACATGAAGAAATCCCGTTTCCAACGAAGGCCTCAAGGCGGTCCAATTATCCACTTGCAGATTCTACAGAAAGAGTGTTTCAAAACTGCTCTATCAAGAGAAATGTTCCACCGTGTGTGTGGAATGCAGCCATCACACAGTAGTTTCTGAGATTGCTTCCGTCTAGGTTTTATGGGAAGATATTTCCTTTTCTACCATAGGCTTCAAGGCTCTCTAATATCCGCTTGGAAATACTACAACCAGAGCGTTTCAAACTGCTCTATCCAAAGGAAGGTTCCACTCTGTGACTTGAATGCACACAACCAAAGAAGTTTCGGAGAATATTTCTGTCTGGATTTATACGAAGAAATCCCGTTTCCAACGAAGACCCAAAGGAGTTCCAAATATCCACTTGCAGATCCTTCAGAAAGAGGGTTTCAAAACTGCTCTATCAAGAGAAATGTTCAACTCTTGTGAGTTGAATGCAGACATCACAAAGTCGTTTCTGAGATTGGTTCTGTCTAGGTTTTATGGGAAGAATATTTCCTTTTCTACTATACGCTTCAAGGCGTTCCAAATATCTGCTTGGAAATACTACAAAAACAGTGTTTCAAAACTGCTCTATCAAAAGGAAGGATCCACACTGTGAGTTGAATTCACACATCACAAAGAAATCTCTGAGAATTCTTCTGTCTGGGTTTATAGGAAGAAATCCCGTTTCCAACGAAGGCCTCAAAGCGGTCCATATATCCACTTGCAGATTCTACAGAAACAATGTTTCCAAACTGCTCTATCAAGAGGAATGTTGCACTCGGTGAGTTGAATGCACACATCACAAAGTAGTTTCTGAGATTGCTTCTGTCTATCTTTTATGGAAAGATATTCCCTTTTCTACCATAGGCCTGAAAGCGCTCTCAATGTACCCTTGCAAATTCTACAAAAAGAGTGTTTCCAAATTGCTCTATCAAGAGAAATCTTTATCTCGGTGAGTTGAAAGCACACATCACAAAGAAGACTCTGAGAATTCTTCTGTCTGGGTTTATAAGATGAAAACCCGTTTCCAACGAAGGCCTCAAGGAGGTCCAAATACAAAAAACCTGATTCTACAGAAAGAGTGTTTCCAAACTGCTCTATCAAGAGGAATGTTCCACTCGGTGAGTTGAATGCAGACATCACAAAGGAGTTTCTGAGATTGCTTCTGTCTAGCTTTTATGGAAAGATATTTCCTTTTCTACCATAGGCCTCAAAGCGCTCTTAGTATACACTTCCAAATTCTACAAAGAGAGTGTTACTAAACTGCTCTCTCAAAGGAAATGTTAAACTCTGTGAGTTGAACACAGACATCACAAAGCAGTTTCTGAGAACACTTCTGTCTGCCTTTTATGTGAAGACATTCCCTTTTCCAAAGAATGCCTCCAACGGCTCAAAATATCCACTTGTAGACTTTACAAAGAGAGTGTTTCAAAACTTCTCTACCAAAAGAAAGGTTAAAGACGGTGAGTTCAACGCACACATCACAAAGTTGTTTCTGAGAATGATTCTATCTATGTTTTCCATGAAGATGTTTCCTTTTCTATCATAGGCTTCAAAGTGGTCTAAATATCCACTTGGAAATCCTACAAGAACAGGGTTTCAAAACTTCTCTATCAAACGGAAGACTCCACTCTGTGAGATGAACGCACACATCACAATGAGGTTTCTGAAAATTCTTCTGTCTAGGGTTATAGGAAGAAATCCCGTTTCCAACGAAGGCCTCAAAGAGGTCCAAATATCCACTTGCAGTTTCTACAAAAAGAGTGTTTCAACACTGCTCTATAAAGAGAAAAGTTCCACTCTGTGAGTTGAATGTACACATCACAAAGTAGTTTCTGAGATTGCTTCTGTCTAGGTTTTAGGTGAAGTTATTTCCTTTTCTACTGTGGGCTTCAATGCGCCCTAAATATACACATGCAAATACTACAAAAAGAGTGTTTCAAAACTGCTCTATCAAAAGAAAAGTTTTACTCTGTGAGTTGAACGCACACATCGCAAAGCAGATTCTGAGAATTATTCTGTCTAGTTTTTATAGGAAGATGTTTCTTTTTCTGCCATAGGCTCAATGCGCTATAAATATCCCCTTGGAAATCCTACAAAAACAGTGTTTCAAAACTGCTCTGTGAAAAGGGAGGTTTCACTCTTTGAATTGAATGCACACATCACAAAGGAGTTTCTGAAAATTCTTCAATCTAGAGTTACATGAAGAAATCCCGTTTCCAAAGAAGGCCTCAAATAGGTCCAAATATCCACTTGCAGCTACTACAAGAAGGGTGTTTCAGAAACGCTCTATCAAAAGAAACGTTAAACTCTGTGAGTTGAACGCACACGTCACTAAGCACTTTCTGAGAACGATTCTATCTACTTTTTACATGAAGATGTTTCCTTTTCTAGCAGAGACTTCAAAGTGCTCTAAATATCCACTTGGGAATTCTACAAAAACGGTGTCTCAAAACTGCTCTATCAAACGGAATGTTCCATTCTGTGAGTCGAATGCACACATCCGAAGAAGTTACTGAGAATTCTTCTCTGTAGGTTTAGATGAAGAAATCCCGTTTCCAACGAAGGCCTCTAGGAGGTCCAATTATCCACTTGCAGATTCTACAGAAAGAGTGTTTCAAAACTGCTCTATCAAGAGAAATGGTCCACCGTGTGTATGGAATGCAGCCATCACACATTAGTTTCTGAGATTGCTTCTGTCTTGGTTTTATGGGGAGATATTTCCATTTCTAGCATAGGCTTCAAGGCGCTCTAAATATCCGCTTGGAAATACTACAAAAACAGTGTTTCAAAACTGCTGTATCCAAAGGAAGGTGCCACTCGCTGAGTTGAATGCACACATCACAAGGAAGTTTCTGAGAATTCTTCTGTCTAGATTCATACGAAGAAATCCCGTTTCCAACGAAGGCCTCAAAGAAGTCCAAATATCCCATTGCAAATTCTACAAAAGGAGTGTTTCCCAACTGCTCTATCAAGAGGAATGTTGCACTCTGTGACTTGAATGCAAACATCACATAGCAGTGTTTGAGAATTCTTCTGTCTAGAGTAACATGAAGAAATCCCGTTTCCAACGAAGGCCTCAAGGCGGTCCAATTATCCACTTGCAGATTCTACAGAAAGAGTGTTTCAAAACTGCTCTATCAAGAGAAATGTTCCACCGTGTGTGTGGAATGCAGCCATCACACAGTAGTTTCTGAGATTGCTTCCGTCTAGGTTTTATGGGAAGATATTTCCTTTTCTACCATAGGCTTCAAGGCTCTCTAATATCCGCTTGGAAATACTACAACCACAGCGTTTCAAACTGCTCTATCCAAAGGAAGGTTCCACTCTGTGACTTGAATGCACACAACCAAAGAAGTTTCGGAGAATTCTTCTGTCTGGATTTATACGAAGAAATCCCGTTTCCAACGAAGACCCAAAGGAGTTCCAAATATCCACTTGCAGATCCTTCAGAAAGAGGGTTTCAAAAGTGCTCTATCAAGAGAAATGTTCAACTCTGTGAGTTGAATGCAGACATCACAAAGTCGTTTCTGAGATTGGTTCTGTCTAGGTTTTATGGGAAGATATTTCCTTTTCTACCATACGCTTCAAGGCGTTCCAAATATCCGCTTGGAAATACTACAAAAACAGTGTTTCAAAACTGCTCTATCAAAAGGAAGGATCCACACTGTGAGTTGAATTCACACATCAGAAAGAAGTCTCTGAGAATTCTTCTGTCTGGGTTTATAGGAAGAAATCCCGTTTCCAACGAAGGCCTCAAAGAGGTCCAAATATCCACTTGCAGATTCTACAGAAACAATGTTTCCAAACTGCTCGGTCAAGAGGAATGTTGCACTCGGTGAGTTGAATGCACACATCACAAAGTAGTTTCTGAGATTGCTTCTGTCTACCTTTTATGGAAAGATATTCCCTTTTCTACCATAGGCCTGAAAGCGCTCTCAATGTACCCTTGCAAATTCTACAAAAAGAGTGTTTCCAAATTGCTCTATCAAGAGAAATCTTTATCTCGGTGAGTTGAAAGCACACATCACAAAGAAGACTCTGAGAATTCTTCTGTCTGGGTTTATAAGATGAAAACCCGTTTCCAACGAAGGCCTCAAGGAGGTCCAAATACAAACAAGCTGATTCTACAGAAAGAGTGTTTCCAAACTGCTCTATCAAGAGGAATGTTCCACTCGGTGAGTTGAATGCAGACATCACAAAGGAGTTTCTGAGATTGCTTCTGTCTAGCTTTTATGGAAAGATATTTCCTTTTCTACCATAGGCCTCAAAGCGCTCTTAGTATACACTTCCAAATTCTACAAAGAGAGTGTTACTAAACCGCTCTCTCAAAGGAAATGTTAAACTCTGTGAGTTGAACACAGACATCACAAAGCAGTTTCTGAGAACACTTCTGTCTGCCTTTTATGTGAAGACATTCCCTTTTCCAAAGAATGCCTCCAAGGGCTCAAAATATCCACTTGTAGACTTAGAGTGTTTCAAAACTTCTCTACCAAAAGAAAGGTTAAAGACGGTGAGTTCAACGCACACATCACAAAGTTGTTTCTGAGAATGATTCTATCTATGTTTTCCATGAAGATGTTTCCTTTTCTATCATAGGCTTCAAAGTGTTCTAAATATCCACTTGGAAATCCTACAAGAACAGGGTTTCAAAACTTCTCTATCAAACGGAAGACTCCACTCTCTGAGATGAACGCACACATCACAATGAGGTTTCTGAAAATTCTTCTGTCTAGGGTTATAGGAAGAAATCCCGTTTCCAACGAAGGCCTCAAAGAGGTCCAAATATCCACTTGCAGTTTCTACAAAAAGAGTGTTTCAACACTGCTCTATAAAGAGGAAAGTTCCACTCTGTGAGTTGAATGTACACATCACAAAGTAGTTTCTGAGATTGCTTCTGTCTAGGTTTTAGGTGAAGTTATTTCCTTTTCTACTGTGGGCTTCAATGCGCTCTAAATATACACATGCAAATACTACAAAAAGAGTGTTTCAAAACTGCTCTATCAAAAGAAAAGTTTTACTCTGTGAGTTGAACGCACACATCGCAAAGCAGATTCTGAGAATTATTCTGTCTAGTTTTTATAGGAAGATGTTTCTTTTTCTGCCATAGGCTCAATGCGCTATAAATATCCCCTTGGAAATCCTACAAAAACAGTGTTTCAAAACTGCTCTGTGAAAAGGGAGGTTTCACTCTTTGAATTGAATGCACACATCACAAAGGAGTTTCTGAAAATTCTTCAATCTAGAGTTACATGAAGAAATCCCGTTTCCAAAGAAGGCCTCAAATAGGTCCAAATATCCACTTGCAGCTACTACAAGAAGGGTGTTTCAGAAACGCTCTATCAAAAGAAACGTTAAACTCTGTGAGTTGAACGCACACGTCACTAAGCACTTTCTGAGAACGATTCTATCTACTTTTTACATGAAGATGTTTCCTTTTCTAGCAGAGACTTCAAAGTGCTCTAAATATCCACTTGGGAATTCTACAAAAACGGTGTCTCAAAACTGCTCTATCAAAGGGAATGTTCCATTCTGTGAGTCGAATGCACACATCCGAAGAAGTTACTGAGAATTCTTCTCTGTAGGTTTAGATGAAGAAATCCCGTTTCCAACGAAGGCCTCTAGGAGGTCCAATTATCCACTTGCAGATTCTACAGAAAGAGTGTTTCAAAACTGCTCTATCAAGAGAAATGGTCCACCGTGTGTGTGGAATGCAGCCATCACACATTAGTTTCTGAGATTGCTTCTGTCTTGGTTTTATGGGGAGATATTTCCATTTCTAGCATAGGCTTCAAGGCGCTCTAAATATCCGCTTGGAAATACTACAAAAACAGTGTTTCAAAACTGCTGTATCCAAAGGAAGGTGCCACTCGCTGAGTTGAATGCACACATCACAAGGAAGTTTCTGAGAATTCTTCTGTCTAGATTCATACGAAGAAATCCCGTTTCCAACGAAGGCCTCAAAGAAGTCCAAATATCCCATTGCAAATTCTACAAAAGGAGTGTTTCCCAACTGCTCTATCAAGAGGAATGTTGCACTCTGTGACTTGCATGCAAACATCACACAGCAGTGTTTGAGAATTCTTCTGTCTAGAGTAACATGAAGAAATCCCGTTTCCAACGAAGGCCTCAAGGCGGTCCAATTATCCACTTGCAGATTCTACAGAAAGAGTGTTTCAAAACTGCTCTATCAAGAGAAATGTTCCACCGTGTGTGTGGAATGCAGCCATCACACAGTAGTTTCTGAGATTGCTTCCGTCTAGGTTTTATGGGAAGATATATCCTTTTCTACCATAGGCTTCAAGGCGCTCTAATATCCGCTTGGAAATACTACAACCACAGCGTTTCAAACTGCTCTATCCAAAGGAAGGTTCCACTCTGTGACTTGAATGCACACAACCAAAGAAGTTTCGGAGAATTCTTCTGTCTGGATTTATACGAAGAAATCCCGTTTCCAATGAAGACCCAAAGGAGTTCCAAATATCCACTTGCAGATCCTTCAGAAAGAGGGTTTCAAAACTGCTCTATCAAGAGAAATGTTCAACTCTGTGAGTTGAATGCAGACATCACAAAGTCGTTTCTGAGATGGGTTCTGTCTAGGTTTTATGGGAAGATATTTCCTTTTCTACCATACGCTTCAAGGCGTTCCAAATATCCGCTTGGAAATACTACAAAAACAGTGTTTCAAAACTGCTCTATCAAAAGGAAGGATCCACACTGTGAGTTGAATTCACACATCACAAAGAAATCTCTGAGAATTCTTCTGTCTGGGTTTATAGGAAGAAATCCCGTTTCCAACGAAGGCCTCAAAGCGGTCCATATATCCACTTGCAGATTCTACAGAAACAATGTTTCCAAACTGCTCGGTCAAGAGGAATGTTGCACTCGGTGAGTTGAATGCACACATCACAAAGTAGTTTCTGAGATTGCTTCTGTCTACCTTTGATGGAAAGATATTCCCTTTTCTACCATAGGCCTGAAAGCGCTCTCAATGTACCCTTGCAAATTCTACAAAAAGAGTGTTTCCAAATTGCTCTATCAAGAGAAATCTTTATCTCGGTGAGTTGAAAGCACACATCACAAAGAAGACTCTGAGAATTCTTCTGTCTGGGTTTATAAGTATGAAAACCCGTTTCCAACGAAGGCCTCAAGGAGGTCCAAATACAAACAAGCTGATTCTACAGAAAGAGTGTTTCCAAACTGCTCTATCAAGAGGAATGTTCCACTCGGTGAGTTGAATGCAGACATCACAAAGGAGTTTCTGAGATTGCTTCTGTCTAGCTTTTATGGAAAGATATTTCCTTTTCTACCATAGGCCTCAAAGCGCTCTTAGTATACACTTCCAAATTCTACAAAGAGAGTGTTACTAAACCGCTCTCTCAAAGGAAATGTTAAACTCTGTTAGTTGAACACAGACATCACAAAGCAGTTTCTGAGAACACTTCTGTCTGCCTTTTATGTGAAGACATTCCCTTTTCCAAAGAATGCCTCCAAGGGCTCAAAATATCCACTTGTAGACTTTACAAAGAGAGTGTTTCAAAACTTCTCTACCAAAAGAAAGGTTAAAGACGGTGAGTTCAACGCACACATCACAAAGTTGTTTCTGAGAATGATTCTATCTATGTTTTCCATGAAGATGTTTCCTTTTCTATCATAGGCTTCAAAGTGGTCTAAATATCCACTTGGAAATCCTACAAGAACAGGGTTTCAAAACTTCTCTATCAAACGGAAGACTCCACTCTGTGAGATGAACGCACACATCACAATGAGGTTTCTGAAAATTCTTCTGTCTAGGGTTATAGGAAGAAATCCCGTTTCCAACGAAGGCCTCAAAGAGGTCCAAATATCCACTTGCAGTTTCTACAAAAAGAGTGTTTCAACACTGCTCTATAAAGAGGAAAGTTCCACTCTGTGAGTTGAATGTACACATCACAAAGTAGTTTCTGAGATTGCTTCTGTCTAGGTTTTAGGTGAAGTTATTTCCTTTTCTACTGTGGGCTTCAATGCGCTCTAAATATACACATGCAAATACTACAAAAAGTGTTTCAAAACTGCTCTATCAAAAGAAAAGTTTTACTCTGTGAGTTGAACGCACACATCGCAAAGCAGATTCTGAGAATTATTCTGTCTAGTTTTTATAGGAAGATGTTTCTTTTTCTGCCATAGGATCAATGCGCTATAAATATCCCCTTGGAAATCCTACAAAAACAGTGTTTCAAAACTGCTCTGTGAAAAGGGAGGTTTCACTCTTTGAATTGAATGCACACATCACAAAGGAGTTTCTGAAAATTCTTCAATCTAGAGTTACATGAAGAAATCCCGTTTCCAAAGAAGGCCTCAAATAGGTCCAAATATCCACTTGCAGCTACTACAAGAAGGGTGTTTCAGAAACGCTCTATCAAAAGAAACGATAAACTCTGTGAGTTGAACACACACGTCACTAAGCACTTTCTGAGAACGATTCTATCTACTTTTTACATGAAGATGTTTCCTTTTCTAGCAGAGACTTCAAAGTGCTCTAAATATCCACTTGGGAATTCTACAAAAACGGTGTCTCAAAACTGCTCTATCAAAGGGAATGTTCCATTCTGTGAGTCGAATGCACACATCTGAAGAAGTTACTGAGAATTCTTCTCTGTAGGTTTAGATGAAGAAATCCCGTTTCCAACGAAGGCCTCTAGGAGGTCCAATTATCCACTTGCAGATTCTACAGAAAGAGTGTTTCAAAACTGCTCTATCAAGAGAAATGGTCCACCGTGTGTGTGGAATGCAGCCATCACACATTAGTTTCTGAGATTGCTTCTGTCTTGGTTTTATGGGGAGATATTTCCATTTCTAGCATAGGCTTCAAGGCGCTCTAAATATCCGCTTGGAAATACTACAAAAACAGTGTTTCAAAACTGCTGTATCCAAAGGAAGGTGCCACTCGCTGAGTTGAATGCACACATCACAAGGAAGTTTCTGAGAATTCTTCTGTCTAGATTCATACGAAGAAATCCCGTTTCCAACGAAGGCCTCAAAGAAGTCCAAATATCCCATTGCAAATTCTACAAAAGGAGTGTTTCCCAACTGCTCTATCAAGAGGAATGTTGCACTCTGTGACTTGAATGCAAACATCACATAGCAGTGTTTGAGAATTCTTCTGTCTAGAGTAACATGAAGAAATCCCGTTTCCAACGAAGGCCTCAAGGCGGTCCAATTATCCACTTGCAGATTCTACAGAAAGAGTGTTTCAAAACTGCTCTATCAAGAGAAATGTTCCACCGTGTGTGTGGAATGCAGCCATCACACAGTAGTTTCTGAGATTGCTTCCGTCTAGGTTTTATGGGAAGATATTTCCTTTTCTACCATAGGCTTCAAGGCACTCTAATATCCGCTTGGAAATACTACAACCACAGCGTTTCAAACTGCTCTATCCAAAGGAAGGTTCCACTCTGTGACTTGAATGCACACAACCAAAGAAGTTTCGGAGAATTCTTCTGTCTGGATTTATACGAAGAAATCCCGTTTCCAACGAAGACCCAAAGGAGTTCCAAATATCCACTTGCAGCTCCTTCAGAAAGAGGGTTTCAAAACTGCTCTATCAAGAGAAATGTTCAACTCTGTGAGTTGAATGTAGACATCACAAAGTCGTTTCTGAGATGGGTTCTGTCTAGGTTTTATGGGAAGATATTTCCTTTTCTACCTTACGCTTCAAGGCGTTCCAAATATCCGCTTGGAAATACTACAAAAACAGTGTTTCAAAACTGCTCTATCAAAAGGAAGGATCCACACTGTGAGTTGAATTCACACATCACAAAGAAATCTCTGAGAATTCTTCTGTCTGGGTTTATAGGAAGAAATCCCGTTTCCAACGAAGGCCTCAAAGCGGTCCATATATCCACTTGCAGATTCTACAGAAACAATGTTTCCAAACTGCTCTATCAAGAGGAATGTTGCACTCGGTGAGTTGAATGCACACATCACAAAGTAGTTTCTGAGATTGCTTCTGTCTACCTTTTATGGAAAGATATTCCCTTTTCTACCATAGGCCTGAAAGCGCTCTCAATGTACCCTTGCAAATTCTACAAAAAGAGTGTTTCCAAATTGCTCTATCAAGAGAAATCTTTATCTCGGTGAGTTGAAAGCACACATCACAAAGAAGACTCTGAGAATTCTTCTGTCTGGGTTTATAAGATGAAAACCCGTTTCCAACGAAGGCCTCAAGGAGGTCCAAATACAAACAAGCTGATTCTACAGAAAGAGTGTTTCCAAACTGCTCTATCAAGAGGAATGTTCCACTCGGTGAGTTGAATGCAGACATCACAAAGGGGTTTCTGAGATTGCTTCTGTCTAGCTTTTATGGAAAGATAATTCCTTTTCTACCATAGGCCTCAAAGCGCTCTTAGTATACACTTCCAAATTCTACAAAGAGAGTGTTACTAAACCGCTCTCTCAAAGGAAATGTTAAACTCTGTGAGTTGAACACAGACATCACAAAGCAGTTTCTGAGAACACTTCTGTCTGCCTTTTATGTGAAGACATTCCCTTTTCCAAAGAATGCCTCCAAGGGCTCAAAATATCCACTTGTAGACTTTACAAAGAGAGTGTTTCAAAACTTCTCTACCAAAAGAAAGGTTAAAGACGGTGAGTTCAACGCACACATCACAAAGTTGTTTCTGAGAATGATTCTATCTATGTTTTCCATGAAGATGTTTCCTTTTCTATCATAGGCTTCAAAGTGGTCTAAATATCCACTTGGAAATCCTACAAGAACAGGGTTTCAAAGCTTCTCTATCAAACGGAAGACTCCACTCTGTGAGATGAACGCACACATCACAATGAGGTTTCTGAAAATTCTTCTGTCTAGGGTTATAGGAAGAAATCCCGTTTCCAACGAAGGCCTCAAAGAGGTCCAAATATCCACTTGCAGTTTCTACAAAAAGAGTGTTTCAACACTGCTCTATAAAGAGGAAAGTTCCACTCTGTGAGTTGAATGTACACATCACAAAGTAGTTTCTGAGATTGCTTCTGTCTAGGTTTTAGGTGAAGTTATTTCCTTTTCTACTGTGGGCTTCAATGCGCTCTAAATATACACATGCAAATACTACAAAAAGAGTGTTTCAAAACTGCTCTATCAAAAGAAAAGTTTTACTCTGTGAGTTGAACGCACACATCGCAAAGCAGATTCTGAGAATTATTCTGTCTAGTTTTTATAGGAAGATGTTTCTTTTTCTGCCATAGGATCAATGCGCTATAAATATCCCCTTGGAAATCCTACAAAAACAGTGTTTCAAAACTGCTCTGTGAAAAGGGACGTTTCACTCTTTGAATTGAATGCACACATCACAAAGGAGTTTCTGAAAATTCTTCAAACTAGAGTTACATGAAGAAATCCCGTTTCCAAAGAAGGCCTCAAATAGGTCCAAATATCCACTTGCAGCTACTACAAGAAGGGTGTTTCAGAAACGCTCTATCAAAAGAAACGTTGAACTCTGTGAGTTGAACACACACGTCACTAAGCACTTTCTGAGAACGATTCTATCTACTTTTTACATGAAGATGTTTCCTTTTCTAGCAGAGACTTCAAAGTGCTCTAAATATCCACTTGGGAATTCTACAAAAACGGTGTCTCAAAACTGCTCTATCAAAGGGAATGTTCCATTCTGTGAGTCGAATGCACACATCCGAAGAAGTTACTGAGAATTCTTCTCTGTAGGTTTAGATGAAGAAATCCCGTTTCCAACGAAGGCCTCTAGGAGGTCCAATTATCCACTTGCAGATTCTACAGAAAGAGTGTTTCAAAACTGCTCTATCAAGAGAAATGGTCCACCGTGTGTGTGGAATGCAGCCATCACACATTAGTTTCTGAGATTGCTTCTGTCTTGGTTTTATGGGGAGATATTTCCATTTCTAGCATAGGCTTCAAGGCGCTCTAAATATCCGCTTGGAAATAGTACAAAAACAGTGTTTCAAAACTGCTGTATCCAAAGGAAGGTGCCACTCGCTGAGTTGAATGCACACATCACAAGGAAGTTTCTGAGAATTCTTCTGTCTAGATTCATACGAAGAAATCCCGTTTCCAACGAAGGCCTCAAAGAAGTCCAAATATCCCATTGCAAATTCTACAAAAGGAGTGTTTCCCAACTGCTCTATCAAGAGGAATGTTGCACTCTGTGACTTGAATGCAAACATCACACAGCAGTGTTTGAGAATTCTTCTGTCTAGAGTAACATGAAGAAATCCCGTTTCCAACGAAGGCCTCAAGGCGGTCCAATTATCCACTTGCAGATTCTACAGAAAGAGTGTTTCAAAACTGCTCTATCAAGAGAAATGTTCCACCGTGTGTGTGGAATGCAGCCATCACACAGTAGTTTCTGAGATTGCTTCCGTCTAGGTTTTATGGGAAGATATTTCCTTTTCTACCATAGGCCTCAAGGCGCTCTAATATCCGCTTGGAAATACTACAACCACAGCGTTTCAAACTGCTCTATCCAAAGGAAGGTTCCACTCTGTGACTTGAATGCACACAACCAAAGAAGTTTCGGAGAATTCTTCTGTCTGGATTTATACGAAGAAATCCCGTTTCCAACGAAGACCCAAAGGAATTCCAAATATCCACTTGCAGATCCTTCAGAAAGAGGGTTTCAAAACTGCTCTATCAAGAGAAATGTTAAACTCTGTGAGTTGAATGCAGACATCACAAAGTCGTTTCTGAGACTGGTTCTGTCTAGGTTTTATGGGAAGATATTTCCTTTTCTACCATACGCTTCAAGGCGTTCCAAATATCCGCTTGGAAATACTACAAAAACAGTGTTTCAAAACTGCTCTATCAAAAGGAAGGATCCACACTGTGAGTTGAATTCACACATCACAAAGAAGTCTCTGAGAATTCTTCTGTCTGGGTTTATAGGAAGAAATCCCGTTTCCAACGAAGGCCTCAAAGAGGTCCAAATATCCACTTGCAGATTCTACAGAAACAATGTTTCCAAACTGCTCGGTCAAGAGGAATGTTGCACTCGGTGAGTTGAATGCACACATCACAAAGTAGTTTCTGAGATTGCTTCTGTCTACCTTTTATGGAAAGATATTCCCTTTTCTACCATAGGCCTGAAAGCGCTCTCAATGTACCCTTGCAAATTCTACAAAAAGAGTGTTTCCAAATTGCTCTATCAAGAGAAATCTTTATCTCGGTGAGTTGAAAGCACACATCACAAAGAAGACTCTGAGAATTCTTCTGTCTGGGTTTATAAGATGAAAACCCGTTTCCAACGAAGGCCTCAAGGAGGTCCAAATACAAACAAGCTGATTCTACAGAAAGAGTGTTTTCAAACAGCTCTATCAAGAGGAATGTTCCACTCGGTGAGTTGAATGCAGACATCACAAAGGAGTTTCTGGGATTGCTTCTGTCTAGCTTTTATGGAAAGATATTTCCTTTTCTACCATAGGCCTCAAAGCGCTCTTAGTATACACTTCCAAATTCTACAAAGAGAGTGTTACTAAACCGCTCTCTCAAAGGAAATGTTAAACTCTGTGAGTTGAACACAGACATCACAAAGCAGTTTCTGAGAACACTTCTGTCTGCCTTTTATGTGAAGACATTCCCTTTTCCAAAGAATGCCTCCAAGGGCTCAAAATATCCACTCGTAGACTTTACAAAGAGAGTGTTTCAAAACTTCTCTACCAAAAGAAAGGTTAAAGACGGTGAGTTCAACTGCACACATCACAAAGTTGTTTCTGAGAATGATTCTATCTATGTTTTCCATGAAGATGTTTCCTTTTCTATCATAGGCTTCAAAGTGGTCTAAATATCCACTTGGAAATCCTACAAGAACAGGGTTTCAAAACTTCTCTATCAAACGGAAGACTCCACTCTGTGAGATGAACGCACACATCACAATGAGGTTTCTGAAAATTCTTCTGTCTAGGGTTATAGGAAGAAATCCCGTTTCCAACGAAGGCCTCAAAGAGGTCCAAATATCCACTTGCAGTTTCTACAAAAAGAGTGTTTCAACACTGCTCTATAAAGAGAAAAGTTCCACTCTGTGAGTTGAATGTACACATCACAAAGTAGTTTCTGAGATTGCTTCTGTCTAGGTTTTAGGTGAAGTTATTTCCTTTTCTACTGTGGGCTTCAATGCGCTCTAAATATACACATGCAAATACTACAAAAAGAGTGTTTCAAAACTGCTCTATCAAAAGAAAAGTTTTACTCTGTGGGTTGAACGCACACATCGCAAAGCAGATTCTGAGAATTATTCTGTCTAGTTTTTATAGGAAGATGTTTCTTTTTCTGCCATAGGCTCAATGCGCTATAAATATCCCCTTGGAAATCCTACAAAAACAGTGTTTCAAAACTGCTCTGTGAAAAGGGAGGTTTCACTCTTTGAATTGAATGCACACATCACAAAGGAGTTTCTGAAAATTCCTCAATCTAGAGTTACATGAAGAAATCCCGTTTCCAAAGAAGGCCTCAAATAGGTCCAAATATCCACTTGCAGCTACTACAAGAAGGGTGTTTCAGAAACGCTCTATCAAAAGAAACGTTAAACTCTGTGAGTTGAACGCACACGTCACTAAGCACTTTCTGAGAACGATTCTATCTACTTTTTACATGAAGATGTTTCCTTTTCTAGCAGAGACTTCAAAGTGCTCTAAATATCCACTTGGGAATTCTACAAAAACGGTGTCTCAAAACTGCTCTATCAAAGGGAATGTTCCATTCTGTGAGTCGAATGCACACATCCGAAGAAGTTACTGAGAATTCTTCTCTGTAGGTTTAGATGAAGAAATCCCGTTTCCAACGAAGGCCTCTAGGAGGTCCAATTATCCACTTGCAGATTCTACAGAAAGAGTGTTTCAAAACTGCTCTATCAAGAGAAATGGTCCACCGTGTGTGTGGAATGCAGCCATCACACATTAGTTTCTGAGATTGCTTCTGTCTTGGTTTTATGGGGAGATATTTCCATTTCTAGCATAGGCTTCAAGGCGCTCTAAATATCCGCTTGGAAATACTACAAAAACAGTGTTTCAAAACTGCTGTATCCAAAGGAAGGTGCCACTCGCTGAGTTGAATGCACACATCACAAGGAAGTTTCTGAGAATTCTTCTGTCTAGATTCATACGAAGAAATCCCGTTTCCAACGAAGGCCTCAAAGAAGTCCAAATATCCCATTGCAAATTCTACAAAAGGAGTGTTTCCCAACTGCTCTATCAAGAGGAATGTTGCACTCTGTGACTTGCATGCAAACATCACACAGCAGTGTTTGAGAATTCTTCTGTCTAGAGTAACATGAAGAAATCCCGTTTCCAACGAAGGCCTCAAGGCGGTCCAATTATCCACTTGCAGATTCTACAGAAAGAGTGTTTCAAAACTGCTCTATCAAGAGAAATGTTCCACCGTGTGTGTGGAATGCAGCCATCACACAGTAGTTTCTGAGATTGCTTCCGTCTAGGTTTTATGGGAAGATATTTCCTTTTCTACCATAGGCCTCAAGGCGCTCTAATATCCGCTTGGAAATACTACAACCACAGCGTTTCAAACTGCTCTATCCAAAGGAAGGTTCCACTCTGTGACTTGAATGCACACAACCAAAGAAGTTTCGGAGAATTCTTCTGTCTAGATTTATACGAAGAAATCCCGTTTCCAACGAAGACCCAAAGGAGTTCCAAATATCCACTTGCAGATCCTTCAGAAAGAGGGTTTCAAAACTGCTCTATCAAGAGAAATGTTCAACTCTGTGAGTTGAATGCAGACATCACAAAGTCGTTTCTGAGATTGGTTCTGTCTAGGTTTTATGAGAAGATATTTCCTTTTCTACCATACGCTTCAAGGCGTTCCAAATATCCGCTTGGAAATACTACAAAAACAGTGTTTCAAAACTGCTCTATCAAAAGGAAGGATCCACACTGTGAGTTGAATTCACACATCACAAAGAAGTCTCTGAGAATTCTTCTGTCTGGGTTTATAGGAAGAAATCCCGTTTCCAACGAAGGCCTCAAAGAGGTCCAAATATCCACTTGCAGATTCTACAGAAACAATGTTTCCAAACTGCTCGGTCAAGAGGAATGTTGCACTCGGTGAGTTGAATGCACACATCACAAAGTAGTTTCTGAGATTGCTTCTGTCTACCTTTTATGGAAAGATATTCCCTTTTCTACCATAGGCCTGAAAGCGCTCTCAATGTACCCTTGCAAATTCTACAAAAAGAGTGTTTCCAAATTGCTCTATCAAGAGAAATCTTTATCTCGGTGAGTTGAAAGCACACATCACAAAGAAGACTCTGAGAATTCTTCTGTCTGGGTTTATAAGATGAAAACCCGTTTCCAACGAAGGCCTCAAGGAGGTCCAAATACAAACAAGCTGATTCTACAGAAAGAGTGTTTCCAAACTGCTCTATCAAGAGGAATGTTCCACTCGGTGAGTTGAATGCAGACATCACAAAGGAGTTTCTGAGATTGCTTCTGTCTAGCTTTTATGGAAAGATAATTCCTTTTCTACCATAGGCCTCAAAGCGCTCTTAGTATACACTTCCAAATTCTACAAAGAGAGTGTTACTAAACCGCTCTCTCAAAGGAAATGTTAAACTCTGTGAGTTGAACACAGACATCACAAAGCAGTTTCTGAGAACACTTCTGTCTGCCTTTTATGTGAAGACATTCCCTTTTCCAAAGAATGCCTCCAAGGGCTCAAAATATCCACTTGTAGACTTTACAAAGAGAGTGTTTCAAAACTTCTCTACCAAAAGAAAGGTTAAAGACGGTGAGTTCAACGCACACATCACAAAGTTGTTTCTGAGAATGATTCTATCTATGTTTTCCATGAAGATGTTTCCTTTTCTATCATAGGCTTCAAAGTGGTCTAAATATCCACTTGGAAATCCTACAAGAACAGGGTTTCAAAACTTCTCTATCAAATGGAAGACTCCACTCTGTGAGATGAACGCACACATCACAATGAGGTTTCTGAAAATTCTTCTGTCTAGGGTTATAGGAAGAAATCCCGTTTCCAACGAAGGCCTCAAAGAGGTCCAAATATCCACTTGCAGTTTCTACAAAAAGAGTGTTTCAACACTGCTCTATAAAGAGAAAAGTTCCACTCTGTGAGTTGAATGTACACATCACAAAGTAGTTTCTGAGATTGCTTCTGTCTAGGTTTTAGGTGAAGTTATTTCCTTTTCTACTGTGGGCTTCAATGCGCTCTAAATATACACATGCAAATACTACAAAAAGAGTGTTTCAAAACTGCTCTATCAAAAGAAAAGTTTTACTCTGTGAGTTGAACGCACACATCGCAAAGCAGATTCTGAGAATTATTCTGTCTAGTTTTTATAGGAAGATGTTTCTTTTTCTGCCATAGGCTCAATGCGCTATAAATATCCCCTTGGAAATCCTACAAAAACAGTGTTTCAAAACTGCTCTGTGAAAAGGGAGGTTTCACTCTTTGAATTGAATGCACACATCACAAAGGAGTTTCTGAAAATTCTTCAATCTAGAGTTACATGAAGAAATCCCGTTTCCAAAGAAGGCCTCAAATAGGTCCAAATATCCACTTGCAGCTACTACAAGAAGGGTGTTTCAGAAACGCTCTATCAAAAGAAACGTTAAACTCTGTGAGTTGAACGCACACGTCACTAAGCACTTTCTGAGAACGATTCTATCTACTTTTTACATGAAGATGTTTCCTTTTCTAGCAGAGACTTCAAAGTGCTCTAAATATCCACTTGGGAATTCTACAAAAACCGTGTCTCAAAACTGCTCTATCAAAGGGAATGTTCCATTCTGTGAGTCGAATGCACACATCCGAAGAAGTTACTGAGAATTCTTCTCTGTAGGTTTAGATGAAGAAATCCCGTTTCCAACGAAGGCCTCTAGGAGGTCCAATTATCCACTTGCAGATTCTACAGAAAGAGTGTTTCAAAACTGCTCTATCAAGAGAAATGGTCCACCGTGTGTGTGGAATGCAGCCATCACACATTAGTTTCTGAGATTGCTTCTGTCTTGGTTTTATGGGGAGATATTTCCATTTCTAGCATAGGCTTCAAGGCGCTCTAAATATCCGCTTGGAAATAGTACAAAAACAGTGTTTCAAAACTGCTGTATCCAAAGGAAGGTGCCACTCGCTGAGTTGAATGCACACATCACAAGGAAGTTTCTGAGAATTCTTCTGTCTAGATTCATACGAAGAAATCCCGTTTCCAACGAAGGCCTCAAAGAAGTCCAAATATCCCATTGCAAATTCTACAAAAGGAGTGCTTCCCAACTGCTCTATCAAGAGGAATGTTGCACTCTGTGACTTGAATGCAAACATCACATAGCAGTGTTTGAGAATTCTTCTGTCTAGAGTAACATGAAGAAATCCCGTTTCCAACGAAGGCCTCAAGGCGGTCCAATTATCCACTTGCAGATTCTACAGAAAGAGTGTTTCAAAACTGCTCTATCAAGAGAAATGTTCCACCGTGTGTGTGGAATGCAGCCATCACACAGTAGTTTCTGAGATTGCTTCCGTCTAGGTTTTATGGGAAGATATTTCCTTTTCTACCATAGGCCTCAAGGCGCTCTAATATCCGCTTGGAAATACTACAACCACAGCGTTTCAAACTGCTCTATCCAAAGGAAGGTTCCACTCTGTGACTTGAATGCACACAACCAAAGAAGTTTCGGAGAATTCTTCTGTCTGGATTTATACGAAGAAATCCCGTTTCCAACGAAGACCCAAAGGAGTTCCAAATATCCACTTGCAGATCCTTCAGAAAGAGGGTTTCAAAACTGCTCTATCAAGAGAAATCTTCAACTCTGTGAGTTGAATGCAGACATCACAAAGTCGTTTCTGAGATGGGTTCTGTCTAGGTTTTATGGGAAGATATTTCCTTTTCTACCATACGCTTCAAGGCGTTCCAAATATCCGCTTGGAAATACTACAAAAACAGTGTTTCAAAACTGCTCTATCAAAAGGAAGGATCCACACTGTGAGTTGAATTCACACATCACAAAGAAGTCTCTGAGAATTCTTCTGTCTGGGTTTATAGGAAGAAATCCCGTTTCCAACGAAGGCCTCAAAGCGGTCCATATATCCACTTGCAGATTCTACAGAAACAATGTTTCCAAACTGCTCTATCAAGAGGAATGTTGCACTCGGTGAGTTGAATGCACACATCACAAAGTAGTTTCTGAGATTGCTTCTGTCTACCTTTTATGGAAAGATATTCCCTTTTCTACCATAGGCCTGAAAGCGCTCTCAATGTACCCTTGCAAATTCTACAAAAAGAGTGTTTCCAAATTGCTCTATCAAGAGAAATCTTTATCTCGGTGAGTTGAAAGCACACATCACAAAGAAGACTCTGAGAATTCTCTGTCTGGGTTTATAAGATGAAAACCCGTTTCCAACGAAGGCCTCAAGGGAGGTCCAAATACAAACAAGCTGATTCTACAGAAAGAGTGTTTCCAAACTGCTCTATCAAGAGGAATGTTCCACTCGGTGAGTTGAATGCAGACATCACAAAGGAGTTTCTGAGATTGCTTCTGTCTAGCTTTTATGGAAAGATAATTCCTTTTCTACCATAGGCCTCAAAGCGCTCTTAGTATACACTTCCAAATTCTACAAAGAGAGTGTTACTAAACCGCTCTCTCAAAGGAAATGTTAAACTCTGTGAGTTGAACACAGACATCACAAAGCAGTTTCTGAGAACACTTCTGTCTGCCTTTTATGTGAAGACATTCCCTTTTCCAAAGAATGCCTCCAAGGGCTCAAAATATCCACTTGTAGACTTTACAAAGAGAGTGTTTCAAAACTTCTCTACCAAAAGAAAGGTTAAAGACGGTGAGTTCAACGCACACATCACAAAGTTGTTTCTGAGAATGATTCTATCTATGTTTTCCATGAAGATGTTTCCTTTTCTATCATAGGCTTCAAAGTGGTCTAAATATCCACTTGGAAATCCTACAAGAACAGGGTTTCAAAACTTCTCTATCAAACGGAAGACTCCACTCTGTGAGATGAACGCACACATCACAATGAGGTTTCTGAAAATTCTTCTGTCTAGGGTTATAGGAAGAAATCCCGTTTCCAACGAAGGCCTCAAAGAGGTCCAAATATCCACTTGCAGTTTCTACAAAAAGAGTGTTTCAACACTGCTCTATAAAGAGGAAAGTTCCACTCTGTGAGTTGAATGTACACATCACAAAGTAGTTTCTGAGATTGCTTCTGTCTAGGTTTTAGGTGAAGTTATTTCCTTTTCTACTGTGGGCTTCAATGCGCTCTAAATATACACATGCAAATACTACAAAAAGAGTGTTTCAAAACTGCTCTATCAAAAGAAAAGTTTTACTCTGTGGGTTGAACGCACACATCGCAAAGCAGATTCTGAGAATTATTCTGTCTAGTTTTTATAGGAAGATGTTTCTTTTTCTGCCATAGGATCAATGCGCTATAAATATCCCCTTGGAAATCCTACAAAAACAGTGTTTCATAACTGCTCTGTGAAAAGGGACGTTTCACTCTTTGAATTGAATGCACACATCACAAAGGATTTTCTGAAAATTCTTCAATCTAGAGTTACATGAAGAAATCCCGTTTCCAAAGAAGGCCTCAAATAGGTCCAAATATCCACTTGCAGCTACTACAAGAAGGGTGTTTCAGAAACGCTCTATCAAAAGAAACGTTAAACTCTGTGAGTTGAACACACACGTCACTAAGCACTTTCTGAGACCGATTCTATCTACTTTTTACATGAAGATGTTTCCTTTTCTAGCAGAGACTTCAAAGTGCTCTAAATATCCACTTGGGAATTCTACAAAAACGGTGTCTCAAAACTGCTCTATCAAAGGGAATGTTCCATTCTGTGAGTCGAATGCACACATCCGAAGAAGTTACTGAGAATTCTTCTCTGTAGGTTTAGATGAAGAAATCCCGTTTCCAACGAAGGCCTCTAGGAGGTCCAATTATCCACTTGCAGATTCTACAGAAAGAGTGTTTCAAAACTGCTCTATCAAGAGAAATGGTCCACCGTGTGTGTGGAATGCAGCCATCACACATTAGTTTCTGAGATTGCTTCTGTCTTGGTTTTATGGGGAGATATTTCCATTTCTAGCATAGGCTTCAAGGCGCTCTAAATATCCGCTTGGAAATACTACAAAAACAGTGTTTCAAAACTGCTGTATCCAAAGAAAGGTGCCATTCGCTGAGTTGAATGCACACATCACAAGGAAGTTTCTGAGAATTCTTCTGTCTAGATTCATACGAAGAAATCCCGTTTCCAACGAAGGCCTCAAAGAAGTCCAAATATCCCATTGCAAATTCTACAAAAGGAGTGTTTCCCAACTGCTCTATCAAGAGGAATGTTGCACTCTCTGACTTGCATGCAAACATCATATAGCAGTGTTTGAGAATTCTTCTGTCTAGAGTAACATGAAGAAATCCCGTTTCCAACGAAGGCCTCAAGGCCGTCCAATTATCCACTTGCAGATTCTACAGAAAGAGTGTTTCAAAACTGCTCTATCAAGAGAAATGTTCCACCGTGTGTGTGGAATGCAGTCATCACACAGTAGTTTCTGAGATTGCTTCCGTCTAGGTTTTATGGGAAGATATTTCCTTTTCTACCATAGGCCTCAAGGCGCTCTAATATCCGCTTGGAAATACTACAACCACAGCGTTTCAAACTGCTCTATCCAAAGGAAGGTTCCACTCTGTGACTTGAATGCACACAACCAAAGAAGTTTCGGAGAATTCTTCTGTCTGGATTTATACGAAGAAATTCCGTTTCCAACGAAGACCCAAAGGAGTTCCAAATATCCACTTGCAGATCCTTCAGAAAGAGGGTTTCAAAACTGCTCTATCAAGAGAAATGTTCAACTCTGTGAGTTGAATGCAGACATCACAAAGTCGTTTCTGAGATTGGTTCTGTCTAGGTTTTATGGGAAGATATTTCCTTTTCTACCATACGCTTCAAGGCGTTCCAAATATCCGCTTGGAAATACTACAAAAACGGTGTTTCAAAACTGCTCTATCAAAAGGAAGGATCCACACTGTGAGTTGAATTCACACATCACAAAGAAATCTCTGAGAATTCTTCTGTCTGGGTTTATAGGAAGAAATCCCGTTTCCAACGAAGGCCTCAAAGCGGTCCATATATCCACTTGCAGATTCTACAGAAACAATGTTTCCAAACTGCTCTATCAAGAGGAATGTTGCACTCGGTGAGTTGAATGCACACATCACAAAGTAGTTTCTGAGATTGCTTCTGTCTACCTTTTATGGAAAGATATTCCCTTTTCTACCATAGGCCTGAAAGCGCTCTCAATGTACCCTTGCAAATTCTACAAAAAGAGTGTTTCCAAATTGCTCTATCAAGAGAAATCTTTATCTCGGTGAGTTGAAAGCACACATCACAAAGAAGACTCTGAGAATTCTTCTGTCTGGGTTTATAAGATGAAAACCCGTTTCCAACGAAGGCCTCAAGGAGGTCCAAATACAAACAAGCTGATTCTACAGAAAGAGTGTTTCCAAACTGCTCTATCAAGAGGAATGTTCCACGCGGTGAGTTGAATGCAGACATCACAAAGGAGTTTCTGAGATTGCTTCTGTCTAGCTTTTATGGAAAGATATTTCCTTTTCTACCATAGGCCTCAAAGCGCTCTTAGTATACACTTCCAAATTCTACAAAGAGAGTGTTACTAAACCGCTCTCTCAAAGGAAATGTTAAACTCTGTGAGTTGAACACAGACATCACAAAGCAGTTTCTGAGAACACTTCTGTCTGCCTTTTATGTGAAGACATTCCCTTTTCCAAAGAATGCCTCCAAGGGCTCAAAATATCCACTCGTAGACTTTACAAAGAGAGTGTTTCAAAACTTCTCTACCAAAAGAAAGGTTAAAGACGGTGAGTTCAACGCACACATCACAAAGTTGTTTCTGAGAATGATTCTATCTATGTTTTCCATGAAGATGTTTCCTTTTCTATCATAGGCTTCAAAGTGGTCTAAATATCCACTTGGAAATCCTACAAGAACAGGGTTTCAAAACTTCTCTATCAAACGGAAGACTCCACTCTGTGAGATGAACGCACACATCACAATGAGGTTTCTGAAAATTCTTCTGTCTAGGGTTATAGGAAGAAATCCCGTTTCCAACGAAGGCCTCAAAGAGGTCCAAATATCCACTTGCAGTTTCTACAAAAAGAGTGTTTCAACACTGCTCTATAAAGAGGAAAGTTCCACTCTGTGAGTTGAATGTACACATCACAAAGTAGTTTCTGAGATTGCTTCTGTCTAGGTTTTAGGTGAAGTTATTTCCTTTTCTACTGTGGGCTTCAATGCGCTCTAAATATACACATGCAAATACTACAAAAAGAGTGTTTCAAAACTGCTCTATCAAAAGAAAAGTTTTACTCTGTGGGTTGAACGCACACATCGCAAAGCAGATTCTGAGAATTATTCTGTCTAGTTTTTATAGGAAGATGTTTCTTTTTCTGCCATAGGCTCAATGCGCTATAAATATCCCCTTGGAAATCCTACAAAAACAGTGTTTCAAAACTGCTCTGTGAAAAGGGAGGTTTCACTCTTTGAATTGAATGCACACATCACAAAGGAGTTTCTGAAAATTCTTCAATCTAGAGTTACATGAAGAAATCCCGTTTCCAAAGAAGGCCTCAAATAGGTCCAAATATCCACTTGCAGCTACTACAAGAAGGGTGTTTCAGAAACGCTCTATCAAAAGAAACGTTAAACTCTGTGAGTTGAACGCACACGTCACTAAGCACTTTCTGAGAACGATTCTATCTACTTTTTACATGAAGATGTTTCCTTTTCTAGCAGAGACTTCAAAGTGCTCTAAATATCCACTTGGGAATTCTACAAAAACGGTGTCTCAAAACTGCTCTATCAAAGGGAATGTTCCATTCTGTGAGTCGAATGCACACATCCGAAGAAGTTACTGAGAATTCTTCTCTGTAGGTTTAGATGAAGAAATCCCGTTTCCAACGAAGGCCTCTAGGAGGTCCAATTATCCACTTGCAGATTCTACAGAAAGAGTGTTTCAAAACTGCTCTATCAAGAGAAATGGTCCACCGTGTGTGTGGAATGCAGCCATCACACATTAGTTTCTGAGATTGCTTCTGTCTTGGTTTTATGGGGAGATATTTCCATTTCTAGCATAGGCTTCAAGGCGCTCTAAATATCCGCTTGGAAATACTACAAAAACAGTGTTTCAAAACTGCTGTATCCAAAGGAAGGTGCCACTCGCTGAGTTGAATGCACACATCACAAGGAAGTTTCTGAGAATTCTTCTGTCTAGATTCATACGAAGAAATCCCGTTTCCAACGAAGGCCTCAAAGAAGTCCAAATATCCCATTGCAAATTCTACATAAGGAGTGTTTCCCAACTGCTCTATCAAGAGGAATGTTGCACTCTGTGACTTGATTGCAAACATCACATAGCAGTGTTTGAGAATTCTTCTGTCTAGAGTAACATGAAGAAATCCCGTTTCCAACGAAGGCCTCAAGGCGGTCCAATTATCCACTTGCAGATTCTACAGAAAGAGTGTTTCAAAACTGCTCTATCAAGAGAAATGTTCCACCGTGTGTGTGGAATGCAGCCATCACACAGTAGTTTCTGAGATTGCTTCCGTCTAGGTTTTATGGGAAGATATTTCCTTTTCTACCATAGGCTTCAAGGCGCTCTAATATCCGCTTGGAAATACTACAACCACAGCGTTTCAAACTGCTCTATCCAAAGGAAGGTTCCACTCTGTGACTTGAATGCACACAACCAAAGAAGTTTCGGAGAATTCTTCTGTCTGGATTTATACGAAGAAATCCCGTTTCCAACGAAGACCCAAAGGAGTTCCAAATATCCACTTGCAGATCCTTCAGAAAGAGGGTTTCAAAACTGCTCTATCAAGAGAAATGTTCAACTCTGTGAGTTGAATGCAGACATCACAAAGTCGTTTCTGAGATGGGTTCTGTCTATGTTTTATGGGAAGATATTTCCTTTTCTACCATACGCTTCAAGGCGTTCCAAATATCCGCTTGGAAATACTACAAAAACGGTGTTTCAAAACTGCTCTATCAAAAGGAAGGATCCACACTGTGAGTTGAATTCACACATCACAAAGAAATCTCTGAGAATTACTTCTGTCTGGGTTTATAGGAAGAAATCCCATTTCCAACGAAGGCCTCAAAGAGGTACAAATATCCACTTGCAGATTCTACAGAAACAATGTTTCCAAACTGCTCGGTGAAGAGGAACGTTGCACTCGGTGAGTTGAATGCACACATCACAAAGTAGTTTCTGAGATTGCTTCTGTCTACCTTTTCTACCATAGGCCTGAAAGCGCTCTCAATGTACCCTTGCAAATTCTACAAAAAGAGTGTTTCCAAATTGCTCTATCAAGAGAAATCTTTATCTCGGTGAGTTGAAAGCACACATCACAAAGAAGACTCTGAGAATTCTTCTGTCTGGGTTTATAAGATGAAAACCCGTTTCCAACGAAGGCCTCAAGGAGGTCCAAATACAAACAAGCTGATTCTACAGAAAGAGTGTTTCCAAACTGCTCTATCAAGAGGAATGTTCCACTCGGTGAGTTGAATGCAGACATCACAAAGGAGTTTCTGAGATTGCTTCTGTCTAGCTTTTATGGAAAGATATTTCCTTTTCTACCATAGGCCTCAAAGCGCTCTTAGTATACACTTCCAAATTCTACAAAGAGAGTGTTACTAAACCGCTCTCTCAAAGGAAATGTTAAACTCTGTGAGTTGAACACAGACATCACAAAGCAGTTTCTGAGAACACTTCTGTCTGCCTTTTATGTGAAGACATTCCCTTTTCCAAAGAATGCCTCCAAGGGCTCAAAATATCCACTTGTAGACTTTACAAAGAGAGTGTTTCAAAACTTCTCTACCAAAAGAAAGGTTAAAGACGGTGAGTTCAACGCACACATCACAAAGTTGTTTCTGAGAATGATTCTATCTATGTTTTCCATGAAGATGTTTCCTTTTCTATCATAGGCTTCAAAGTGGTCTAAATATCCACTTGGAAATCCTACAAGAACAGGGTTTCAAAACTTCTCTATCAAACGGAACACTCCACTCTGTGAGATGAACGCACACATCACAATGAGGTTTCTGAAAATTCTTCTGTCTAGGGTTATAGGAAGAAATCCCGTTTCCAAAGAAGGCCTCAAAGAGGTCCAAATATCCACTTGCAGTTTCTACAAAAAGAGTGTTTCAACACTGCTCTATAAAGAGGAAAGTTCCACTCTGTGAGTTGAATGTACACATCACAAAGTAGTTTCTGAGATTGCTTCTGTCTAGGTTTTAGGTGAAGTTATTTCCTTTTCTACTGTGGGCTTCAATGCGCTCTAAATATACACATGCAAATACTACAAAAAGAGTGTTTCAAAACTGCTCTATCAAAAGAAAAGTTTTACTCTGTGGGTTGAACGCACACATCGCAAAGCAGATTCTGAGAATTATTCTGTCTAGTTTTTATAGGAAGATGTTTCTTTTTCTGCCATAGGATCAATGCGCTATAAATATCCCCTTGGAAATCCTACAAAAACAGTGTTTCAAAACTGCTCTGTGAAAAGGGAGGTTTCACTCTTTGAATTGAATGCACACATCACAAAGAAGTTTCTGAAAATTCTTCAATCTAGAGTTACATGAAGAAATCCCGTTTCCAAAGAAGGCCTCAAATAGGTCCAAATATCCACTTGCAGCTACTACAAGAAGGGTGTTTCAGAAACGCTCTATCAAAAGAAACGTTAAACTCTGTGAGTTGAACGCACACGTCACTAAGCACTTTCTGAGAACGATTCTATCTACTTTTTACATGAAGATGTTTCCTTTTCTAGCAGAGACTTCAAAGTGCTCTAAATATCCACTTTGGAATTCTACAAAAACGGTGTCTCAAAACTGCTCTACCAAAGGGAATGTTCCATTCTGTGAGTCTAATGCACACATCCGAAGAAGTTACTGAGAATTCTTCTCTGTAGGTTTAGATGAAGAAATCCCGTTTCCAACGAAGGCCTCTAGGAGGTCCAATTATCCACTTGCAGATTCTACAGAAAGAGTGTTTCAAAACTGCTCTATCAAGAGCAATGGTCCACCGTGTGTGTGGAATGCAGCCATCACACATTAGTTTCTGAGATTGCTTCTGTCTTGGTTTTATGGGGAGATATTTCCATTTCTAGCATAGGCTTCAAGGCGCTCTAAATATCCGCTTGGAAATACTACAAAAACAGTGTTTCAAAACTGCTGTATCCAAAGGAAGGTGCCACTCGCTGAGTTGAATGCACACATCACAAGGAAGTTTCTGAGAATTCTTCTGTCTAGATTCATACGAAGAAATCCCGTTTCCAACGAAGGCCTCAAAGAAGTCCAAATATCCCATTGCAAATTCTACAAAAGGAGTGTTTCCCAACTGCTCTATCAAGAGGAATGTTGCACTCTGTGACTTGCATGCAAACATCACATAGCAGTGTTTGAGAATTCTTCTGTCTAGAGTAACATGAAGAAATCCCGTTTCCAACGAAGGCCTCAAGGCGGTCCAATTATCCACTTGCAGATTCTACAGAAAGAGTGTTTCAAAACTGCTCTATCAAGAGAAATGTTCCACCGTGTGTGTGGAATGCAGCCATCACACAGTACTTTCTGAGATTGCTTCCGTCTAGGTTTTATGGGAAGATATTTCCTTTTCTACCATAGGCCTCAAGGCGCTCTAATATCCGCTTGGAAATACTACAACCACAGCGTTTCAAACTGCTCTATCCAAAGGAAGGTTCCACTCTGTGACTTGAATGCACACAACCAAAGAAGTTTCGGAGAATTCTTCTGTCTGGATTTATACGAAGAAATCCCGTTTCCAAGGAAGACCCAAAGGAGTTCCAAATATCCACTTGCAGATCCTTCAGAAAGAAGGTTTCAAAACTGCTCTATCAAGAGAAATGTTCAACTCTGTGAGTTGAATGCAGACATCACAAAGTCGTTTCTGAGATGGGTTCTGTCTAGGTTTTATGGGAAGATATTTCCTTTTCTACCATACGCTTCAAGGCGTTCCAAATATCCGCTTGGAAATACTACAAAAACAGTGTTTCAAAACTGCTCTATCAAAAGGAAGGATCCACACTGTGAGTTGAATTCACACATCACAAAGAAGTCTCTGAGAATTCTTCTGTCTGGGTTTATAGGAAGAAATCCCGTTTCCAACGAAGGCCTCAAAGAGGTCCAAATATCCACTTGCAGATTCTACAGAAACAATGTTTCCAAACTGCTCGGTCAAGAGGAATGTTGCACTCGGTGAGTTGAATGCACACATCACAAAGTAGTTTCTGAGATTGCTTCTGTCTACCTTTTATGGAAAGATATTCCCTTTTCTACCATAGGCCTGAAAGCGCTCTCAATGTACCCTTGCAAATTCTACAAAAAGAGTGTTTCCAAATTGCTCTATCAAGAGAAATCTTTATCTCGGTGAGTTGAAAGCACACATCACAAAGAAGACTCTGAGAATTCTTCTGTCTGGGTTTATAAGATGAAAACCCGTTTCCAACGAAGGCCTCAAGGAGGTCCAAATACAAACAAGCTGATTCTACAGAAAGAGTGTTTCCAAACTGCTCTATCAAGAGGAATGTTCCACTCGGTGAGTTGAATGCAGACATCACAAAGGAGTTTCTGAGATTGCTTCTGTCTAGCTTTTATGGAAAGATATTTCCTTTTCTACCATAGGCCTCAAAGCGCTCTTAGTATACACTTCCAAATTCTACAAAGACAGTGTTACTAAACTGCTCTCTCAAAGGAAATGTTAAAATCTGTGAGTTGAACACAGACATCACAAAGCAGTTTCTGAGAACACTTCTGTCTGCCTTTTATGTGAAGACATTCCCTTTTCCAAAGAATGCCTCCAAGGGCCCAAAATATCCACTTGTAGACTTTACAAAGAGAGTGTTTCAAAACTTCTCTATCAAAAGAAAGGTTAAAGACGGTGAGTTCAACGCACACATCACAAATTTGTTTCTGAGAATGATTCTCTCTTTGTTTTCCATGAAGATGTTTCCTTTTCTATCATAGGCTTCAAAGTGGTCTAAATATCCACTTGGAAATCCTACAAGAACAGGGTTTCAAAACTTCTCTATCAAACGGAAGACTCCACTCTGTGAGATGAACGCACACATCACAATGAGGTTTCTGAAAATTCTTCTGTCTAGGGTTATAGGAAGAAATCCCGTTTCCAACGAAGGCCTCAAAGAGGTCCAAATATCCACCTGCAGTTTATACAAAAAGAGTGTTTCAACACTGCTCTGTAAAGAGGAAAGTTCCACTCTGTGAGTTGAATGTACACATCACAAAGTAGTTTCTGAGATTGCTTCTGTCTAGGTTTTAGGTGAAGTTATTTCCTTTTCTACTGTGGGCTTCAATGCGCTCTAAATATACACATGCAAATACTACAAAAAGAGTGTTTCAAAACTGCTCTATCAAAAGAAAAGTTTTACTCTGTGAGTTGAACGCACACATCGCAAAGCAGATTCTGAGAATTATTCTGTCTAGTTTTTATAGGAAGATGTTTCTTTTTCTGCCGTAGGCTCAATGCGCTATAAATATCCCCTTGGAAATCCTACAAAAACAGTGTTTCAAAACTGCTCTGTGAAAAGGGAGGTTTCACTCTTTGAATTGAATGCACACATCACAAAGGAGTTTCTGAAAATTCTTCAAACTAGAGTTACATGAAGAAATCCCGTTTCCAAAGAAGGCCTCATATAGGTCCAAATATCCACTTGCAGCTACTACAAGAAGGGTGTTTCAGAAACGGTCTATCAAAAGAAACGTTAAACTCTGTGAGTTGAACGCACACGTCACTAAGCACTTTCTGAGAACGATTCTATCTACTTTTTACATGAAGATGTTTCCTTTTCTAGCAGAGACTTCAAAGTGCTCTAAATATCCGCTTGGGAATTCTACCAAAACGGTGTCTCAAAACTGCTCTATCGAAGGGAATGTTCCACTCTGTGAGTCGAATGCACACATCTGAAGAAGTTACTGAGAATTCTTCTCTGTAGGTTTAGATGACGAAATCCCGTTTCCAACGAAGGCCTCTAGGAGGTCCAATTATCCACTTGCAGATTCTACAGAAAGAGTGTTTCAAAACTGCTCTATCAAGAGAAATGGTCCACCGTGTGTGTGGAATGCAGCCATCACACATTAGTTTCTGAGATTGCTTTCTGTCTTGGTTTTATGGGGAGATATTACCATTTCTAGCGTAGGCTTCAAGGCGCTCTAAATATCCGCTTGGAAATACTACAAAAACAGTGTTTCAAAACTGCTGTATCCAAAGGAAGGTGCCACTCGCTGAGTTGAATGCACACATCACAAAGAAGTTTCTGAGAATTCTTCTGTCTAGATTTATACGAAGAAATCCCGTTTCCAACGAAGGCCTCAAAGAAGTCCAAATATCCCATTGCAAATTCTACAAAGGAGTCTTTGCCAACTGCTCTATCAAGAGGAATGTTTCACTCTGTGACTTGAATGCAGACATCACATAGTAGTGTTTGAGAATTCTTCTATCTAGAGTAACATGAAGAAATCCCGTTTCCAACGAAGGCCTCAAGGCGGTCCAATTATCCACTTGCAGATTCTACAGAAAGAGTGTTTCAAAACTGCTCTATCAAGAGAAATGTTCCACCGTGTGTGTGGAATGCAGCCATCACCCAGTAGTTTCTGAGATTGCTTCCGTCTAGGTTTTATGTGAAGATATTTCCTTTTCTACCATAGGTCTCAAGGCGCTCTAATATCCGCTTGCAAATACTACAACCACACCGTTTCAAACTGCTCTTCCCAAAGGAAGGTTCCACCCTGTGACTTGAATGCACACAACCAAAGAAGTTTTGGAGAATTCTTCTGTCTAGATTTCTACGAAGAAATCCCGTTTCCAACGAAGACCCAAAGGAGTTCCAAATATCCACTTGCAGATACTTCAGAAAGAGGGTATCAAAACTGCTCTATCAAGAGAAATGTTCAACTCTGTGAGTTGAATGCAGACATCACAAAGTCGTTTCTGAGATTGGTTCTGTCTAGGTTTTATGGGAAGATATTTCCTTTTCTACCATACGCTTCAAGGCGTTCCAAATATCCACTTGGAAATACTACAAAAACAGTGTTTCAAAACTGCTCTATCAAAAGGAAGGATCCACACTGTGAGTTGAATTCACACATCACAAAGAAGTCTCTGAGAATTCTTCTGTCTGGGTTTATAGGAAGAAATCCCGTTTCCAACGAAGGCCTCAAAGAGGTCCAAATATCCACTTGCAGATTCTACAGAAACAATGTTTCCAAACTGCTCTATCAAGAGGAACGTTGCACTCGGTGAGTTGAATGCACACATCACAAAGTAGTTTCTGAGATTGCTTCTGTCTACCTTTGATGGAAAGATATTCCCTTTTCTACCATAGGCCTGAAAGCGCTCTCAATGTACCCTTGCAAAGTCTACAAAAAGAGTGTTTCCAAATTGCTCTATCAAGAGAAATCTTTATCTCGGTGAGTTGAAAGCACACATCACAAAGAAGACTCTGAGAATTCTTCTGTCTGGGTTTATAAGATGAAAACCCGTTTCCAACGAAGGCCTCAAGGAGGTCCAAATACAAACAACCTGATTCTACAGAAAGAGTGTTTCCAAACTGCTCTATCAAGAGGAATGTTCCACTCGGTGAGTTGAATGCAGACATCACAAAGGAGTTTCTGAGATTGCTTCTGTCTAGCTTTTATGGAAAGATGTTTCCTTTTCTACCATAGGCCTCAAAGCGCTCTTAGTATACACTTCCAAATTCTACAAAGAGAGGGTTACTAAACTGCTCTATCAAAGGAAATGTTAAACTCTGTGAGTTGAACACAGACATCACAAAGCAGTTTCTGAGAACACTTCTGTCTGCCTTTTACGTGAAGACATTCCCTTTTCTGAAGAATGCCTCCAAGGGCTCAAAATATCCACTTGTAGACTTTACAAAGAGAGTGTTTCAAAACTTCTCTACCAAAAGAAAGGTTAAAGACGGCGAGTTCAACGTACACATCACAAAGTTGTTTCTGAGAATGATTCTATCTATGTTTTCCATGAAGATGTTTCCTTTTCTATCATAGGCTTCAAAGTGGTCTAAATATCCACTTGGAAATCCTACAAGAACAGGGTTTCAAAACTTCTCTATCAAACGGAAGACTCCACTCTGTGAGATGAACGCACACATCACAATGAGGTTTCTGAAAATTCTTCTGTCTAGGGTTATAGGAAGAAATCCCGTTTCCAACGAGGGCCTCAAAGAGGTCCACATATCCATTTGCAGTTTCTACAAAAAGAGTGTTTCAACACTGCTCTATAAAGAGGAAAGTTCCACTCTGTGAGTTGAATGTACACATCACAAAGTAGTTTCTGAGATTGCTTCTGTCTAGGTTTTAGGTGAAGTTATTTCCTTTTCTTCTGTGGGCTTCAATGCGCTCTAAATATACACATGCAAATACTACAAAAAGAGTGTTTCAAAACTGCTCTATCAAAAGAAAAGTTTTACTCTGTCAGTTGAACGCACACATGGCAAAGCAGATTCTGAGAATTATTCTGTCTAGTTTTTATAGGAAGGTGTTTCTTTTTGTGCCGTAGGCTCAATGCGCTATAAATATCCCCTTGGAAATCCTACAAAAACAGTGTTTCCAAACTGCTCTGTGAAAAGGGAGGTTTCACTCTTTGAATTGAATGCACACATCCCAAAGGAGTTTCTGAGAATTCTTCAATCTAGAGTTACAGGAAGAAATCCCGTTTCCAAAGAAGGCCTCCAATAGGTCCAAATATCCACTTGCAGCTACTACAAGAAGGGTGTTTCAGAAACGCTCTATCAAAAGAAACGTTACACTCTGTGAGTTGAACGCACACGTCACTAAGCACTTTCTGAGAACGATTCTATCTACTTTTTACATGAAGATGTTTCCTTTTCTAGCAGAGACTTCAAAGTGCTCTAAATATCCACTTGGGAATTCTACCAAAACGGTGTCTCAAAACTGCTCTATCGAAGGGAATGTTCCACTCTGTGAGTCGAATGCACACATCCGAAGAAGTTACTGAGAATTCTTCTCTGTAGGTTTAGATGAAGAAATCCCGTTTCCAACGAAGGCCTCTAGGAGGTCCAATTATCCACTTGCAGATTCTACAGAAAGAGTGTTTCAAAACTGCTCTATCAAGAGAAATGGTCCACCGTGTGTGTGGAATGCAGCCATCACACATTAGTTTCTGAGATTGCTTCTGTCTTGGTTTTATGGGGAGATATTTCCATTTCTAGCGTAGGCTTCAAGGCGCTCTAAATATCCGCTTGGAAATACTACAAAAACAGTGTTTCAAAACTGCTGTATCCAAAGGAAGGTGCCACACGCTGAGTTGAATGCACACATTACAAAGAAGTTTCTGAGAATTCTTCTGTCTAGTTTTATACGAAGAAATCCCGTTTCCAACGAAGGCCTCAAAGAAGTCCAAATATCCCATTGCAAATTCTACAATAGGAGTGTTTCCCAACTACTCTATCAAGAGGAATGTTGCACTCTGTGACTTGAATGCAAACATCACATAGCAGTGTTTGAGAATTCTTCTATCTAGAGTAACATGAAGAAATCCCGTTTCCAACGAAGGCCTCAAGGCGGTCCAATTATCCACTTGCAGATTCTACAGAAAGAGTGTTTCAAAACTGCTCTATCAAGAGAAATGTTCCACCGTGTGTGTGGAATGCAGCCATCACACAGTAGTTTCTGAGATTGCTTCCGTCTAGGTTTTATGGGAAGATATTTCCTTTTCTACCATAGGCCTCAAGGCGCTCTAATATCCGCTTGGAAATACTACAACCACAGCGTTTCAAACTGCTCTATCCAAAGGAAGGTTCCACTCTGTGACTTGAATGCACACAACCAAAGAAGTTTCGGAGAATTCTTCTGTCTAGATTTATACGAAGAAATCCCGTTTCCAACGAAGACCCAAAGGAGTTCCAAATATCCACTTGCAGATCCTTCAGAAAGAGGGTTTCAAAACTGCTCTATCAAGAGAAATGTTCAACTACTGTGAGTTGAATGCAGACATCACAAAGTCGTTTCTGAGATTGGTTCTGTCTAGGTTTTATGGGAAGATATTTCCTTTTCTACCATACGGCTTCAAGGCGTTCCAAATATCCGCTTGGAAATACTACAAAAACAGTGTTTCAAAACTGCTCTATCAAAAGGAAGGATCCACACTGTGAGTTGAATTCACACATCACAAAGAAATCTCTGAGAATTCTTCTGTCTGGGTTTATAGGAAGAAATCCCGTTTCCAACGAAGGCCTCAAAGAGGTCCAAATATCCACTTGCAGATTCTACAGAAACAATGTTTCCAAACTGCTCGGTCAAGAGGAATGTTGCACTCGGTGAGTTGAATGCACACATCACAAAGTAGTTTCTGAGATTGCTTCTGTCTACCTTTTATGGAAAGATATTCCCTTTTCTACCATAGGCCTGAAAGCTCTCTCAATGTACCCTTGCAAATTCTACAAAAAGAGTGTTTCCAAATTGCTCTATTAAGAGAAATCTTTTCTCGGTGAGTTGAAAGCACACATCACAAAGAAGACTCTGAGAATTCTTCTGTCTGGGTTTATAAGATGAAAACCCGTTTCCAACGAAGGCCTCAAGGAGGTCCAAATACAAACAAACTGATTCTACAGAAAGAGTGTTTCCAAACTGCTCTATCAAGAGGAATGTTCCACTCGGTGAGTTGAATGCAGACATCACAAAGGAGTTTCTGAGATTGCTTCTGTCTAGCTTTTATGGAAAGATATTTCCTTTTCTACCATAGGCCTCAAAGCGCTCTTAGTATACACTTCCAAATTCTACAAAGAGAGTGTTACTAAACCGCTCTCTCAAAGGAAATGTTAAACTCTGTGAGTTGAACACAGACATCACAAAGCAGTTTCTGAGAACACTTCTGTCTGCCTTTTATGTGAAGACATTCCCTTTTCCAAAGAATGCCTCCAAGGGCTCAAAATATCCACTTGTAGACTTTACAAAGAGAGTGTTTCAAAACTTCTCTACCAAAAGAAAGGTTAAAGACGGTGAGTTCAACGCACACATCACAAAGTTGTTTCTGAGAATGATTCTATCTATGTTTTCCATGAAGATGTTTCCTTTTCTATCATAGGCTTCAAAGTGGTCTAAATATCCACTTGGAAATCCTACAAGAACAGGGTTTCAAAACTTCTCTATCAAACGGAAGACTCCACTCTGTGAGATGAACGCACACATCACAATGAGGTTTCTGAAAATTCTTCTGTCTAGGGTTATAGGAAGAAATCCCGTTTCCAACGAAGGCCTCAAAGAGGTCCAAATATCCACTTGCAGTTTCTACAAAAAGAGTGTTTCAACACTGCTCTATAAAGAGGAAAGTTCCACTCTGTGAGTTGAATGTACACATCACAAAGTAGTTTCTGAGATTGCTTCTGTCTAGGTTTTAGGTGAAGTTATTTCCTTTTCTACTGTGGGCTTCAATGCGCTCTAAATATACACATGCAAATACTACAAAAAGAGTGTTTCAAAACTGCTCTATCAAAAGAAAAGTTTTACTCTGTGGGTTGAACGCACACATCGCAAAGCAGATTCTGAGAATTATTCTGTCTAGTTTTTATAGGAAGATGTTTCTTTTTCTGCCGTAGGCTCAATGCGCTATAAATATCCCCTTGGAAATCCTACAAAAACAGTGTTTCAAAACTGCTCTGTGAAAAGGGAGGTTTCACTCTTTGAATTGAATGCACACATCACAAAGGAGTTTCTGAAAATTCTTCAAACTAGAGTTACATGAAGAAATCCCGTTTCCAAAGAAGGCCTCAAATAGGTCCAAATATCCACTTGCAGCTACTACAAGCAGGGTGTTTCAGAAACGCTCTATCAAAAGAAACGTTAAACTCTGTGAGTTGAACGCACACGTCACTAAGCACTTTCTGAGAACGATTCTATCTACTTTTTACATGAAGATGTTTCCTTTTCTAGCAGAGACTTCAAAGTGCTCTAAATATCCACTTGGGAATTCTACAAAAACGGTGTCTCAAAACTGCTCTATCAAAGGGAATGTTCCATTCTGTGAGTCGAATGCACACATCCGAAGAAGTTACTGAGAATTCTTCTCTGTAGGTTTAGATGAAGAAATCCCGTTTCCAACGAAGGCCTCTAGGAGGTCCAATTATCCACTTGCAGATTCTACAGAAAGAGTGTTTCAAAACTGCTCTATCAAGAGAAATGGTCCACCGTGTGTGTGGAATGCAGCCATCACACATTAGTTTCTGAGATTGCTTCTGTCTTGGTTTTATGGGGAGATATTTCCATTTCTAGCATAGGCTTCAAGGCGCTCTAAATATCCGCTTGGAAATACTACAAAAACAGTGTTTCAAAACTGCTGTATCCAAAGGAAGGTGCCACTCACTGAGTTGAATGCACACATCACAAGGAAGTTTCTGAGAATTCTTCTGTCTAGATTCATACGAAGAAATCCCGTTTCCAACGAAGGCCTCAAAGAAGTCCAAATATCCCATTGCAAATTCTACAAAAGGAGTGTTTCCCAACTGCTCTATCAAGAGGAATGTTGCACTCTGTGACTTGCATGCAAACATCACACAGCAGTGTTTGAGAATTCTTCTGTCTAGAGTAACATGAAGAAATCCCGTTTCCAACGAAGGCCTCAAGGCGGTCCAATTATCCACTTGCAGATTCTACAGAAAGAGTGTTTCAAAACTGCTCTATCAAGAGAAATGTTCCACCGTGTGTGTGGAATGCAGCCATCACACAGTAGTTTCTGAGATTGCTTCCGTCTAGGTTTTATGGGAAGATATTTCCTTTTCTACCATAGGCTTCAAGGCTCTCTAATATCCGCTTGGAAGTACTACAACCAGAGCGTTTCAAACTGCTCTATCCAAAGGAAGGTTCCACTCTGTGACTTGAATGCACACAACCAAAGAAGTTTCGGAGAATTCTTCTGTCTGGATTTATACGAAAAATCCCGTTTCCAACGAAGACCCAAAGGAGTTCCAAATATCCACTTGCAGATCCTTCAGAAAGAGGGTTTCAAAACTGCTCTATCAAGAGAAATGTTCAACTCTGTGAGTTGAATGCAGACATCACAAAGTCGTTTCTGAGATGGGTTCTGTCTAGGTTTTATGGGAAGATATTTCCTTTTCTACCATACGGCTTCAAGGCGTTCCAAATATCCGCTTGGAAATACTACAAAAACAGTGTTTCAAAACTGCTCTATCAAAAGGAAGGATCCACACTGTGAGTTGAATTCACACATCACAAAGAAATCTCTGAGAATTCTTCTGTCTGGGTTTATAGGAAGAAATCCCGTTTCCAACGAAGGCCTCAAAGCGGTCCATATATCCACTTGCAGATTCTACAGAAACAATGTTTCCAAACTGCTCTATCAAGAGGAATGTTGCACTCGGTGAGTTGAATGCACACATCACAAAGTAGTTTCTGAGATTGCTTCTGTCTACCTTTTATGGAAAGATATTCCCTTTTCTACCATAGGCCTGAAAGCGCTCTCAATGTACCCTTGCAAATTCTACAAAAAGAGTGTTTCCAAATTGCTCTATCAAGAGAAATCTTTATCTCGGTGAGTTGAAAGCACACATCACAAAGAAGACTCTGAGAATTCTTCTGTCTGGGTTTATAAGATGAAAACCCGTTTCCAACGAAGGCCTCAAGGAGGTCCAAATACAAACAAGCTGATTCTACAGAAAGAGTGTTTCCAAACTGCTCTATCAAGAGGAATGTTCCACTCGGTGAGTTGAATGCAGACATCACAAAGGAGTTTCTGAGATTGCTTCTGTCTAGCTTTTATGGAAAGATATTTCCTTTTCTACCATAGGCCTCAAAGCGCTCTTAGTATACACTTCCAAATTCTACAAAGAGAGTGTTACTAAACCGCTCTCTCAAAGGAAATGTTAAACTCTGTGAGTTGAACACAGACATCACAAAGCAGTTTCTGAGAACACTTCTGTCTGCCTTTTATGTGAAGACATTCCCTTTTCCAAAGAATGCCTCCAAGGGCTCAAAATATCCACTTGTAGACTTTACAAAGAGAGTGTTTCAAAACTTCTCTACCAAAAGAAAGGTTAAAGACGGTGAGTTCAACGCACACATCACAAAGTTGTTTCTGAGAATGATTCTATCTATGTTTTCCATGAAGATGTTTCCTTTTCTATCATAGGCTTCAAAGTGGTCTAAATATCCACTTGGAAATCCTACAAGAACAGGGTTTCAAAACTTCTCTATCAAACGGAAGACTCCACTCTGTGAGATGAACGCACACATCACAATGAGGTTTCTGAAAATTCTTCTGTCTAGGGTTATAGGAAGAAATCCCGTTTCCAACGAAGGCCTCAAAGAGGTCCAAATATCCACTTGCAGTTTCTACAAAAAGAGTGTTTCAACACTGCTCTATAAAGAGAAAAGTTCCACTCTGTGAGTTGAATGTACACATCACAAAGTAGTTTCTGAGATTGCTTCTGTCTAGGTTTTAGGTGAAGTTATTTCCTTTTCTACTGTGGGCTTCAATGCGCTCTAAATATACACATGCAAATACTACAAAAAGAGTGTTTCAAAACTGCTCTATCAAAAGAAAAGTTTTACTACTGTGGGTTGAACGCACACATCGCAAAGCAGATTCTGAGAATTATTCTGTCTAGTTTTTATAGGAAGATGTTTCTTTTTCTGTCATAGGCTCAATGCGCTATAAATATCCCCTTGGAAATCCTACAAAAACAGTGTTTCAAAACTGCTCTGTGAAAAGGGAGGTTTCACTCTTTGAATTGAATGCACACATCACAAAGGAGTTTCTGAAAATTCTTCAATCTAGAGTTACATGAAGAAATCCCGTTTCCAAAGAAGGCCTCAAATAGGTCCAAATATCCACTTGCAGCTACTACAAGAAGGGTGTTTCAGAAACGCTCTATCAAAAGAAACGTTAAACTCTGTGAGTTGAACGCACACGTCACTAAGCACTTTCTGAGAACGATTCTATCTACTTTTTACATGAAGATGTTTCCTTTTCTAGCAGAGACTTCAAAGTGCTCTAAATATCCACTTGGGAATTCTACAAAAACGGTGTCTCAAAACTGCTCTACCAAAGGGAATGTTCCATTCTGTGAGTCGAATGCACACATCCGAAGAAGTTACTGAGAATTCTTCTCTGTAGGTTTAGATGAAGAAATCCCGTTTCCAACGAAGGCCTCTAGGAGGTCCAATTATCCACTTGCAGATTCTACAGAAAGAGTGTTTCAAAACTGCTCTATCAAGAGAAATGGTCCACCGTGTGTGTGGAATGCAGCCATCACACATTAGTTTCTGAGATTGCTTCTGTCTTGGTTTTATGGGGAGATATTTCCATTTCTAGCATAGGCTTCAAGGCGCTCTAAATATCCGCTTGGAAATACTACAAAAACAGTGTTTCAAAACTGCTGTATCCAAAGGAAGGTGCCACTCGCTGAGTTGAATGCACACATCACAAGGAAGTTTCTGAGAATTCTTCTGTCTAGATTCATACGAAGAAATCCCGTTTCCAACGAAGGCCTCAAAGAAGTCCAAATATCCCATTGCAAATTCTACAAAAGGAGTGTTTCCCAACTGCTCTATCAAGAGGAATGTTGCACTCTGTGACTTGAATGCAAACATCACATAGCAGTGTTTGAGAATTCTTCTGTCTAGAGTAACATGAAGAAATCCCGTTTCCAACGAAGGCCTCAAGGCGGTCCAATTATCCACTTGCAGATTCTACAGAAAGAGTGTTTCAAAACTGCTCTATCAAGAGAAATGTTCCACCGTGTGTGTGGAATGCAGCCATCACACAGTAGTTTCTGAGATTGCTTCCGTCTAGGTTTTATGGGAAGATATTTCCTTTTCTACCATAGGCTTCAAGGCGCTCTAATATCCGCTTGGAAATACTACAACCACAGCGTTTCAAACTGCTCTATCCAAAGGAAGGTTCCACTCTGTGACTTGAATGCACACAACCAAAGAAGTTTCGGAGAATTCTTCTGTCTGGATTTATACGAAGAAATCCCGTTTCCAACGAAGACCCAAAGGAGTTCCAAATATCCACTTGCAGATCCTTCAGAAAGAGGGTTTCAAAACTGCTCTATCAAGAGAAATGTTCAACTCTGTGAGTTGAATGCAGACATCACAAAGTCGTTTCTGAGATGGGTTCTGTCTAGGTTTTATGGGAAGATATTTCCTTTTCTACCATACGCTTCAAGGCGTTCCAAATATCCGCTTGGAAATACTACAAAAACAGTGTTTCAAAACTGCTCTATCAAAAGGAAGGATCCACACTGTGAGTTGAATTCACACATCACAAAGAAATCTCTGAGAATTCTTCTGTCTGGGTTTATAGGAAGAAATCCCGTTTCCAACGAAGGCCTCAAAGCGGTCCATATATCCACTTGCAGATTCTACAGAAACAATGTTTCCAAACTGCTCTATCAAGAGGAATGTTGCACTCGGTGAGTTGAATGCACACATCACAAAGTAGTTTCTGAGATTGCTTCTGTCTACCTTTTATGGAAAGATATTCCCTTTTCTACCATAGGCCTGAAAGCGCTCTCAATGTACCCTTGCAAATTCTACAAAAAGAGTGTTTCCAAATTGCTCTATCAAGAGAAATCTTTATCTCGGTGAGTTGAAAGCACACATCACAAAGAAGACTCTGAGAATTCTTCTGTCTGGGTTTATAAGATGAAAACCCGTTTCCAACGAAGGCCTCAAGGAGGTCCAAATACAAACAAGCTGATTCTACAGAAAGAGTGTTTCCAAACTGCTCTATCAAGAGGAATGTTCCACTCGGTGAGTTGAATGCAGACATCACAAAGGAGTTTCTGAGATTGCTTCTGTCTAGCTTTTATGGAAAGATATTTCCTTTTCTACCATAGGCCTCAAAGCGCTCTTAGTATACACTTCCAAATTCTACAAAGAGAGTGTTACTAAACCGCTCTCTCAAAGGAAATGTTAAACTCTGTGAGTTAAACACAGACATCACAAAGCAGTTTCTGAGAACACTTCTGTCTGCCTTTTATGTGAAGACATTCCCTTTTCCAAAGAATGCCTCCAAGGGCCCAAAATATCCACTTGTAGACTTTACAAAGAGAGTGTTTCAAAACTTCTCTACCAAAAGGAAGGTTAAAGGCTGTGAGTTCAACGCACACATCACAAAGTTGTTTCTGAGAATGATTCTATCTATGTTTTCCATGAAGATGTTTCCTTTTCTATCATAGGCTTCAAAGTGGTCTAAATATCCACTTGGAAATCCTACAAGAACAGGGTTTCAAAACTTCTCTATCAAACGGAAGACTCCACTCTGTGAGATGAACGCACACATCACAATGAGGTTTCTGAAAATTCTTCTGTCTAGGGTTATAGGAAGAAATCCCGTTTCCAACGAAGGCCTCAAAGAGGTCCAAATATCCACTTGCAGTTTCTACAAAAAGAGTGTTTCAACACTGCTCTATAAAGAGAAAAGTTCCACTCTGTGAGTTGAATGTACACATCACAAAGTAGTTTCTGAGATTGCTTCTGTCTAGGTTTTAGGTGAAGTTATTTCCTTTTCTACTGTGGGCTTCAATGCGCTCTAAATATAAACATGCAAATACTACAAAAAGAGTGTTTCAAAACTGCTCTATCAAAAGAAAAGTTTTACTCTGTGAGTTGAACGCACACATGGCAAAGCAGATTCTGAGAATTATTCTGTCTAGTTTTTATAGGAAGATGTTTCTTTTTCTGCCATAGGCTCAATGCGCTATAAATATCCCCTTGGAAATCCTACAAAAACAGTGTTTCAAAACTGCTCTGTGAAAAGGGAGGTTTCACTCTTTGAATTGAATGCACACATCACAAAGGAGTTTCTGAAAATTCTTCAAACTAGAGTTACATGAAGAAATCCCGTTTCCAAAGAAGGCCTCAAATAGGTCCAAATATCCACTTGCAGCTACTACAAGAAGGGTGTTTCAGAAACGCTCTATCAAAAGAAACCGTTAAACTCTGTGAGTTGAACACACACGTCACTAAGCACTTTCTGAGAACGATTCTATCTACTTTTTACATGAAGATGTTTCCTTTTCTAGCAGAGACTTCAAAGTGCTCTAAATATCCACTTGGGAATTCTACAAAAACGGTGTCTCAAAACTGCTCTACCAAAGGGAATGTTCCATTCTGTGAGTCGAATGCACACATCCGAAGAAGTTACTGAGAATTCTTCTCTGTAGGTTTAGATGAAGAAATCCCGTTTCCAACGAAGGCCTCTAGGAGGTCCAATTATCCACTTGCAGATTCTACAGAAAGAGTGTTTCAAAACTGCTCTATCAAGAGAAATGGTCCACCGTGTGTGTGGAATGCAGCCATCACACATTAGTTTCTGAGATTGCTTCTGTCTTGGTTTTATGGGGAGATATTTCCATTTCTAGCATAGGCTTCAAGGCGCTCTAAATATCCGCTTGGAAATACTACAAAAACAGTGTTTCAAAACTGCTGTATCCAAAGGAAGGTGCCACTCGCTGAGTTGAATGCACACATCACAAGGAAGTTTCTGAGAATTCTTCTGTCTAGATTCATATGAAGAAATCCCGTTTCCAACGAAGGCCTCAAAGAAGTCCAAATATCCCATTGCAAATTCTACAAAAGGAGTGTTTCCCAACTGCTCTATCAAGAGGAATGTTGCACTCTGTGACTTGCATGCAAACATCACATAGCAGTGTTTGAGAATTCTTCTGTCTAGAGTAACATGAAGAAATCCCGTTTCCAACGAAGGCCTCAAGGCGGTCCAATTATCCACTTGCAGATTCTACAGAAAGAGTGTTTCAAAACTGCTCTATCAAGAGAAATGTTCCACCGTGTGTGTGGAATGCAGCCATCACACAGTAGTTTCTGAGATTGCTTCCGTCTAGGTTTTATGGGAAGATATTTCCTTTTCTACCATAGGCCTCAAGGCGCTCTAATATCCGCTTGGAAATACTACAACCACAGCGTTTCAAACTGCTCTATCCAAAGGAAGGTTCCACTCTGTGACTTGAATGCACACAACCAAAGAAGTTTCGGAGAATTCTTCTGTCTAGATTTATATGAAGAAATCCCGTTTCCAACGAAGACCCAAAGGAGTTCCAAATATCCACTTGCAGATCCTTCAGAAAGAGGGTTTCAAAACTGCTCTATCAAGAGAAATGTTCAACTCTGTGAGTTGAATGCAGACATCACAAAGTCGTTTCTGAGATTGGTTCTGTCTAGGTTTTATGGGAAGATATTTCCTTTTCTACCATACGCTTCAAGGCGTTCCAAATATCCGCTTGGAAATACTACAAAAACAGTGTTTCAAAACTGCTCTATCAAAAGGAAGGATCCACACTGTGAGTTGAATTCACACATCACAAAGAAGTCTCTGAGAATTCTTCTGTCTGGGTTTATAGGAAGAAATCCCGTTTCCAACGAAGGCCTCAAAGAGGTCCAAATATCCACTTGCAGATTCTACAGAAACAATGTTTCCAAACTGCTCGGTCAAGAGGAATGTTGCACTCGGTGAGTTGAATGCACACATCACAAAGTAGTTTCTGAGATTGCTTCTGTCTACCTTTTATGGAAAGATATTCCCATTTCTACCATAGGCCTGAAAGCGCTCTCAATGTACCCTTGCAAATTCTACAAAAAGAGTGTTTCCAAATTGCTCTATCAAGAGAAATCTTTATCTCGGTGAGTTGAAAGCACACATCACAAAGAAGACTCTGAGAATTCTTCTGTCTGGGTTTATAAGATGAAAACCCGTTTCCAACGAAGGCCTCAAGGAGGTCCAAATACAAACAAGCTGATTCTACAGAAAGAGTGTTTCCAAACTGCTCTATCAAGAGGAATGTTCCACTCGGTGAGTTGAATGCAGACATCACAAAGGAGTTTCTGAGATTGCTTCTGTCTAGCTTTTATGGAAAGATATTTCCTTTTCTACCATAGGCCTCAAAGCGCTCTTAGTATACACTTCCAAATTCTACAAAGAGAGTGTTACTAAACCGCTCTCTCAAAGGAAATGTTAAACTCTGTGAGTTGAACACAGACATCACAAAGCAGTTTCTGAGAACACTTCTGTCTGCCTTTTATGTGAAGACATTCCCTCTTCCAAAGAATGCCTCCAAGGGCTCAAAATATCCACTTGTAGACTTTACAAAGAGAGTGTTTCAAAACTTCTCTACCAAAAGAAAGGTTAAAGACGGTGAGTTCAACGCACACATCACAAAGTTGTTTCTGAGAATGATTCTATCTATGTTTTCCATGAAGATGTTTCCTTTTCTATCATAGGCTTCAAAGTGGTCTAAATATCCACTTGGAAATCCTACAAGAACAGGGTTTCAAAACTTCTCTATCAAACGGAAGACTCCACTCTGTGAGATGAACGCACACATCACAATGAGGTTTCTGAAAATTCTTCTGTCTAGGGTTATAGGAAGAAATCCCGTTTCCAACGAAGGCCTCAAAGAGGTCCAAATATCCACTTGCAGTTTCTACAAAAAGAGTGTTTCAACACTGCTCTATAAAGAGAAAAGTTCCACTCTGTGAGTTGAATGTACACATCACAAAGTAGTTTCTGAGATTGCTTCTGTCTAGGTTTTAGGTGAAGTTATTTCCTTTTCTACTGTGGGCTTCAATGCGCTCTAAATATACACATGCAAATACTACAAAAAGAGTGTTTCAAAACTGCTCTATCAAAAGAAAAGTTTTACTCTGTGAATTGAACGCACACATCGCAAAGCAGATTCTGAGAATTATTCTGTCTAGTTTTTATAGGAAGATGTTTCTTTTTCTGCCGTAGGCTCAATGCGCTATAAATATCCCCTTGGAAATCCTACAAAAACAGTGTTTCAAAACTGCTCTGTGAAAAGGGACGTTTCACACTTTGAATTGAATGCACACATCACAAAGGAGTTTCTGAAAATTCTTCAATCTAGAGTTACATGAAGAAATCCCGTTTCCAAAGAAGGCCTCAAATAGGTCCAAATATCCACTTGCAGCTACTACAAGAAGGGTGTTTCAGAAACGCTCTATCAAAAGAAACGTTAAACTCTGTGAGTTGAACGCACACGTCACTAAGCACTTTCTGAGAACGATTCTATCTACTTTTTACATGAAGATGTTTCCTTTTCTAGCAGAGACTTCAAAGTGCTCTAAATATCCACTTGGGAATTCTACAAAAACGGTGTCTCAAAACTGCTCTATCAAAGGGAATGTTCCATTCTGTGAGTCGAATGCACACATCCGAAGAAGTTACTGAGAATTCTTCTCTGTAGGTTTAGATGAAGAAATCCCGTTTCCAACGAAGGCCTCTAGGAGGTCCAATTATCCACTTGCAGATTCTACAGAAAGAGTGTTTCAAAACTGCTCTATCAAGAGAAATGGGCCACCGTGTGTGTGGAATGCAGCCATCACACATTAGTTTCTGAGATTGCTTCTGTCTTGGTTTTATGGGGAGATATTTCCCTTTCTAGCATAGGCTTCAAGGCGCTCTAAATATCCGCTTGGAAATACTACAAAAACAGTGTTTCAAAACTGCTGTATCCAAAGGAAGGTGCCACTCGCTGAGTTGAATGCACACATCACAAGGAAGTTTCTGAGAATTCTTCTGTCTAGATTCATACGAAGAAATCCCGTTTCCAACGAAGGCCTCAAAGAAGTCCAAATATCCCATTGCAGATTCTACAAAAGGAGTGTTTCCCAACTGCTCTATCAAGAGGAATGTGGCACTCTGTGACTTGAATGCAAACATCACATAGTAGTGTTTGAGAATTCTTTCTGTCTAGAGTAACATGAAGAAATCCCGTTTCCAACGAAGGCCTCAAGGCGGTCCAATTATCCACTTGCAGATTCTACAGAAAGAGTGTTTCAAAACTGCTCTATCAAGAGAAATGTTCCACCGTGTGTGTGGAATGCAGCCATCACACAGTAGTTTCTGAGATTGCTTCCGTCTAGGTTTTATGGGAAGATATTTCCTTTTCTACCATAGGCTTCAAGGCGCTCTAATATCCGCTTGGAAATACTACAACCACAGCGTTTCAAACTGCTCTATCCAAAGGAAGGTTCCACTCTGTGACTTGAATGCACACAACCAAAGAAGTTTCGGAGAATTCTTCTGTCTGGATTTATACGAAGAAATCCCGTTTCCAACGAAGACCCAAAGGAGTTCCAAATATCCACTTGCAGATCCTTCAGAAAGAGGGTTTCAAAACTGCTCTATCAAGAGAAATGTTCAACTCTGTGAGTTGAATGCAGACATCACAAAGTCGTTTCTGAGATGGGTTTCTGTCTAGGTTTTATGGGAAGATATTTCCTTTTCTACCATACGCTTCAAAGCGTTCCAAATATCCGCTTGGAAATACTACAAAAACAGTGTTTCAAAACTGCTCTATCAAAAGGAAGGATCCACACTGTGAGTTGAATTCACACATCACAAAGAAATCTCTGAGAATTCTTCTGTCTGGGTTTATAGGAAGAAATCCCGTTTCCAACGAAGGCCTCAAAGCGGTCCATATATCCACTTGCAGATTCTACAGAAACAATGTTTCCAAACTGCTCTATCAAGAGGAATGTTGCACTCGGTGAGTTGAATGCACACATCACAAAGTAGTTTCTGAGATTGCTTCTGTCTACCTTTTATGGAAAGATATTCCCTTTTCTACCATAGGCCTGAAAGCGCTCTCAATGTACCCTTGCAAATTCTACAAAAAGAGTGTTTCCAAATTGCTCTATCAAGAGAAATCTTTATCTCGGTGAGTTGAAAGCACACATCACAAAGAAGACTCTGAGAATTCTTCTGTCTGGGTTTATAAGATGAAAACCCGTTTCCAACGAAGGCCTCAAGGAGGTCCAAATACAAACAAGCTGATTCTACAGGAAGAGTGTTTCCAAACTGCTCTATCAAGAGGAATGTTCCACTCGGTGAGTTGAATGCAGACATCACAAAGGAGTTTCTGAGATTGCTTCTGTCTAGCTTTTATGGAAAGATATTTCCTTTTCTACCATAGGCCTCAAAGCGCTCTTAGTATACACTTCCAAATTCTACAAAGAGAGTGTTACTAAACCGCTCTCTCAAAGGAAAATGTTAAACTCTGTGAGTTGAACACAGACATCACAAAGCAGTTTCTGAGAACACTTCTGTCTGCCTTTTATGTGAAGACATTCCCTTTTCCAAAGAATGCCTCCAAGGGCTCAAAATATCCACTTGTAGACTTTACAAAGAGAGTGTTTCAAAACTTCTCTACCAAAAGAAAGGTTAAAGACGGTGAGTTCAACGCACACATCACAAAGTTGTTTCTGAGAATGATTCTATCTATGTTTTCCATGAAGATGTTTCCTTTTCTATCATAGGCTTCAAAGTGGTCTAAATATCCACTTGGAAATCCTACAAGAACAGGGTTTCAAAACTTCTCTATCAAACGGAAGACTCCACTCTGTGAGATGAACGCACACATCACAATGAGGTTTCTGAAAATTCTTCTGTCTAGGGTTATAGGAAGAAATCCCGTTTCCAACGAAGGCCTCAAAGAGGTCCAAATATCCACTTGCAGTTTCTACAAAAAGAGTGTTTCAACACTGCTCTATAAAGAGGAAAGTTCCACTCTGTGAGTTGAATGTACACATCACAAAGTAGTTTCTGAGATTGCTTCTGTCTAGGTTTTAGGTGAAGTTATTTCCTTTTCTACTTTGGGCTTCAATGCGCTCTAAATATACACATGCAAATACTACAAAAAGAGTGTTTCAAAACTGCTCTATCAAAAGAAAAGTTTTACTCTGTGGGTTGAACGCACACATCGCAAAGCAGATTCTGAGAATTATTCTGTCTAGTTTTTATAGGAAGATGTTTCTTTTTCTGCCGTAGGCTCAATGCGCTATAAATATCCCCTTGGAAATCCTACAAAAACAGTGTTTCAAAACTGCTCTGTGAAAAGGGAGGTTTCACTCTTTGAATTGAATGCACACATCACAAAGGAGTTTCTGAAAATTCTTCAAACTAGAGTTACATGAAGAAATCCCGTTTCCAAAGAAGGCCTCAAATAGGTCCAAATATCCACTTGCAGCTACTACAAGCAGGGTGTTTCAGAAACGCTCTATCAAAAGAAACGTTAAACTCTGTGAGTTGAACGCACACGTCACTAAGCACTTTCTGAGAACGATTCTATCTACTTTTTACATGAAGATGTTTCCTTTTCTAGCAGAGACTTCAAAGTGCTCTAAATATCCACTTGGGAATTCTACAAAAACGGTGTCTCAAAACTGCTCTATCAAACGGAATGTTCCATTCTGTGAGTCGAATGCACACATCCGAAGAAGTTACTGAGAATTCTTCTCTGTAGGTTTAGATGAAGAAATCCCGTTTCCAACGAAGGCCTCTAGGAGGTCCAATTATCCACTTGCAGATTCTACAGAAAGAGTGTTTCAAAACTGCTCTATCAAGAGAAATGGTCCACCGTGTGTGTGGAATGCAGCCATCACACATTAGTTTCTGAGATTGCTTCTGTCTTGGTTTTATGGGGAGATATTTCCATTTCTAGCATAGGCTTCAAGGCGCTCTAAATATCCGCTTGGAAATACTACAAAAACAGTGTTTCAAAACTGCTGTATCCAAAGGAAGGTGCCACTCGCTGAGTTGAATGCACACATCACAAGGAAAGTTTCTGAGAATTCTTCTGTCTAGATTCATACGAAGAAATCCCGTTTCCAACGAAGGCCTCAAAGAAGTCCAAATATCCCATTGCAAATTCTACAAAAGGAGTGTTTCCCAACTGCTCTATCAAGAGGAATGTTGCACTCTGTGACTTGAATGCAAACATCACATAGCAGTGTTTGAGAATTCTTCTGTCTAGAGTAACATGAAGAAATCCCGTTTCCAACGAAGGCCTCAAGGCGGTCCAATTATCCACTTGCAGATTCTACAGAAAGAGTGTTTCAAAACTGCTCTATCAAGAGAAATGTTCCACCGTGTGTGTGGAATGCAGCCATCACACAGTAGTTTCTGAGATTGCTTCCGTCTAGGTTTTATGGGAAGATATTTCCTTTTCTACCATAGGCCTCAAGGCGCTCTAATATCCGCTTGGAAATACTACAACCACAGCGTTTCAAACTGCTCTATCCAAAGGAAGGTTCCACTCTGTGACTTGAATGCACACAACCAAAGAAGTTTCGGAGAATTCTTCTGTCTAGATTTATACGAAGAAATCCCGTTTCCAACGAAGACCCAAAGGAGTTCCAAATATCCACTTGCAGATCCTTCAGAAAGAGGGTTTCAAAACTGCTCTATCAAGAGAAATGTTCAACTCTGTGAGTTGAATGCAGACATCACAAAGTCGTTTCTGAGATGGGTTCTGTCTAGGTTTTATGGGAAGATATTTCCTTTTCTACCATACGCTTCAAGGCGTTCCAAATATCCGCTTGGAAATACTACAAAAACGGTGTTTCAAAACTGCTCTATCAAAAGGAAGGATCCACACTGTGAGTTGAATTCACACATCACAAAGAAATCTCTGAGAATTCTTCTGTTTGGTTTATAGGAAGAAATCCCGTTTCCAACGAAGGCCTCAAAGCGGTCCATATATCCACTTGCAGATTCTACAGAAACAATGTTTCCAAACTGCTCTATCAAGAGGAATGTTGCACTCGGTGAGTTGAATGCACACATCACAAAGTAGTTTCTGAGATTGCTTCTGTCTACCTTTTATGGAAAGATATTCCCTTTTCTACCATAGGCCTGAAAGCGCTCTCAATGTACCCTTGCAAATTCTACAAAAAGAGTGTTTCCAAATTGCTCTATCAAGAGAAATCTTTATCTCGGTGAGTTGAAAGCACACATCACAAAGAAGACTCTGAGAATTCTCTGTCTGGGTTTATAAGATGAAAACCCGTTTCCAACGAAGGCCTCAAGGGAGGTCCAAATACAAACAAGCTGATTCTACAGAAAGAGTGTTTCCAAACTGCTCTATCAAGAGGAATGTTCCACTCGGTGAGTTGAATGCAGACATCACAAAGGAGTTTCTGAGATTGCTTCTGTCTAGCTTTTATGGAAAGATATTTCCTTTTCTACCATAGGCCTCAAAGCGCTCTTAGTATACACTTCCAAATTCTACAAAGAGAGTGTTACTAAACCGCTCTCTCAAAGGAAATGTTAAACTCTGTGAGTTGAACACAGACATCACAAAGCAGTTTCTGAGAACACTTCTGTCTGCCTTTTATGTGAAGACATTCCCTTTTCCAAAGAATGCCTCCAAGGGCTCAAAATATCCACTTGTAGACTTTACAAAGAGAGTGTTTCAAAACTTCTCTACCAAAAGAAAGGTTAAAGACGGTGAGTTCAACGCACACATCACAAAGTTGTTTCTGAGAATGATTCTATCTATGTTTTCCATGAAGATGTTTCCTTTTCTATCATAGGCTTCAAAGTGGTCTAAATATCCACTTGGAAATCCTACAAGAACAGGGTTTCAAAACTTCTCTATCAAACGGAAGACTCCACTCTGTGAGATGAACGCACACATCACAATGAGGTTTCTGAAAATTCTTCTGTCTAGGGTTATAGGAAGAAATCCCGTTTCCAACGAAGGCCTCAAAGAGGTCCAAATATCCACTTGCAGTTTCTACAAAAAGAGTGTTTCAACACTGCTCTATAAAGAGGAAAGTTCCACTCTGTGAGTTGAATGTACACATCACAAAGTAGTTTCTGAGATTGCTTCTGTCTAGGTTTTAGGTGAAGTTATTTCCTTCTCTACTGTGGGCTTCAATGTGCTCTAAATATACACATGCAAATACTACAAAGAGAGTGTTTCAAAACTGCTCTATCAAAAGAAAAGTTTTACTCTGTGAGTTGAACGCACACATCGCAAAGCAGATTGTGAGAATTATTCTGTCTAGTTTTTATAGGAAGATGTTTCTTTTTCTGCCATAGGCTCAATGCGCTATAAATATCCCCTTGGAAGTCCTACAAAAACAGTGTTTCAAAACTGCTCTGTGAAAAGGGAGGTTTCACTCTTTGAATTGAATGCACACATCACAAAGGAGTTTCTGAAAATTCTTCAAACTAGAGTTACATGAAGAAATCCCGTTTCCAAAGAAGGCCTCAAATAGGTCCAAATATCCACTTGCAGCTACTACAAGAAGGGTGTTTCAGAAACGCTCTATCAAAAGAAACGTTAAACTCTGTGAGTTGAACGCACACGTCACTAAGCACTTCTGAGAACGATTCTATCTACTTTTACATGAAGATGTTTCCTTTTCTAGCAGAGACTTCAAAGTGCTCTAAATATCCACTTGGGAATTCTACAAAAACGGTGTCTCAAAACTGCTCTATCAAAGGGAATGTTCCATTCTGTGAGTCGAATGCACACATCCGAAGAAGTTACTGAGAATTCTTCTCTGTAGGTTTAGATGAAGAAATCCCGTTTCCAACGAAGGCCTCTAGGAGGTCCAATTATCCACTTGCAGATTCTACAGAAAGAGTGTTTCAAAACTGCTCTATCAAGAGAAATGGTCCACCGTGTGTGTGGAATGCAGCCATCACACATTAGTTTCTGAGATTGCTTCTGTCTTGGTTTTATGGGGAGATATTTCCATTTCTAGCATAGGCTTCAAGGCGCTCTAAATATCCGCTTGGAAATAGTACAAAAACAGTGTTTCAAAACTGCTGTATCCAAAGGAAGGTGCCACTCGCTGAGTTGAATGCACACATCACAAGGAAGTTTCTGAGAATTCTTCTGTCTAGATTCATACGAAGAAATCCCGTTTCCAACGAAGGCCTCAAAGAAGTCCAAATATCCCATTGCAAATTCTACAAAAGGAGTGTTTCCCAACTGCTCTATCAAGAGGAATGTTGCACTCTGTGACTTGAATGCAAACATCACATAGCAGTGTTTGAGAATTCTTCTGTCTAGAGTAACATGAAGAAATCCCGTTTCCAACGAAGGCCTCAAGGCGGTCCAATTATCCACTTGCAGATTCTACAGAAAGAGTGTTTCAAAACTGCTCTATCAAGAGAAATGTTCCACCGTGTGTGTGGAATGCAGCCATCACACAGTAGTTTCTGAGATTGCTTCCGTCTAGGTTTTATGGGAAGATATTTCCTTTTCTACCATAGGCTTCAAGGCGCTCTAATATCCGCTTGGAAATACTACAACCACAGCGTTTCAAACTGCTCTATCCAAAGGAAGGTTCCACTCTGTGACTTGAATGCACACAACCAAAGAAGTTTCGGAGAATTCTTCTGTCTGGATTTATACGAAGAAATCCCGTTTCCAACGAAGACCCAAAGGAGTTCCAAATATCCACTTGCAGATCCTTCAGAAAGAGGGTTTCAAAACTGCTCTATCAAGAGAAATGTTCAACTCTGTGAGTTGAATGCAGACATCACAAAGTCGTTTCTGAGATGGGTTCTGTCTAGGTTTTATGGGAAGATATTTCCTTTTCTACCATACGCTTCAAGGCGTTCCAAATATCCGCTTGGAAATACTACAAAAACAGTGTTTCAAAACTGCTCTATCAAAAGGAAGGATCCACACTGTGAGTTGAATTCACACATCACAAAGAAGTCTCTGAGAATTCTTCTGTCTGGGTTTATAGGAAGAAATCCCGTTTCCAACGAAGGCCTCAAAGAGGTCCAAATATCCACTTGCAGATTCTACAGAAACAATGTTTCCAAACTGCTCGGTCAAGAGGAATGTTGCACTCGGTGAGTTGAATGCACACATCACAAAGTAGTTTCTGAGATTGCTTCTGTCTACCTTTTATGGAAAGATATTCCCTTTTCTACCATAGGCCTGAAAGCGCTCTCAATGTACCCTTGCAAATTCTACAAAAAGAGTGTTTCCAAATTGCTCTATCAAGAGAAATCTTTATCTCGGTGAGTTGAAAGCACACATCACAAAGAAGACTCTGAGAATTCTTCTGTCTGGGTTTATAAGATGAAAACCCGTTTCCAACGAAGGCCTCAAGGAGGTCCAAATACAAACAAGCTGATTCTACAGAAAGAGTGTTTCCAAACTGCTCTATCAAGAGGAATGTTCCACTCGGTGAGTTGAATGCAGACATCACAAAGGAGTTTCTGAGATTGCTTCTGTCTAGCTTTTATGGAAAGATATTTCCTTTTCTACCATAGGCCTCAAAGCGCTCTTAGTATACACTTCCAAATTCTACAAAGAGAGTGTTACTAAACCGCTCTCTCAAAGGAAATGTTAAACTCTGTGAGTTGAACACAGACATCACAAAGCAGTTTCTGAGAACACTTCTGTCTGCCTTTTATGTGAAGACATTCCCTTTTCCAAAGAATGCCTCCAAGGGCTCAAAATATCCACTTGTAGACTTTACAAAGAGAGTGTTTCAAAACTTCTCTACCAAAAGAAAGGTTAAAGACGGTGAGTTCAACGCACACATCACAAAGTTGTTTCTGAGAATGATTCTATCTATGTTTTCCATGAAGATGTTTCCTTTTCTATCATAGGCTTCAAAGTGGTCTAAATATCCACTTGGAAATCCTACAAGAACAGGGTTTCAAAACTTCTCTATCAAACGGAAGACTCCACTCTGTGAGATGAACGCACACATCACAATGAGGTTTCTGAAAATTCTTCTGTCTAGGGTTATAGGAAGAAATCCCGTTTCCAACGAAGGCCTCAAAGAGGTCCAAATATCCACTTGCAGTTTCTACAAAAAGAGTGTTTCAACACTGCTCTATAAAGAGGAAAGTTCCACTCTGTGAGTTGAATGTACACATCACAAAGTAGTTTCTGAGATTGCTTCTGTCTAGGTTTTAGGTGAAGTTATTTCCTTTTCTACTGTGGGCTTCAATGCGCTCTAAATATACACATGCAAATACTACAAAAAGAGTGTTTCAAACCTGCTCTATCAAAAGAAAAGTTTTACTCTGTGAGTTGAACGCACACATCGCAAAGCAGATTCTGAGAATTATTCTGTCTAGTTTTTATAGGAAGATGTTTCTTTTTCTGCCGTAGGCTGAATGTGCTATAAATATCCCCTTGGAAATCCTACAAAAACAGTGTTTCAAAACTGCTCTGTGAAAAGGGACGTTTCACTATTTGAATTGAATGCACACATCACAAAGGAGTTTCTGAAAATTCTTCAAACTAGAGTTACATGAAGAAATCCCGTTTCCAAAGAAGGCCTCAAATAGGTCCAAATATCCACTTGCAGCTACTACAAGAAGGGTGTTTCAGAAACGCTCTATCAAAAGAAACGTTAAACTCTGTGAGTTGAACGCACACGTCACTAAGCACTTTCTGAGAACGATTCTATCTACTTTTTACATGAAGATGTTTCCTTTTCTAGCAGAGACTTCAAAGTGCTCTAAATATCCACTTGGGAATTCTACAAAAACGGTGTCTCAAAACTGCTCTATCAAAGGGAATGTTCCATTCTGTGAGTCGAATGCACACATCCGAAGAAGTTACTGAGAATTCTTCTCTGTAGGTTTAGATGAAGAAATCCCGTTTCCAACGAAGGCCTCTAGGAGGTCCAATTATCCACTTGCAGATTCTACAGAAAGAGTGTTTCAAAACTGCTCTATCAAGAGAAATGGTCCACCGTGTGTGTGGAATGCAGCCATCACACATTAGTTTCTGAGATTGCTTCTGTCTTGGTTTTATGGGGAGATATTTCCATTTCTAGCATAGGCTTCAAGGCGCTCTAAATATCCGCTTGGAAATAGTACAAAAACAGTGTTTCAAAACTGCTGTATCCAAAGGAAGGTGCCACTCGCTGAGTTGAATGCACACATCACAAGGAAGTTTCTGAGAATTCTTCTGTCTAGATTCATACGAAGAAATCCCGTTTCCAACGAAGGCCTCAAAGAAGTCCAAATATCCCATTGCAAATTCTACAAAAGGAGTGTTTCCCAACTGCTCTATCAAGAGGAATGTTGCACTCTGTGACTTGAATGCAAACATCACATAGCAGTGTTTGAGAATTCTTCTGTCTAGAGTAACATGAAGAAATCCCGTTTCCAACGAAGGCCTCAAGGCGGTCCAATTATCCACTTGCAGATTCTACAGAAAGAGTGTTTCAAAACTGCTCTATCAAGAGAAATGTTCCACCGTGTGTGTGGAATGCAGCCATCACACAGTAGTTTCTGAGATTGCTTCCGTCTAGGTTTTATGGGAAGATATTTCCTTTTCTACCATAGGCCTCAAGGCGCTCTAATATCCGCTTGGAAATACTACAACCACAGCGTTTCAAACTGCTCTATCCAAAGGAAGGTTCCACTCTGTGACTTGAATGCACACAACCAAAGAAGTTTCGGAGAATTCTTCTGTCTGGATTTATACGAAGAAATCCCGTTTCCAACGAAGACCCAAAGGAGTTCCAAATATCCACTTGCAGATCCTTCAGAAAGAGGGTTTCAAAACTGCTCTATCAAGAGAAATGTTCAACTCTGTGAGTTGAATGCAGACAAGACATCACAAAGTCGTTTCTGAGATGGGTTCTGTCTAGGTTTTATGGGAAGATATTTCCTTTTCTACTATACGCTTCAAGGCGTTCCAAATATCTGCTTGGAAATACTACAAAAACAGTGTTTCAAAACTGCTCTATCAAAAGGAAGGATCCACACTGTGAGTTGAATTCACACATCACAAAGAAATGTCTGAGAATTCTTCTGTCTGGGTTTATAGGAAGAAATCCCGTTTCCAACGAAGGCCTCAAAGCGGTCCATATATCCACTTGCAGATTCTACAGAAACAATGTTTCCAAACTGCTCTATCAAGGGGAATGTTGCACTCGGTGAGTTGAATGCACACATGACAAAGTAGTTTCTGAGATTGCTTCTGTCTACCTTTTATGGAAAGATATTCCCTTTTCTACCATAGGCCTGAAAGCGCTCTCAATGTACCCTTGCAAATTCTACAAAAAGAGTGTTTCCAAATTGCTCTATCAAGAGAAATCTTTATCTCGGTGAGTTGAAAGCACACATCACAAAGAAGACTCTGAGAATTCTTCTGTCTGGGTTTATAAGATGAAAACCCGTTTCCAACGAAGGCCTCAAGGAGGTCCAAATACAAACAAGCTGATTCTACAGAAAGAGTGTTTCCAAACTGCTCTATCAAGAGGAATGTTCCACTCGGTGAGTTGAATGCAGACATCACAAAGGAGTTTCTGAGATTGCTTCTGTCTAGCTTTTATGGAAAGATATTTCCTTTTCTACCATAGGCCTCAAAGCGCTCTTAGTATACACTTCCAAGTTCTACAAAGAGAGTGTTACTAAACTGCTCTATCAAAGGAAATGTTAAACTCTGTGAGTTGAACACAGACATCACAAAGCAGTTTCTGAGAACACTTCTGTCTGCCTTTTATGTGAAGACATTCCCTTTTCCAAAGAATGCCTCCAAGGGCCCAAAATATCCACTTGTAGACTTTACAAAGAGAGTGTTTCAAAACTTCTCTACCTAAAGAAAGGTTAAAGACTGTGAGTTCAACGCACACATCACAAAGTTGTTTCTGAGAATGATTCTATCTATGTTTTCCATGAAGATGTTTCCTTTTCTATCATAGGCTTCAAAGTGGTCTAAATATCCACTTGGAAATCCTACAAGAACAGGGTTTCAAAACTTCTCTATCAAACGGAAGACTCCACTCTGTGAGATGAACGCACACATCACAATGAGGTTTCTGAAAATTCTTCTGTCTAGGGTTATAGGAAGAAATCCCGTTTCCAACGAAGGCCTCAAAGAGGTCCAAATATCCACTTGCAGTTTCTACAAAAAGAGTGTTTCAACACTGCTCTATAAAGAGGAAAGTTCCACTCTGTGAGTTGAATGTACACATCACAAAGTAGTTTCTGAGATTGCTTCTGTCTAGATTTTAGGTGAAGTTATTTCCTTTTCTACTGTGGGCTTCAATGCGCTCTAAATATACACATGCAAATACTACAAAAAGAGTGTTTCAAAACTGCTCTATCAAAAGAAAACTTTTACTCTGTGGGTTGAACGCACACATCGCAAAGCAGATTCTGAGAATTATTCTGTCTAGTTTTTATAGGAAGATGTTTATTTTTCTGCCGTAGGCTCAATGCGCTATAAATATCCCCTTGGAAATCCTACAAAAACAGTGTTTCAAAACTGCTCTGTGAAAAGGGAGGTTTCACTCTTTGAATTGAATGCACACATCACAAAGGAGTTTCTGAAAATTCTTCAAACTAGAGTTACATGAAGAAATCCCGTTTCCAAAGAAGGCCTCAAATAGGTCCAAATATCCACTTGCAGCTACTACAAGAAGGGTGTTTCAGAAACGCTCTATCAAAAGAAACGTTAAACTCTGTGAGTTGAACGCCCACGTCACTAAGCGCTTTCTGAGAACGATTCTATCTACTTTTTACATGAAGATGTTTCCTTTTCTAGCAGAGACTTCAAAGTGCTCTAAATATCCACTTGGGAATTCTACAAAAACGGTGTCTCAAAACTGCTCTATCAAACGGAATGTTCCATTCTGTGAGTCGAATGCACACATCCGAAGAAGTTACTGAGAATTCTTCTCTGTAGGTTTAGATGAAGAAATCCCGTTTCCAACGAAGGCCTCTAGGAGGTCCAATTATCCACTTGCAGATTCTACAGAAAGAGTGTTTCAAAACTGCTCTATCAAGAGAAATGGTCCACCGTGTGTGTGGAATGCAGCCATCACACATTAGTTTCTGAGATTGCTTCTGTCTTGGTTTTATGTGGAGATATTTCCATTTCTAGCGTAGGCTTCAAGGCGCTCTAAATATCCGCTTGGAAATACTACAAAAACAGTGTTTCAAAACTGCTGTATCCAAAGGAAGGTGCCACTCGCTGAGTTGAATGCACACATCACAAGGAAGTTTCTGAGAATTCTTTTGTCTAGATTCATACGAAGAAATCCCGTTTCCAACGAAGGCCTCAAAGAAGTCCAAATATCCCATTGCAAATTCTACAAAAGGAGTGTTTCCCAACTGCTCTATCAAGAGGAATGTTGCACTCTGTGACTTGAATGCAAACATCACATAGTAGTGTTTGAGAATTCTTCTGTCTAGAGTAACATGAAGAAATCCCGTTTCCAACGAAGGCCTCAAGGCGGTCCAATTATCCACTTGCAGATTCTACAGAAAGAGTGTTTCAAAACTGCTCTATCAAGAGAAATGTTCCACCGTGTGTGTGGAATGCAGCCATCACACAGTAGTTTCTGAGATTGCTTCCGTCTAGGTTTTATGGGAAGATATTTCCTTTTCTACCATAGGCCTCAAGGCGCTCTAATATCCGCTTGGAAATACTACAACCACAGCGTTTCAAACTGCTCTATCCAAAGGAAGGTTCCACTCTGTGACTTGAATGCACACAACCAAAGAAGTTTCGGAGAATTCTTCTGTCTAGATTTATACGAAGAAATCCCGTTTCCAACGAAGACCCAAAGGAGTTCCAAATATCCACTTGCAGATCCTTCAGAAAGAGGGTTTCAAATCTGCTCTATCAAGAGAAATGTTCAACTCTGTGAGTTGAATGCAGACATCACAAAGTCGTTTCTGAGATTGGTTCTGTCTAGGTTTTATGGGAAGATATTTCCTTTTCAACCATACGCTTCAAGGCGTTCCAAATATCCGCTTGGAAATACTACAAAAACAGTGTTTCGAAACTGCTCTATCAAAAGGAAGGATCCACACTGTGAGTTGAATTCACACATCACAAAGAAGTCTCTGAGAATTCTTCTCGTCTGGGTTTACTAGGAAGAAATCCCGTTTCCAACGAAGACCTCAAAGCGGTCCATATATCCACTTGCAGATTCTACAGAAACAATGTTTCCAAACTGCTCTATCAAGAGGAATGTTGCACTCGGTGAGTTGAATGCACACATCACAAAGTAGTTTCTGAGATTGCTTCTGTCTACCTTTTATGGAAAGATATTCCCTTTTCTACCATAGGCCTGAAAGCGCTCTCAATGTACCCTTGCAAATTCTACAAAAAGAGTGTTTCCAAATTGCTCTATCAAGAGAAATCTTTATCTCGGTGAGTTGAAAGCACACATCACAAAGAAGACTCTGAGAATTCTTCTGTCTGGGTTTATAAGATGAAAACCCGTTTCCAACGAAGGCCTCACGGAGGTCCAAATACAAACAAGCTGATTCTACAGAAAGAGTGTTTCCAAACTGCTCTATCAAGAGGAATGTTCCACTCGGTGAGTTGAATGCAGACATCACAAAGGAGTTTCTGAGATTGCTTTTGTCTTGCTTTTATGGAAAGATATTTCCTTTTCTACCATAGGCCTCAAAGCGCTCTTAGTATACACTTCCAAATTCTACAAAGAGAGTGTTACTGAACTGCTCTATCAAAGGAAATGTTAAACTCTGTGAGTTGAACACAGACATCACAAAGCAGTTTCTGAGAACACTTCTGTCTGCCTTTTACGTGAAGACATTCCCTTTTCCAAAGAATGCCTCCAAGGGCTCAAAATATCCACTTGTAGACTTTACAAAGAGAGTGTTTCAAACCTTCTCTACCAAAAGAAAGGTTAAAGACGGCGAGTTCAACGCACACATCACAAAGTTGTTTCTGAGAATGATTCTATCTATGTTTTCCATGAAGATGTTTCCTTTTCTATCATAGGCTTCAAAGTGGTCTAAATATCCACTTGGAAATCCTACAAGAACAGGGTTTCAAAACTTCTCTATCAAACGGAAGACTCCACTCTGTGAGATGAACGCACACATCACAATGAGGTTTCTGAAAATTCTTCTGTCTAGGGTTATAGGAAGAAATCCCGTTTCCAACGAAGGCCTCAAAGAGGTCCAAATATCCACTTGCAGTTTCTACAAAAAGAGTGTTTCAACACTGCTCTATAAAGAGGAAAGTTCCACTCTGTGAGTTGAATGTACACATCACAAATTAGTTTCTGAGATTGCTTCTGTCTAGGTTTTAGGTGAAGTTATTTCCTTTTCTACTGTGGGCTTCAATGCGCTCTAAATATACACATGCAAATACTACAAAAAGAGTGTTTCAAGACTGCTCTATCAAAGGAAAAGTTTTACTCTGTGAGTTGAACGCACACATGGCAAAGCAGATTCTGAGAATTATTCTGTCTAGTTTTTATAGGAAGATGTTTCTTTTTCTGCTATAGGATCAATGCGCTATAAATATCCCCTTGGAAGTCCTACAAAAACAGTGTTTCAAAACTGCTCTGTGAAAAGGGAGGTTTCACTCTTTGAATTGAATGCACACATCACAAAGGAGTTTCTGAAAATTCTTCAATCTAGAGTTACATGAAGAAATCCCGTTTCCAAAGAAGGCCTCAAGTAGGTCCAAATATCCACTTGCAGCTACTACAAGAAGGGTGTTTCAGGAACGCTCTATCAAAAGAAACGTTACACTCTGTGAGTTGAACGCACACGTCACTAAGCACTTTCTGAGAACGATTCTATCTACTTTTTACATGAAGATGTTTCCTTTTCTAGCAGAGACTTCAAAGTGCTCTAAATATCCACTTGGGAATTCTACAAAAACGGTGTCTCAAAACTGCTCTATCAACGGGAATGTTCCATTCTGTGAGTCGAATGCACACATCCGAAGAAGTTACTGAGAATTCTTCTCTGTAGGTTTAGATGAAGAAATCCCGTTTCCAACGAAGGCCTCTAGGAGGTCCAATTATCCACTTGCAGATTCTACAGAAAGAGTGTTTCAAAACTGCTCTATCAAGAGAAATGGTCCACCGTGTGTGTGGAATGCAGCCATCACACATTAGTTTCTGAGATTGCTTCTGTCTTGGTTTTATGGGGAGATATTTCCATTTCTAGCGTAGGCTTCAAGGCGCTCTAAATATCCGCTTGGAAATACTACAAAAACAGTGTTTCAAAACTGCTGTATCCAAAGGAAGGTGCCATTCGCTGAGTTGAATGCACACATCACAAGGAAAGTTTCTGAGAATTCTTCTGTCTAGATTCATACGAAGAAATCCCGTTTCCAACGAAGGCCTCAAAGAAGTCCAAATATCCCATTGCGAATTCTACAAAAGGAGTGTTTCCCAACTGCTCTATCAAGAGGAATGTTGCACTGTGTGACTTGCATGCAAACATCACATAGCAGTGTTTGAGAATTCTTCTGTCTAGAGTAACATGAAGAAATCCCGTTTCCAACGAAGGCCTCAAGGCGGTCCAATTATCCACTTGCAGATTCTACAGAAAGAGTGTTTCAAAACTGCTCTATCAAGAGAAATGTTCCACCGTGTGTGTGGAATGCAGCCATCACACAGTAGTTTCTGAGATTGCTTCCGTCTAGGTTTTATGGGAAGATATTTCCTTTTCTACCATAGGCCTCAAGGCGCTCTAATATCCGCTTGGAAATACTACAACCACAGCGTTTCAAACTGCTCTATCCAAAGGAAGGTTCCACTCTGTGACTTGAATGCACACAACCAAAGAAGTTTCGGAGAATTCTTCTGTCTGGATTTATACGAAGAAATCCCGTTTCCAACGAAGACCCAAAGGAGTTCCAAATATCCACTTGCAGATCCTTCAGAAAGAGGGTTTCAAAACTGCTCTATCAAGAGAAATGTTCAACTCTGTGAGTTGAATGCAGACATCACAAAGTCGTTTCTGAGATGGGTTCTGTCTAGGTTTTATGGGAAGATATTTCCTTTTATACCTTACGCTTCAAGGCGTTCCAAATATCCGCTTGGAAATACTACAAAAACGGTGTTTCAAAACTGCTCTATCAAAAGGAAGGATTCACACTGTGAGTTGAATTCACACATCACAAAGAAGTCTCTGAGAATTCTTCTGTCTGGGTTTATAGGAAGAAATCCCGTTTCCAACGAAGGCTTCAAAGCGGTCCATATATCCACTTGCAGATTCTACAGAAACAATGTTTCCAAACTGCTCTATCAAGAGGAATGTTGCACTCGGTGAGTTGAATGCACACATCACAAAGTAGTTTCTGAGATTGCTTCTGTCTACCTTTTATGGAAAGATATTCCCTTTTCTACCATAGGCCTGAAAGCGCTCTGAATGTACCCTTGCAAATTCTACAAAAAGAGTGTTTCCAAATTGCTCTATCAAGAGAAATCTTTATCTCGGTGAGTTGAAAGCACACATCACAAAGAAGACTCTGAGAATTCTTCTGTCTGGGTTTATAAGATGAAAACCCGTTTCCAACGAAGGCCTCAAGGAGGTCCAAATACAAACAAGCTGATTCTACAGAAAGAGTGTTTCCAAACTGCTCTATCAAGAGGAATGTTCCACTCGGTGAGTTGAATGCAGACATCACAAAGGAGTTTCTGAGATTGCTTCTGTCTAGCTTTTATGGAAAGATATTTCCTTTTCTACCATAGGCCTCAAAGCGGCTCTTAGTATACACTTCCAAATTCTACAAAGAGAGTGTTACTAAACCGCTCTCTCAAAGGAAATGTTAAACTCTGTGAGTTGAACACAGACATCACAAAGCAGTTTCTGAGAACACTTCTGTCTGCCTTTTATGTGAAGACATTCCCTTTTCCAAAGAATGCCTCCAAGGGCTCAAAATATCCACTTGTAGACTTTACAAAGAGAGTGTTTCAAAACTTCTCTACCAAAAGAAAGGTTAAAGACGGTGAGTTCAACGGCACACATCACAAAGTTGTTTCTGAGAATGATTCTATCTATGTTTTCCATGAAGATGTTTCCTTTTCTATCATAGGCTTCAAAGTGGTCTAAATATCCACTTGGAAATCCTACAAGAACAGGGTTTCAAAACTTCTCTATCAAACGGAAGACTCCACTCTGTGAGATGAACGCACACATCACAATGAGGTTTCTGAAAATTCTTCTGTCTAGGGTTATAGGAAGAAATCCCGTTTCCAACGAGGGCCTCAAAGAGGTCCACATATCCACTTGCAGTTTCTACAAAAAGAGTGTTTCAACACTGCTCTATAAAGAGGAAAGTTCCACTCTGTGAGTAGAATGTACACATCACAAAGTAGTTTCGGAGATTGCTTCTGTCTAGGTTTTAGGTGAAGTTATTTCCTTTTCTACTGTGGGCTTCAATGCGCTCTAAATATACACATGCAAATACTACAAAAAGAGGGTTTCAAAACTGCTCTATCAAAAGAAAAGTTTTACTCTGTGAGTTGAACGCACACATCGCAAAGCAGATTCTGAGAATTATTCTGTCTAGTTTTTATAGGAAGATGTTTCTTTTTCTGCCATAGGATCAATGCGCTATAAATATCCCCTTGGAAGTCCTACAAAAACAGTGTTTCAAAACTGCTCTGTGAAAAGGGAGGTTTCACTCTTTGAATTGAATGCACACATCACAAAGGAGTTTCTGAAAATTCTTCAATCTAGAGTTACATGAAGAAATCCCGTTTCCAAAGAAGGCCTCAAATAGGTCCAAATATCCACTTGCAGCTACTACAAGAAGGGTGTTTCAGAAACGCTCTATCAAAAGAAACGTTAAACTCTGTGAGTTGAACACACATGTCACTAAGCACTTTCTGAGAACGATTCTATCTACTTTTTACATGAAGATGTTTCCTTTTCTAGCAGACACTTCAAAGTGCTCTAAATATCCACTTGGGAATTCTACAAAAACGGTGTCTCAAAACTGCTCTATCAAACGGAATGTTCCATTCTGTGAGTCGAATGCACACATCCGAAGAAGTTACTGAGAATTCTTCTCTGTAAGTTTAGATGAAGAAATCCCGTTTCCAACGAAGGCCTCTAGGAGGTCCAATTATCCACTTGCAGATTCTACAGAAAGAGTGTTTCAAAACTGCTCTATCAAGAGAAATGGTCCACCGTGTGTGTGGAATGCAGCCATCACACATTAGTTTCTGAGATTGTTTCTGTCTTGGTTTTATGTGGAGATATTTCCATTTCTAGCGTAGGCTTCAAGGCGCTCTAAATATCCGCTTGGAAATACTGCAAAAACAGTGTTTCAAAACTGCTGTATCCAAAGGAAGGTGCCACTCGCTGAGTTGAATGCACACATCACAAGGAAGTTTCTGAGAATTCTTCTGTCTAGATTCATACGAAGAAATCCCGTTTCCAACGAAGGCCTCAAAGAAGTCCAAATATCCCATTGCACATTCTACAAAAGGAGTGTTTCCCAACTGCTCTATCAAGAGGAATGTTACACTCTGTGACTTGAATGCAAACATCACATAGTAGTGTTTGAGAATTCTTCTATCTAGAGTAACATGAAGAAATCCCGTTTCCAACGAAGGCCTCAAGGCGGTCCAATTATCCACTTGCAGATTCTACAGAAAGAGTGTTTCAAAACTGCTCTATCAAGAGAAATGTTCCACCGTGTGTGTGGAATGCAGCCGTCACACAGTAGTTTCTGAGATTGCTTCCGTCTAGGTTTTATGGGAAGATATTTCCTTTTCTACCATAGGCCTCAAGGCGCTCTAATATCCGCTTGGAAATACTACAACCACAGCGTTTCAAACTGCTCTATCCAAAGGAAGGTTCCACTCTGTGACTTGAATGCACACAACCAAAGAAGTTTCGGAGAATTCTTCTGTCTAGATTTATACGAAGAAATCCCGTTTCCAACGAAGACCCAAAGGAGTTCCAAATATCCACTTGCAGATCCTTCAGAAAGAGGGTTTCAAAACTGCTCTATCAAGAGAAATGTTCAACTCTGTGAGTTGAATGCAGACATCACAAAGTCGTTTCTGAGATTGGTTCTGTCTAGGTTTTATGGGAAGATATTTCCTTTTCTACCATACGCTTCAAGGCGTTCCAAATATCCGCTTGGAAATACTACAAAAACGGTGTTTCAAAACTGCTCTATCAAAAGGAAGGATCCACACTGTGAGTTGAATTCACACATCACAAAGAAGTCTCTGAGAATTCTTCTGTCTGGGTTTATAGGAAGAAATCCCGTTTCCAACGAAGGCCTCAAAGCGGTCCATATATCCACTTGCAGATTCTACAGAAACAATGTTTCCAAACTGCTCTATCAAGAGGAATGTTGCACTCGGTGAGTTGAATGCACACATCACAAAGTAGTTTCTGAGATTGCTTCTGTCTACCTTTTATGGAAAGATATTCCCTTTTCTACCGTAGGACTGAAAGCGCTCTCAATGTACCCTTGCAAATTCTACAAAAAGAGTGTTTCCAAATTGCTCTATCAAGAGAAATCTTTATCTCGGTGAGTTGAAAGCACACATCACAAAGAAGACTCTGAGAATTCTTCTGTCTGGGTTTATAAGATGAAAACCCGTTTCCAACGAAGGCCTCAAGGAGGTCCAAATACAAACAAGCTGATTCTACAGAAAGAGTGTTTCCAAACTGCTCTATCAAGAGGAATGTTCCACTCGGTGAGTTGAATGCAGACATCACAAAGGAGTTTCTGAGATTGCTTCTGTCTAGCTTTTATGGAAAGATATTTCCTTTTCTACCATAGGCCTCAAAGCGCTCTTAGTATACACTTCCAAATTCTACAAAGAGAGTGTTACTAAACCGCTCTCTCAAAGGAAAATGTTAAACTCTGTGAGTTGAACACAGACATCACAAAGCAGTTTCTGAGAACACTTCTGTCTGCCTTTTATGTGAAGACATTCCCTTTTCCAAAGAATGCCTCCAAGGGCTCAAAATATCCACTTGTAGACTTTACAAAGAGAGTGTTTCAAAACTTCTCTACCAAAAGAAAGGTTAAAGACGGTGAGTTCAACGCACACATCACAAAGTTGTTTCTGAGAATGATTCTATCTATGTTTTCCATGAAGATGTTTCCTTTTCTATCATAGGCTTCAAAGTGGTCTAAATATCCACTTGGAAATCCTACAAGAACAGGGTTTCAAAACTTCTCTATCAAACGGAAGACTCCACTCTGTGAGATGAACGCACACATCACAATGAGGTTTCTGAAAATTACTCTGTCTAGGGTTATAGGAAGAAATCCCGTTTCCAAAGAAGGCCTCAAAGAGGTCCAAATATCCACTTGCAGTTTCTACAAAAAGAGTGTTTCAACACTGCTCTATAAAGAGGAAAGTTCCACTCTGTGAGTTGAATGTACACATCACAAAATAGTTTCTGAGATTGCTTCTGTCTAGGTTTTAGATGAAGTTATCTCCTTTTCTACTGTGGGCTTCAACGCGCTCTAAATATACACATGCAAATACTACAAAAAGAGTGTTTCAAAACTGCTCTATCAAAAGAAAAGTTTTACTCTGTGGGTTGAACGCACACATCGCAAAGCAGATTCTGAGAATCATTCTGTCTAGTTTTTATAGGAAGATGTTTCTTTTTCTGCCGTAGGCTCAATGCGCTATTAATATCCCCTTGGAAATCCTACAAAAACAGTGTTTCAAAACTGCTCTGTGAAAAGGGAGGTTTCACTCTTTGAATTGAATGCACACATCACAAAGGAGTTTCTGAGAATTCTTCAATCTAGAGTTACATGAAGAAATCCCGTTTCCAAAGAAGGCCTCCAATAGGTCCAAATATCCACTTGCAGCTACTACAAGAAGGGTGTTTCAGGAACGCTCTATCAAAAGAAACGTTACACTCTGTGAGTTGAACGCACACGTCACTAAGCACTTTCTGAGAACGATTCTATCTACTTTTTACATGAAGATGTTTCCTTTTCTAGCAGAGAGTTCAAAGTGCTCTAAATATCCACTTGGGAATTCTACAAAAACGGTGTCTCAAAACTGCTCTATCAAACGGAATGTTCCATTCTGTGAGTCGAATGCACACATCCGAAGAAGTTACTGAGAATTCTTCTCTGTAGGTTTAGATGAAGAAATCCCGTTTCCAACGAAGGCCTCTAGGAGGTCCAATTATCCACTTGCAGATTCTACAGAAAGAGTGTTTCAAAACTGCTCTATCAAGAGAAATGGTCCACCGTGTGTGTGGAATGCAGCCATCACACATTAGTTTCTGAGATTGCTTCTGTCTTGGTTTTATGGGGAGATATTTCCATTTCTAGCATAGGCTTCAAGGCGCTCTAAATATCCGCTTGGAAATAGTACAAAAACAGTGTTTCAAAACTGCTGTATCCAAAGGAAGGTGCCACTCGCTGAGTTGAATGCACACATCACAAGGAAGTTTCTGAGAATTCTTCTGTCTAGATTCATACGAACAAATCCCGTTTCCAACGAAGGCCACAATGAAGTCCAAATATCCCATTGCAAATTCTACAAAGGAGTGTTTCCCAACTGCTCTATCAAGAGGAATGTTGCACTCTGTGACTTGCATGCAAACATCACATAGTAGTGTTTGAGAATTCTTCTGTCTAGAGTAACATGAAGAAATCCCGTTTCCAACGAAGGCCTCAAGGCGGTCCAATTATCCACTTGCAGATTCTACAGAAAGAGTGTTTCAAAACTGCTCTATCAAGAGAAATGTTCCACCGTGTGTGCGGAATGCAGCCATCACACAGTAGTTTCTGAGATTGCTTCCGTCTAGGTTTTATGGGAAGATATTTCCTTTTCTACCATAGGCCTCAAGGCGCTCTATTATCCGCTTGGAAATACTACAACCACAGCGTTTCAAACTGCTCTATCCAAAGGAAGGTTCCACTCTGTGACTTGAATGCACACAACCAAAGAAGTTTCGGAGAATTCTTCTGTCTAGATTTCTACGAAGAAATCCCGTTTCCAACGAAGACCCAAAGGAGTTCCAAATATCCCCTTGCAGATCTTTCAGAAAGAGGGTATCAAAACTGCTCTATCAAGAGAAATGTTCAACTCTGTGAGTTGAATGCAGACATCACAAAGTCGTTTCTGAGATTGGTTCTGTCTAGGTTTTATTGGAAGATATTTCCTTTTCTACCATACGCTTCAAGGCGTTCCAAATATCCGCTTGGAAATACTACAAAAACAGTGTTTCAAAACTGCTCTATCAAAAGGAAGGATCCACACTGTGAGTTGAATTCACACATCACAAAGAAATCTCTGAGAATTCTTCTGTCTGGGTTTATAGGAAGAAATCCCGTTTCCAACGAAGGCCTCAAAGCGGTCCATATATCCACTTGCAGATTCTACAGAAACAATGTTTCCAAACTGCTCTATCAAGAGGAATGTTGCACTCGGTGAGTTGAATGCACACATCACAAAGTAGTTTCTGAGATTGCTTCTGTCTACCTTTTATGGAAAGATATTCCCTTTTCTACCATAGGCCTGAAAGCGCTCTGAATGTACCCTTGCAAATTCTACAAAAAGAGTGTTTCCAAATTGCTCTATCAAGAGAAATCTTTATCTCGGTGAGTTGAAAGCACACATCACAAAGAAGACTCTGAGAATTCTTCTGTCTGGGTTTATAAGATGAAAACCCGTTTCCAACGAAGGCCTCAAGGAGGTCCAAATACAAACAAGCTGATTCTACAGAAAGAGTGTTTCCAAACTGCTCTATCAAGAGGAATGTTCCACTCGGTGAGTTGAATGCAGACATCACAAAGGAGTTTCTGAGATTGCTTCTGTCTAGCTTTTATGGAAAGATAATTCCTTTTCTACCATAGGCCTCAAAGCGCTCTTAGTATACACTTCCAAATTCTACAAAGAGAGTGTTACTAAACCGCTCTCTCAAAGGAAATGTTAAACTCTGTGAGTTGAACACAGACATCACAAAGCAGTTTCTGAGAACACTTCTGTCTGCCTTTTATGTGAAGACATTCCCTTTTCCAAAGAATGCCTCCAAGGGCTCAAAATATCCACTTGTAGACTTTACAAAGAGAGTGTTTCAAAACTTCTCTACCAAAAGAAAGGTTAAAGACGGTGAGTTCAACGCACACATCACAAAGTTGTTTCTGAGAATGATTTCTATCTATGTTTTCCATGAAGATGTTTCCTTTTCTATCATAGGCTTCAAAGTGGTCTAAATATCCACTTGGAAATCCTACAAGAACAGGGTTTCAAAACTTCTCTATCAAACGGAAGACTCCACTCTGTGAGATGAACGCACACATCAAAATGATGTTTCTGAAAATTCTTCTGTCTAGGGTTATAGGAAGAAATCCCGTTTCCAACGAGGACCTCAAAGAGGTCCACATATCCACTTGCAGTTTCTACAAAAAGAGTGTTTCAACACTGCTCTATAAAGAGGAAAGTTCCACTCTGTGAGTAGAATGTACACATCACAAAGTAGTTTCTGAGATTGCTTCTGTCTAGGTTTTAGGTGAAGTTATTTCCTTCTCTACTGTGGGCTTCAATGCGCTCTAAATATACACATGCAAATACTACAAAAAGAGTGTTTCAAAACTGCTCTATCAAAAGAAAAGTTTTACTCTGTGAGTTGAACGCACACATCGCAAAGCAGATTCTGAGAATTATTCTGTCTAGTTTTTATAGGAAGATGTTTCTTTTTCTGCCATAGGATCAATGCGCTATAAATATCCCCTTGGAAATCCTACAAAAACAGTGTTTCAAAACTGCTCTGTGAAAAGGGACGTTTCACTCTTTGAATTGAATGCACACATCATAAAGGAGTTTCTGAAAATTCTTCAAACTAGAGTTACATGAAGAAATCCCGTTTCCAAAGAAGGCCTCAAATAGGTCCAAATATCCACTTGCAGCTACTACAAGAAGGGTGTTTCAGAAACGCTCTATCAAAAGAAACGTTAAACTCTGTGAGTTGAACACACACGTCACTAAGCACTTTCTGAGAACGATTCTATCTACTTTTTACATGAAGATGTTTCCTTTTCTAGCAGAGACTTCAAAGTGCTCTAAATATCCACTTGGGAATTCTACAAAAACGGTGTCTCAAAACTGCTCTATCAAACGGAATGTTCCATTCTGTGAGTCGAATGCACACATCCGAAGAAGTTACTGAGAATTCTTCTCTGTAGGTTTAGATGAAGAAATCCGTTTCCAACGAAGGCCTCTAGGAGGTCCTATTATCCACTTGCAGATTCTACAGAAAGAGTGTTTCAAAACTGCTCTATGAAGAGAAATGGTCCACCGTGTGTGTGGAATGCAGCCATCACACATTAGTTTCTGGGATTGCTTCTGTCTTGGTTTTATGGGGAGATATTTCCATTTCTAGCATAGGCTTCAAGGCGCTCTAAATATCCGCTTGGAAATAGTACAAAAACAGTGTTTCAAAACTGCTGTATCCAAAGGAAGGTGCCACTCGCTGAGTTGAATGCACACATCACAAGGAAGTTTCTGAGAATTCTTCTGTCTAGATTTATACGAAGAAATCCCGTTTCCAACGAAGGCCTCAAAGAAGACCAAATATCCCATTGCAAATTCTACAAAAGGAGTGTTTCCCAACTGCTCTATCAAGAGGAATGTTGCACTCTGTGACTTGAATGCAAACATCACATAGTAGTGTTTGAGAATTCTTCTATCTAGCGTAACATGAAGAAATCCCGTTTCCAACGAAGGCCTCAAGGCGGTCCAATTATCCACTTGCAGATTCTACAGAAAGAGTGTTTCAAAACTGCTCTATCAAGAGAAATGTTCCACCGTGTGTGTGGAATGCAGCCATTACACAGTAGCTTCTGAGATTGCTTCCGTCTAGGTTTTATGGGAAGATATTTCCTTTTCTACCATAGGCTTCAAGGCGCTCTAATATCCGCTTGGAAATACTACAACCACAGCGTTTCAAACTGCTCTATCCAAAGGAAGGTTCCACTCTGTGACTTGAATGCACACAACCAAAGAAGTTTCGGAGAATTCTTCTGTCTAGATTTATACGAAGAAATCCCGTTTCCAACGAAGACCCAAAGGAGTTCCAAATATCCACTTGCAGATCCTTCAGAAAGAGGGTTTCAAAACTGCTCTATCCAGAGAAATGTTCAACTCTGTGAGTTGAATGCAGACATCACAAAGTCGTTTCTGAGATTGGTTCTGTCTAGGTTTTATGGGAAGATATTTCCTTTTCTACCATACGCTTCAAGGCGTTCCAAATATCCGCTTGGAAATACTACAAAAACAGTGTTTCAAAACTGCTCTATCAAAAGGAAGGATCCACACTGTGAGTTGAATTCACACATCACAAAGAAATCTCTGAGAATTCTTCTGTCTGGGTTTATTGGAAGAAATCCCGTTTCCAACGAAGGCCTCAAAGAGGTCCAAATATCCACTTGCAGATTCTACAGAAACAATGTTTCCAAACTGCTCGGTCAAGAGCAATGTTGCACTCGGTGAGTTGAATGCACACATCACAAAGTAGTTTCTGAGATTGCTTCTGTGTACCTTTTATGGAAAGATATTCCCTTTTCTACCATAGGCCTGAAAGCGCTCTCAATGTACCCTTGCAAATTCTACAAAAAGAGTGTTTCCAAATTGCTCTATCAAGAGAAATCTTTATCTCGGTGAGTTTAAAGCACACATCACGAAGAAGGCTCTGAGAATTCTTCTGTCTGGGTTTATAAGATGAAAACCCGTTTCCAACGAAGGCCTCAAGGAGGTCCAAATACAAACAAGCTGATTCTACAGAAAGAGTGTTTCCAAACTGCTCTATCAAGAGGAATGTTCCACTCGGTGAGTTGAATGCAGACATCACAAAGGAGTTTCTGAGATTGCTTCTGTCTAGCTTTTATGGAAAGATATTTCCTTTTCTACCATAGGCCTCAAAGCGCTCTTAGTATACATTTCCAAATTCTACAAAGAGAGTGTTACTAAACCGCTCTCTCAAAGGAAATGTTAAACTCTGTGAGTTGAACACAGACATCACAAAGCAGTTTCTGAGAACACTTCTGTCTGCCTTATATGTGAAGACATTCCCTTTTCCAAAGAATGCCTCCAAGGGCTCAAAATATCCACTTGTAGACTTTACAAAGAGAGTGTTTCAAAACTTCTCTACCAAAAGAAAGGTTAAAGACGGTGAGTTCAACGCACACATCACAAAGTTGTTTCTGAGAATGATTCTATCTATGTTTTCCATGAAGATGTTTCCTTTTCTATCATAGGCTTCAAAGTGGTCTAAATATCCACTTGGAGATACTACAAGAACAGGGTTTCAAAACTTCTCTATCAAACGGAAGACTCCACTCTGTGAGGTGAACGCACACATCACAATGAGGTTTCTGAAAATTCTTCTGTCTAGGGTTATAGGAAGAAATCCCGTTTCCAACGAAGGCCTCAAAGAGGTCCAAATATCCACCTGCAGTTTCTACAAAAAGAGTGTTTCAACACTGCTCTGTAAAGGGGAAAGTTCCACTCTGTGAGTTGAATGTACACATCACAAAGTAGTTTCTGAGATTGCTTCCGTCTAGGTTTTTGGTGAAGTTATCTCCTTTTCTACTGTGGGCTTCAACGCGCTCTAAATATACACATGCAAATACTACAAAAAGAGTGTTTCAAAACTGCTCTATCAAAAGAAAAGTTTTACTCTGTGGGTTGAATGCACACATCGCAAAGCAGATTCTGAGAATCATTCTGTCTAGTTTTTATAGGAAGATGTTTCTTTTTCTGCCGTAGGCTCAATGCGATATAAATATCCCCTTGGAAATCCTACAAAAACAGTGTTTCAAAACTGCTCTGTGAAAAGGGAGGTTTCACTCTTTGAATTGAATGCACACATCACAAAGGAGTTTCTGAGAATTCTTCAATCTAGAGTTACATGAAGAAATCCCGTTTACAAAGAAGGCCTCAAATAGGTCCAAATATCCACTTGCAGCTACTACAAGAAGGGTGTTTCAGAAACGCTCTATCAAAAGAAACGTTAAACTCTGTGAGTTGAACACACACGTCACTAAGCACTTTCTGAGAACGATTCTATCTACTTTTTACATGAAGATGTTTCCTTTTCTAGCAGAGACTTCCAAGTGCTCTAAATATCCACTTGGTAATTCTACAAAAACGGTGTCTCAAAACTGCTCTATAAAGGGAATGTTCCATTCTGTGAGTCGAATGCACACATCCGAAGAAGTTACTGAGAATTCTTCTCTGTAGGTTTAGATGAAGAAATCCCGTTTCCAACGAAGGCCTCTAGGAGGTCCAATTATCCACTTGCAGATTCTACAGAAAGAGTGTTTCAAAACTGCTCTATCAAGAGAAATGGTCCACCGTGTGTGTGGAATGCAGCCATCACACATTAGTTTCTGAGATTGCTTCTGTCTTGGTTTTATGGGGAGATATTTCCATTTCTAGCATAGGCTTCAAGGCGCTCTAAATATCCGCTTGGAAATACTACAAAAACAGTGTTTCAAAACTGCTGTATCCAAAGGAAAGTGCCACTCGCTGAGTTGAATGCACACATCACAAGGAAGTTTCTGAGAATTCTTCTGTCTAGATTCATACGAAGAAATCCCGTTTCCAATGAAGGCCTCAAAGAAGTCCAAATATCCCATTGCAAATTCTACAAAAGGAGTGTTTCCCAACTGCTCTATCAAGAGGAATGTTGCACTCTGTGACTTGCATGCAAACATCACATAGTAGTGTTTGAGAATTCT